>NC_000016.10:23334970-23638001 GCF_000001405.40 Homo sapiens | reverse complement strand
TAAAACTTTAAAGAAAACGTATTTCTGGGGCTGTTTTTGTCTCCTCTAGCGTGCCCAAAGAGCTGAAAAGATTAAGCATTCTATTAAGAAAACAGTAGAAGAACAAGATTGTTTGTCTCAGCAGGATCTCTCACCGCAGCTAAAACACTCAGGTAAATCTAGACCATTCACTTATGCCTGCTTTATTATTCATTTCCCAGGTATATTTTGGCTATTGTTCTTTTTCCCACAGTGTGAAGATAATGACTAGCAATAGACGCTTTAATTTTAATTTTAATTTTAATTTTATTTTTTTGAGACAGAGTCTCACTCTTTGTTACCCAGGCTGGAGTGCAGTGGCACAATCTTGGCTCACTACAACCTCCAACTCCCAGGCTCAAGTGATTCTCGTGCCTCAGCCTCCTGAGTAGCTGGGACTACAGGCACGTGCACTACCACACCTGACTAATTGTTATATTTTTAGTAGAGATGGGGTTTCGCCATGTTGGCCAGGCCGGTCTTGAACCCCTGGCTTCAAATGATCTGTCTGCCTGGGCCTCCCAAAGTGCTGGGATACAGGTGTGAGCCACTGTGCCCGGCTGCAATATATTCTAATTAACATAAAATTCATATGCCGTAAAATCTATAGTCTCTATTTTCAGTTAGACTGTTTATTCTTTTTCCCTCTCTTGCTCTTTTTCCCTCTCAATTTTCAGAAATTATATTTATTGTTTAAATATTAGAAAGGTTTTTTGTTTTGTTTTGTTTTTATTTTGAGACAGAGTCTCACTCTGTCATCAAGGCTGGAGTACAGTGGCTCAATCACAGCTCACTGCAGCCTCCACCTCCTGGGTTCAAGCAATTCTCCTGCCTCAGCCTCCCGAGTACCTGGGACTACAGGCGCACACCGCCACGCCCAGCTAATTTTTGTATTTTTAGTAGAGACAGGGTTTCACCATGTTGGCCAGGATGGTCTTGATCTCCTGACCTTGAGATCTGCCTGCCTCAGCCTCCCAAAGTGCTGGGATTACAGGTGTGAGCCACCGTGCCCAGTGAAAGGTTTTTTTTAAAAATGTAAGTATATATGAACAGAGAAAAATTCTAGGTGAAAATATTCTAAAAACAATGATCAATTCTGATGTTTACATTCAAGTAATTTATAATCATAAAACTGAGGGGTTATTGAAATGGGAGTGTTATTAAAATTACTTGAGCCAAGGGGGAAAATAAAGAAAGAAATACATGAGATAGAAAACTAGTTGAGATTTAGAAGTTAAGAGAAGAGATTGTGTGATAAAGAATACTCTGTTCGTTTAAAAAACATTTTTAGCACAATGCTGTTTGTTTATATGTACTTAAAATTTCATAGATTATTAGAATTTAAAAAATCAGAACTTTTAAAAATATGTACAGTATGGAGTATGTACAGTTCCTTTACATACTCCATCAGATAGTAGAAGTAGTCAACACCTTGAACACATTCCTCCTAAAGGTAACAGTGACCTTACTACTCACAGCCTAAAAAATAGGTTTATTTCACCTGTAAATTCATCTGCCTGAATGAAATGTCACTGATTCTTTCTTAAATAAATGTTTAGTAGTATTTATATATAATAGGTTAAAAATGAGTATTTTTTGTTTTATTTTATAAGAAAAATATAAGTTATATACATTTTTTTCCTCCTCAGAACCTAAAAATAAAATATGTGTTTATGACAAGTTACACATCAAAACCCATCTTGATGAAGAAACTGGAGAAAAGACATCTATCACACTTGATGTTGGGCCTGAGTCCTTTAACCCTGGAGATGGCCCAGGAGGATTACCTATACAAAGAACAGATGACACCCAAGAACATTTTCCCCACAGGGTCAGTGACCCTAGTGGTGAGCAAAAGCAGAAGCTGCCAAGCAGAAGAAAGAAGCAGCAGAAGAGGACATTTATTTCACAGGAGAGAGACTGTGTCTTTGGCACTGATTCACTCAGATTGTCTGGGAAAAGACTAAAGGAACAGGAAGAAATCAGTAGCAAAAATCCTGCTAGATCACCAGTAACTGAAATAAGAACTCACCTTTTAAGTCTTAAATCTGAACTTCCAGATTCTCCAGAACCAGTTACAGAAATTAATGAAGACAGTGTATTAATTCCACCAACTGCCCAACCAGAAAAAGGTGTTGATACATTCCTAAGAAGACCTAATTTCACCAGGGCGACTACAGTTCCTTTACAGACTCTATCAGATAGCGGTAGTAGTCAGCACCTTGAACACATTCCTCCTAAAGGTAGCAGTGAACTTACTACTCACGACCTAAAAAACATTAGATTTACTTCACCTGTAAGTTTGGAGGCACAAGGCAAAAAAATGACTGTCTCTACAGATAACCTCCTTGTAAATAAAGCTATAAGTAAAAGTGGCCAACTGCCCACAAGTTCTAATTTAGAGGCAAATATTTCATGTTCTCTAAATGAACTCACCTACAATAACTTACCAGCAAATGAAAACCAAAACTTAAAAGAACAAAATCAAACAGAGAAATCTTTAAAATCTCCCAGTGACACTCTTGATGGCAGGAATGAAAATCTTCAGGAAAGTGAGATTCTAAGTCAACCTAAGAGTCTTAGCCTGGAAGCAACCTCTCCTCTTTCTGCAGAAAAACATTCTTGCACAGTGCCTGAAGGCCTTCTGTTTCCTGCAGAATATTATGTTAGAACAACACGAAGCATGTCCAATTGCCAGAGGAAAGTAGCCGTGGAGGCTGTCATTCAGAGTCATTTGGATGTCAAGAAAAAAGGGTTTAAAAATAAAAATAAGGATGCAAGTAAAAATTTAAACCTTTCCAATGAGGAAACTGACCAAAGTGAAATTAGGATGTCTGGCACATGCACAGGACAACCAAGTTCAAGAACCTCTCAGAAACTTCTCTCATTAACTAAAGTCAGCTCTCCCGCTGGGCCCACTGAAGATAATGACTTGTCTAGGAAGGCAGTTGCCCAAGCACCTGGTAGAAGATACACAGGAAAAAGAAAATCAGCCTGCACCCCAGCATCAGATCATTGTGAACCACTTTTGCCAACTTCTAGCCTGTCGATTGTTAACAGGTCCAAGGAAGAAGTCACCTCACACAAATATCAGCACGAAAAATTATTTATTCAAGTGAAAGGTAAATCAAGATGTGTTTGATGATGATGATGATGATGATGAAAGTTAACAATTACTATTTGCCTGGCACTTCCTTTTCTTTCTTTTCTAAAAAGTGACAGGGCCAAGTGTGGTGGCTTACGTCTGTAATCCCAGCACTTTGGGAGGCTGAGGAACAGAGTGAGACCCTGGCTCAAAAAAATTTAAATAAATAAATAAATAAATAAATAAATAAATAAATAAAAATAAAGAGACAGGGGCTCACTGTTGTCCAGGCTGGAGTGCCGTGGTGCAGCCTCTATCTCCTGGGCTCAAATGTTCCTCCTGCCTCAGCCTCCCAACTAGCTGGGACTACTGGCATGTACCACCATGCCTGGCTAATGTTTTAAAATTTTTTGTAGAGGTGAGGTCCTGCCCTGTTGCCCAGGCTGATCTTGAACTCCTGGCCTCAAACAATCCTCCCACCACAGCCTCTCAAAGTGCTGGGATTACAGACGTGAGCCACTGTGTCCAGCTTGCCTGGCACTTTCTAAATGTTGTACAGATACTAACTCATTGAATCATCACAGCAGTCCTATGTGAGGTAGAATCTATTTTCATTCTCACTTTACAGGTGAGGAAACTAAAGTACAGGGAGATTAAAATAACTTTACTTAATTTAATTAAAATCACAGAGCCAGGATTCAAACCTGGCGGTATGGTGCCAGAGTTCACTAATAGAGCTGAAACAATTCAACACTGAAAAGGAAAATGTATTGGTTGTTTACGTAATATTACATATTCAGGTTCAATACAATTCTTTGGGTAGAAGCTTCACAGCTAACATAGAAAGTGTTTTTGAAGTAAAATGGAATGTGTACTAGAGGAAGACTCTATGTTGGGCTTGGTGGCTCACCCCTGTAATCCCAGCACTTCGGGAGGCCAAGGTGGGAGGATTGCTTGAGCCCAGGAGTTTGAGACCAGCTTGGGTAAAATGATGAAACCCCATCTCTACAAAAAAAAATATAGAAAAATTAGCCAGGTGTGGTGGTATATGCCTGTGGTTTCAGCTACTTGAGAGGCTGAGGTGGGAGGATCACTTGAGCTCAGGAGGTTGAGGCTGCGGTGAGCTGTGATTGCACCACTGCACTCCAGTCTGGGTGATAGAGCAAAACCCTCTCTCAAAAAAAAACAAGACTAAGACTCCACTGACTATCTCTTTTAGAAGTCATCATGTAATGAAAAGGCCTAAGCAACTTTTTTGGATAAAATATCTAATGCAGTGTCTCTAAGGCCTCCAAGGGACACAGAATTTTGGAGGATGGGCAGCAACGATACATTGTAATTTAAACTTTCAATTCATTTACTGAGAATTTAATCATATCTGATGAACTAAGCACAAAATCTGGGTAATTCATTGTGGCTCTAAACTAGGGATCAGCATACTTTCTAGAATGGGCCAGATAGCACAGATTTTAGTCTTTGTGTTCTGTCTGTCTCAACTACTCAGCTATGTGCCAGAGCAGCCAGTCAACTTGTAACTGTGACTGTGTTCCAACGCACCTTTATATGCACTTTACAGCCAAGTTCCTAAAACAAAAAAACAACTTTATGTGCAAAAATAGGTAGCAGGCTGCTCTGTACCATTGGACATGGACTTGGTCTATAAGCTGTGACTAATTAATCCAAAAATAATAATTGTGACTTTTCATCATCTTTTAAGCGAACAAGGATACAAAGTCATCAAAAAGTAGGCAATCCAGTAATCTAGAAATACTGTTTTTTACACAGTAGTTTTTTTTTATTGTTGTTGAGACAGTTTCACCCTTGTCGCCCCGGATAGGGTGCAGTGGCGCTATCTCAGCTCACTGCAACCTCTGCCTCCCAGGTTCAAGCGATTCTCCCACCTCAGCCCCCTGAGTAGCTGAGATTACAGGTGCCCACCACCACACCCAGCTAATTTTTATATTTTCAGTAGAGATGGGTTTTTGCCATGTTGGCCAGGCTGGTCTCTATCTCCTGACCTCAGGTGATCTACCCACCTCGGCCTCCCAAAGTGCTGGGATTACAGGCGTGAGCCACCAGGCCCAGCCAGTAGTTTGAAATAGTCTGCTATAATTGTAGTAAACTGCAGCTACATTTAAAAACTTTTTTTCTCAAGGTGACATTCACGTAACAAAATTAACCATTTTAAATTAAGTGAACAAGTCAATACATTTACAGTGTTGTGCAACCACCACCTTATCTCATTCTAAAACATTTTCATCACCCCTAAACCCCATACCCATTAAGCAGCTGCTACCCATTTCCTCCCCTGACCCCCTACTTCATCCCTGGGCAACCACCAATCTGCATTCTATCTCTATGGATTTACCTGTTCTGGGTATTTCATATATATGGAATCATACAATATGTGACCTTTTGTGTCTGGCTGCTCAGCATAATGGGTTTGTTTGTTTTTGAGATGGAGTGTCACTCTGTTGCCCAGGCTGGAGTGCAGTGGCACAATCTTGGTTCACTGCAACCTCTGCCTCCCAGGTTCAAGTGATTCTCCTGCCTCAACCTCCTGAGTAGCTGAGATTACAGGCGCCTGCCACCATGCCTGGGTAATTTTTGTATTTTTAGTAGAGACGGGGTTTCACCATGTTGTCCAGGCTGGCCTCAAACTCCTGACCTCAAGTGATCCACCTGCCTTCAGCCTCTCAAAGTGATGGGATTATAGGTGTGAGCCACTGAGCCTGGCCACTTAGCATAATGTTTTTAAGGTATGTTTCTGTTGTAACATGCATCAGTACTTTGTTCCTCTTTATGGCTGACTAGTATTCCATTGTATGTATATACCACAGTTTGTTTATGCATTCATCATTGAGGATATAGCAACATTTTGAATGATGTGGGATACCATTTGCAATAAGAGCGGTAAATTGCTACTCAGGAGGCTGATGTGGGAGGATTGCTTGAGCCTGGGAGGCAGAGGTTGCAGTGAGCCAAGATCTCGCCACTGCACTCCAGCCTGGGCAACAGAGTGAGACCTCGTCTTGAAACAAACAAGCAAACAAAAAGCAGTAAATTACTCTTTGCTTCAAAAGGGGACTAAGTTTTCCATAGTGAGAAGAGCCAGCATTTTGTAGAACATACTCTGGCAGCCTGTTGAAATCACAGTTTTAGAGGTAGGAAAGAATGTAGGTATTTTTAGTTCATTTCCCTTATGAGAGACAATGAGAAAAGGGAAAATGAAATAAATCGATTTGCCTAAGGTTTCACTGCAAATCAGTGGTTGAGTTGAGACTTGTCCTCAGTCCCTTCTCCTAGTTAATACTATTGACCATACACTGTTTTGTTTTGTTTGGTTTTATTTATTTATGTATTTATTTATTTATACTGTTGGCCATACACTGTTTTGTTTGGTTTGGTTTTATTTATTTATTTATTTTTTGAGACAGAATCTCGCTCTGTTGCCCAGGCTGGAGTGCAGTGGTGCAGTTTCAGCCCACTGCAACCTCTGCCTCCCGGGTTCAAGTGATTCTCCTACCTCAGCTTCCTGAGTAGCTGAGATCACAGGCACGCACCACCATGCCCAGCTAATTTTTTTAGTTTAGTTTTTTTTTTTTTTTTTTTTTTTTTTGAGACAGAGTCTCACTCTGTCGCCCAGGCTGGAGTGCAGTGGTGCCATCTCCGCTAACTGCAAGCTCCGCCTCCTGGGTTCACGCCATTCTCCCACCTCAGCCTCCGGAGTAGCTGGGACTACAGGCGCCAGCCACCACACCCGGCTAATTTTTTTTTTTTTTTTTTTTTGTATTTTTAGTAGAGACGGGGTTTCACCATGTTGGCCAGGCTGGTCTTGAACTCCTGACCTCAAGTGATCCGCCTGCCTCAGCCTCTGAAAGTGCTGAGACTACAAGTGTGAGGCACCATGCCTGGCCTTATTTTTTTTAATTTTTATTTATTTATTTATTGTTTTTAAAGACAGTCTCACTGTGTTGCCCAGGCTGGTCTGGAACTCCTGGGCTCAAGCAATTCTCTTACCTTGACCTCTGAAAGTACTAGGATTACAGCTGTGAGCTACCATACCTGGCTAGCAATACACTGTTTTGGGTAGTGCAGAAAAATAGCTGCTAATTAATCAACTAACTCATGACCGTTGTTTGAACCCTTCGCCCAAGTTTCTGAGTCATGGATGGGAAAAGTAATGAACATTTTTTAGTATATTTGAGTTTAGAAGCTCACTCTTTGTTGGGTATTACATTTAAGAATGGTTTAACATGTTTCTTTGATAGGACTTCATTGTAAACATTAAGTTCATTCTGGGGAAATTAAGGTTCATTAAAATGTTTCTTTTAAATCTAGGAGATCCTATTCTCTTTGTCATCAGTGAAACAGATTGTCTGTTTTGTTGGGTTTTGTTACTATTTTGTGACTTATTTTTCTTCTTTAGGGAAGAAAAGTCGTCATCAAAAAGAGGATTCCCTTTCTTGGAGTAATAGTGCTTATTTATCCTTGGATGATGATGCTTTCACGGCTCCATTTCATAGGGATGGAATGCTGAGTTTAAAGCAACTACTGTCTTTTCTCAGTATCACAGACTTTCAGTTACCTGATGAAGACTTTGGACCTCTTAAGCTTGAAAAAGTGAAGTCCTGCTCAGAAAAACCAGTGGAGCCCTTTGAGTCAAAAATGTTTGGAGAGAGACATCTTAAAGAGGGAAGCTGTATTTTTCCAGAGGAACTGAGTCCTAAACGCATGGATACAGAAATGGAGGACTTAGAAGAGGACCTTATTGTTCTACCAGGAAAATCACATCCCAAAAGGCCAAACTCGCAAAGCCAGCATACAAAGACGGGCCTTTCTTCATCCATATTACTTTATACTCCTTTAAATACGGTTGCGCCTGATGATAATGACAGGCCTACCACAGACATGTGTTCACCTGCTTTCCCCATCTTAGGTACTACTCCAGCCTTTGGCCCTCAAGGCTCCTATGAAAAAGCATCTACAGAAGTTGCTGGACGAACTTGCTGCACACCCCAACTTGCTCATTTGAAAGACTCAGTCTGTCTTGCCAGTGATACTAAACAATTCGACAGTTCAGGCAGCCCAGCAAAACCACATACCACCCTGCAAGTGTCAGGCAGGCAAGGACAACCTACCTGTGACTGTGACTCTGTCCCGCCAGGAACACCTCCACCCATTGAGTCATTCACTTTTAAAGAAAATCAGCTCTGTAGAAACACATGCCAGGAGCTGCATAAACATTCCGTCGAACAGGTACAATCCATTTCCTCTGTGAAATTTTCTCTGAAGGAATGAAATGCCTTAGTGAATGTAAACAGCATGACTTGCTTGCGCATTGGGCCTTCCACGTTTAAGAATGGTTTGACGTGTTTCTTTGATATGATTTCATTGTAATCATTAAGTTCATTCTGGGGAAATTAAGGTTCATTAAAATGTTTCTTTTAAATATGGGAGGTCCTATTCTCTTTGTTATCAGTGAAACAGTTTGCATTTGGAGCTTTGCTGCTGTTATAAGAGGAAATAAAGACAATACGAAGTAGACATTTTGATGAGTGGGTAATGCAGGCAGACATTATACATAAAGTGTAGACTAATGATGTGACTTTTGTTTTCACAGACTGAAACAGCAGAGCTTCCTGCTTCTGATAGCATAAACCCAGGCAACCTACAATTGGTTTCAGAGTTAAAGGTCAGAAGAATATTCTCTTCCAGTGTCTCGTGTCTTACATATGAAAACTTTAATGAACTGAAAAGAATTCAGTCATATAGCTTCTTGTTCTTTAATACTATTAAAGATATTGGTAAACAGATTCAGAAAAACAGATTTGGATTGGTTATTTTTCCCAATATTTACCTCTGTTTATGTTTTGAGCTCTCCTCTTAAAGTTTCTATGCCAACCTATTGGCAAGAACAACTTAGGCTAAGTAACTGAACTTCATGTCTAAATCTAAGTTAGGGAGCTGGGCACGGTGGCTCACCCCTATAATCTCAGCACTTTGGGAGGCTGAAGCGGGCTGATCACTTGAGGTCAGATGTTTGAGGCCAGCCTGGCCAACATGATGAAACCCCATCTCTACTAAAAATACAAAAATTAGCCGGGCGTGGTGGTGGGCGCCTATAATCCCAGCTGCTAGGGAGGCTGAGGGAAGAGAATACTTGAACTGGGAGACAGACGTTGCAGTGAGCCAAGATCTTACCACTGCACTCCAGCCTGGGCGAGTGAGACTCTGTCTCAAAAATAAAATAAAATAAATCTAACAGGCATTTTGACGGAGTGAAATGAGAGTTATTCATGCCTCTCCTACTCAAATGGTGTAATGTTTCTGGAAGAATCACTTATGGTGATTTATAAGAAAATGGGGAGCAGTTCTAGTGGTTAATCTTTTCTGTGCAGTGTGGTAACTGAAAATGTTGCATTACTAAATGTCCTAGGTGTAGGGTTGAAGATGGGGGTGCAGAAGCTCTCCCAGAGAATCACTGGTGTGAAGGAAAACACTTCAAATCCACATAAAGTTTTTCCCAGTTACTGGCTATGTCACCTTGGACAAATTGTGTAACCTCTGAGCCCCAGATTCCTTTTCTATAAAGGATGCATAGTAATACCTATGCTCTGTTTCGGAATTTATTCTTGAGTCAATTTTAATAACTTATTTTATTTTTTGAGACAGAGTCTGTTGCCTAGGCTGGAGTGCAGTGGGGCAATCTCCAATCTCCAATCTCCACTCACTGCAACCTCCGCCTACAGGTTCAAGCAATTCTCGTGCCTCAACCTCCATAGTAGCTGGGATTACAAGTGTGCGCCACCACGCCTTGCTAATTTTTGTATTTTTAGTAGAAATGGGGTTTTGCCATGTTGGCCAGGCTGGTCTTGAACTCCTGACCTCAGGGGATCCGCCTGCCTTGGCCTCCCAAAGTGCTGGGATCACAGGCATGAGCCACCATGCCCAGTGTCCTAATAACTTAGTCTCTTAAAGAATCAACTATTTCATTCATATTTTCAAATGTGTAGGTAAAAAGTTACTTCTTATAGATTATTAAAATCTGTGTATATGTAATTAAGCCTCTCTTCCCCATTCTCCCATTTCTAAATTATTGTTTTTCTACATTAGACTCGAGAGTTGGCCATTACGTGGGTCTTCCAAACAAACTAGTTTTTGGTTGTATTGATTATTAATTGGGTTGTGTTTTTTTGTTGTTGTTGTTTGGTTTTCTAGTTCATTTATTTCTGTTTTTATAATAAACAGGATAACTGTAAATCATTCCTTCCTACTTTTTTTTATTGTTCTTATTTTGTTCTTGTACTGACTTCCTGAGCTGCATGCTTACTTGATTTTAATCTTTCTTGTTTTCTTAAAAATGCCTTTGTGATTATGATTTTTCTTTTTTTTTTTTTTTTTTGAGACGGAGTCTTGCTCTGTCGCCCAGGCTGGACTGCGGACTGCAGTGGCGCAATCTCGGCTCACTGCAAGCTCCGCTTCCCGGGTTCACGCCATTCTCCTGCCTCAGCCTCCCGAGTAGCTGGGACTACAGGCGCCCGCCACCGCGCCCAGCTAATTTTTTGTATTTTTAGTAGAGACGGGGTTTCACCTTGTTAGCCAGGATGGTCTCGATCTCCTGACCTCATGATCCACCCGCCTCGGCCTCCCAAAGTGCTGGGATTACAGGCGTGAGCCACCGCGCCCGGCCGTGATTATGATTTTTCTTGGAAATTTCCAAATTTTCTTGGAAATACTGCTTTGGCCACGCTCTGTGGTTTGATACATAGTGCTCCCATGGTCATAATAGTAGATAGTATAATGTATGTTGTTTCAATGTTACTCCCTCCGAGGAATAACATTGAAACCTGTGGTTTCAGCCCATGAGTGGTTCATCAGGATGTTTAATTTTCAAATGGATAAGTTCTACAGGATTTTTTTTGTGGTTATATCTGAATTTATTCCATCTGGACTATACATTTTAAAATCTTTCATGGGCCGGGCACGGTGGCTCATGCCTGTAACCCCAGCACTTTGGGAGGCCGAGGTGGGTGGATCACTTGAGGTCAGGAGTTCAAGACCAGCCTGGCCAAATGGTGAAACCTTGTCTCTACTAAAAATACAAAAATTAGCTGGGTGTGGTGGCGGGCGCCTGTAATCCTAGCTACTCGGAAGGCTGAGGCAGGAGAATCGCTTGAACCCGGGAGGCGAAGGTTGCAGTAAGCCGAGATTGCACCACTGCACTCCAGCCTGGGTGATAAAGTGAGACTCAGTCCCAAAAACACCCAAAAATTAAAATTAATAAAATAAATAAAAAATAAAATCTTTCATGATGTAAGTTTGATAGGCATTTTTTTAGGTACATAAGAACCACAAAGCTCTTTCTTTTCACCTGCATAAGACTTAAATTTTACATACCTACTGTTTCATTGAATTATAATTCATCACTTTGCATACTTATGCTTTGCATAAAACAGCACTCGAGTGCCACTTTAACAGAACTGTTGCCATTGTGTCAGAATCCTTCAGGTTCCTGTTCCGTAGATGTGAGTGCCATGTTTTGGGAAAGAGCCGGTTGTAAAGAGCCATGTATCATAACTGCTTGCGAAGATGTAGTTTCTCTTTGGAAAGCTCTGGATGCTTGGCAGTGGGAAAAACTTTATACCTGGCACTTCGCAGAGGTAAGTGGGAATCTCGAGCTGAAAGAGATCTTTGCAGCCATTTGCCTGATAATGTAGATGGGCAGCTTACCAAAATTGGGAGCTATGACCATGCAAGGCAGAACAGAGATGAGGTTTTTTTCCCAACATTTTATTATGAAAAGTTTCAAACATCCAGAAAAGTTGTATAGTGAGCACCCATATACCCACCATTCTAGACTCTACCATTAACATCCTGCTTTGTTCGCTTTATCACAAATTTTTGTTTGTTTGTTTGAGACAGGGTCTCACTCTGTCATGCAGGCTGGAGTGCAGTGGCATGATCACGGCTCACTGCAGTTTCAACCTCCCCAGGCTCAGTAATCCTCTCACCTCACCCTCCCAAGTAGCTGGGACCACAGGCATGCACCACCATGTCTGGCTAATTTTTTATTGTATTTTTTTCTTCTTCTTTTTATTGAGATGGAGTCCTGCTCTGTCACCCAGGCTGGAGTGCAGTGGCATGATCTCGGCTCACTGTCAACCTCTGCCGCCCAGGTTCAAGGGATTCTTGTGCCTCAGCCTCCTGAGTAGCTGGGATTACAGGTGCCCACCACCATGCCTGGCTAATTTTTTTGTATTTTTAGTAGAGACGGGATTTTGCCATGTTGCCCAGGCTGTTCTTGAACTCCTGACCTCAGGCAATCCGCCTGCCTCAGCCTCGCAAAGTGCTGGGATTACAGGTGTGAGCTACCACACCTGGCCTATATTTTTTATGCAGACAGGGTTTTGCCATGTCGCCTGGGCTGGTCTTGAACTCCTGGGCTTAAGCCATCCGCCTGCCTCAGCCTCCCAGAGTGCTGGGGATTACAGGTGTGAACCACCATGCCCAGCCCATCACAGGTTTATCTAGATATGGGTTTTTTGTTTGTTTGTTTGTTTTTGGAGAGAGAGTCATACTCTGTTGCCCAGGCTGGAGTGCAGTGGGGCGATCTTGGCTTACTGCAATCTCCGCTTCCCGGGTTCAAGCAATTCTCCTGCCTCAGCCTCCCGAGTAGCTGGGACTACAGGCGCCCACCACCACGCCCAGCTAATTTTTGTATTTTCAGTAGAGATGGGGTTTTACCATGTTGGCCAGGATGGTCTCTAACTCCTGACCTCAAGTGATCCACTCGCCTCGGCTTCCCAAAGTGCTGGGGTTACAGGCATGAGCTCTACACCCAGCCTAGAGACGGGTTTTTACACTAGACCTGTTGGAGGAGCTTAGAATTTTATGTCTATTCTGACTTTGACACTTGCTGATATTTGTACTCCTTGCCCTTCACCAAGGCATTATTTTGCTTCTTTTCTACATGTATTTCCTTCTGGTCTTTTCCCACCATCATATACATCTTACAAGCTTGCAATCTTAGTGTGCTTAAAATTTTTAGATCTGTCTTTTCTCACCATACATATAAACATTTTTCTGGCCAGGCGAGGTGGCTCACGCCTGTAATCCCAACACTTTGAGAGGCTGAGGTGGGTGGATCACCTGAGGTCAGGAGTTCAAGACCAGCCTGACCAACATGGTGAAACCCCGTCTCTCCTAAAAATAAAATTAGCCAGGTGTGGTGGCGAATGCCTGTAATCCCAGCTACTCAGGAGGCTGAGGCAGGAGAATCGCTTGAACCCAGGAGGTGGAAGTTGCAATGAGCTGAGATTGTGCCATTGCACTCAAGGCTGGGCAACAAGAGTGAAACTCCGACTCAAAAAAAAAAATTTCCTTGTTCCTGTAGAGTCTTCATACTTGAATATACCTCATTCTTGCTCTCCAAATATATACAACATCTAACACTGTGCTTTACACAGAGGTGCCCAATAAATATTTGTTCAGTGAACATAGATATACTTTTAAATGGCTGCATAAATATTCTTTACATTCACATGCCAAAATATACCCAATTATTCCCCTATTGTTAGAATTATACCTTGCATTAGGTAAATGCTCAGTAAGCACTATTATGCTATTATGCATATAGTTTATTTAGATTTACAGCTAATAAAAAGAGTTTTCTGAGCCTTCAAATGATGAAAATTATCCTTGTACAGTGAGAATACAAAAGAATGTGATAAATTTTGGAAAATCTGGATTAAACAAAAATGAAACAACCAAGCATAATTTTTGGCTGCTTTGTTTTATTTAGGTTCCAGTATTACAGATAGTTCCAGTGCCTGATGTGTATAATCTCGTGTGTGTAGCTTTGGGAAATTTGGAAATCAGAGAGATCAGGTATGTAATTCCCAAGGAGTGATTTGTTTTTCCTTCATCTTTGTCTCTGTCAGCTGGTTTTAAGTGCAGGTAATAACCTAGGCTTGAGTCTTGAAAGAATCTGAAAGATCTAAAGAGAGAGAGATTTGTTTAAAAAAAAATCAATAGAATGACATCCCTGACTGAAGTTTCTATTTAAAATGTGAACCTAGGCTGGGCGCAGTGGCTCACGCCTGTAATCCCAGCACTTTGGGAGGCCAAGGAAGGTGGATCAACTGAGGTCAGGAGTTTGAGACCAGCCTGGCCAACATGGTGAAACTGTGTCTCTACTGAAAATACAAAAATTAGCCTGGTGTATAGCACCTGCGGGTGCCTATAATCCCAGCTACTCAGGAGGCTGAGGCAGGAGAATTGCCTGAACCCGGGAAACAGAGGTTGCAGTGAGCTAAGATCGTGCCACCACTGCATTCCTTCTGGATGACAGAGTGAGACTTTGTCTCAAAAAAAAAAAAAAAAAAAAAAAAAAAAGGCCGGGTATGGTGGCTCACACCTGTAATCCCAGCACTTTGGGAGGCCGAGGCAGGTGGATCACGAGGTCAGGAGTTCGAGACCAGCCTGACCAACATGGTGAAACCCCGTCTCTACAAAAATACAGAAAAATTAGCCAGGTGTGGTGGTGCGCACCTATAATCCCAGCTACTCAGGAGGCTGAGGCAGGACAGTCGCTTGAACCTGGGAGGCAGAGTTGCAGTGAGCCAAGATTGTGCCACTGCACTCCAGCCTAGGCGACAGAGCAAGACTCTGTCTCAAAAAAAAAAAAAAAAAAAAAGTGAACCTAGTCCTTTAATATTAAAAGGTTACTCCTCACATCACCCCATTTTTCCTTATATTTGGCTTAGGGCATTGTTTTGTTCCTCTGATGATGAAAGTGAAAAGCAAGTACTACTGAAGTCTGGAAATATAAAAGCTGTGCTTGGCCTGACAAAGAGGAGGCTAGTTAGTAGCAGTGGGACCCTTTCTGATCAACAAGTAGAAGTCATGACGTTTGCAGAAGATGGAGGGTAAGAAAAGCATTGATTGATTTTTAACTATTAGATGAAGAATGATTTTATCACAGGTTTCAGAGAAAGTTGGGTAACTAGGATCTCGTTTTTCTGTGCTGGGGGTGTAATATAAGCATGTACCGCATCAACACTAGGTTATGACATAGAAGCAGGTTAGTGAGGTGGAAGCCAGACATGTCAGGGATGAAGTCAAAGAAGGTGAGAGGCTCAGCAAATGTAGTTTGTTCTTCAGTCTTCTTGAAATCTGTGTGTCCCTTAAATGTTAGAAATACCTCTGCTGGGCACAGTGGCTCATGCCCATAATCCCAGCCCTTTGGGAGGCCAAGGCAGAAGTTTGAGCCCAGGAGTTCAAGACCAGTTGGGGCCACATAGCAGGGCCCCATCTTTACAAAAAATTTAAAAATTAGCTGGGTGTGGCAGAGCATGCCTTGTGGTCCCAGCTACTAGGGAGTCTGAGGTGGAAGGATCACTTGAGCTCAGGAGTTCAAGGGTGCAGTGAGCTGTGATCACGCCACCACACTCCATCTTGGGCAGCAGAGCGAGACCTAATCTTAAACACACACACACACACACACACAAATATTTTTAAAAATATAGAAATACCTTAAGGTCCTAGACCCTTTCCTCGTTCCACACACTTGTGTCCATTGCTTCACTGACCATCTTGGTGCTGACTACTTGCAAACATACATTTCTACCTCTGAGCTCTTTCTTGAGCTCTAGACCTGCAGGCCTATTTATTAGACGTATTGGGGACACCTTAAATTCAAAATGTTGCAAACTGAACTTACAGCATCTTCTCTATTATATACTCATTACACTTTATTTTTATTTTTCAATTACATTTCATTGTTATTATTCATGTATCTTCTAAAAATGGAGGGCAGGGAACTTTGGCTTATTTATTCATGATCTGTTGCAGTAATCTAGGCAAGAGATGATAATTGTTTGCTTAAATTAGGGGTATGTTAGTGGAGATGGGAAGAAGCAGACAGATTTCTGAGAGATGAGAAGATAAAATTACTGGGACTTGGTGATTGACTAGATTGAGAGGAAGGAGAGAATATCAACATGGTAGGGTTGGTCACTTGAGTGGTGACCAAGCTCGAAATGTGGGTATTATCCTTGTCTCCTTCCCCCCAGTCTAGGTGGTCACTTGAGTGGTGACCAACCCTGAAACTTGGACATTAGATGGTGATGCAATTCATTGAGATAGGAATGCAGAAAGAAACAAAAGGTTTATAGAAAAAGTTAACAAGTTTAATTTTGAATATAATGAATTCGAGGTGCTTGCAGCATATCTAGGTAGATATTATGAAAGTAATATATGTTCATTGTAGAAAGTTTAGTATACACGTTTTCTGGGTTAGATTTTTTTTTCCTGATATTAGGTTAGTTTATATTATGCAGTTCAACAATGCGGAGAAGGGCTACCTAGAGACTGCTTTAGTGCAAAGTACTGACTTTTCATACTGTTTTAATTACAGAGGCAAAGAAAACCAATTTTTGATGCCCCCTGAGGAGACTATACTAACTTTTGCTGAGGTCCAAGGGATGCAAGAAGCTCTGCTTGGTACTACTATTATGAACAACATTGTTATTTGGTAAGCTTTCCCTCTAGGTCCTCAGTTCCCTCATCTGTAGTATGAGGATATACCTCTAATTTTACAGGGTTGTTGTGAAGATTAAATAAGAGAGTATGTGTAAACATGATTGTGGTTTTGTGTTGCTGTTGTTGTTGTTTTTGTTGTGTTTTGAGACAGAGTCTCCTCCTATCACCCAGGTGGGAGTACAGTGGTATGATCTCGGCTCACTGCAACCTCTGCCTCCTGGATTCAAGTGATTCTCCTGCCTCAGCCTCCCGAGTAGCTGGGATTATAGGCATGTGCCACCACACCCAGCTAATTTTTGTATTTTTTAGTAGAGATAGGGTTTCATCATGTTGGCCAGGTTGGTCTTGAACTCCTGGCCTCAAGTGATCCACCTGCCTCAGACTCCCAAAATGCAGGGATTACAGGAGTGAGCCACCGTGCCTGGCTAATTTTTGTATTTTTTAGTAGAGAAGGGATTTTGCCATGTTGGCTAGGTTGGTCTTGAACTCCTGGCCTCAAGTGAACTGCCCGCCTTGGCCTCCCAAATTGCTGGGATTACAGGCATGAGCCACTGCGCCCGGCCTGATTGTGGTTTTTTTGTCAGATACTATATACTTGACTTACCAACAACATCATATTAATTGAGACATAACCAAAAAAGATCAGTCTGAGTAGACTATTTAAAACTAAATGGAATTCTGTTTTCAAAGATGTACACTTCTTTCTGCTTTTGGTTAGTGGTTGAGTAGTTTCTGTCAGACCAACTGTCTACCTTCGAATAAGTATACACTCTGGAAAAAATACAAAAAACAACTTTCTAAAGGCACCAGAGAACAAGAAAAAGAAGAAACATACTGGAGGGGTTTCTCCCTTTAGGTGAAGGGAATGGCACTAGGCAACATTCCTATTATGGCTTTAAGCTAGGGGGCAAGGCCCACTCTGCTCACTGGGTGACTGGAAGCCTAATAGAAGATCTTCTGTCCCACTGGCTTAGAGAACCAAAGGACAGAGTTCAGGGTGATCGCAGCTGCTAGAAAGGGAGGGGAAAAGTCCTAAAAAGGAGAGAGCAAAAAATAAAAAAAAGAACCCTAAATTCTAGCTATAATGTTTACCTAAATATTTGATTGACCCTTTAAACTGCATATTCATAGGTCAGACTGCTTGGAGTCTGGTAAGACTGAAAGCAGCTCAGGTAAGACTGAAAGAACGAATTTCAGTTTCGGCATTTGGAGTTCAAGTTCAGCCAAGTTAACTGTTTACTAGGACAGACAAACTTACAACCAAAAAAATCAGGGCCGGGCACGGGTGGCTCATGCCTATAATCCCAGCACTTTGGGAGGCCAAGGCAGGCAGATCACTTGAGGCCAAGTGTTCGAGACCAGCCTGGCCAACAAGGCAAAACCCCAGCTCTACTAAAAATACAAAAATTAGCCAGGCGTGGTGGTGCACACCTGTAATTCCAGCTACTCAGGAGGCTGAGGTAGGAGAATCGCTTGAACCCAGGAGGCGGAGGTTGCAGTGAGTCAAGATTGCGCCACTGCACTCCAGCCTGGGCGACAGAGCAAGATTCTGTCTCAAAAAAAAATAATAATTTTTTAAAAGTCAATAGAATTGTATTTTAAAAGTACTTACCATATTGTCTGGCACATAGGAGGTATTCAGTAAATGTTAAAATTCCTTTTTAAAAAATATTTTTAAAAAGAAAAAACATCAGTGTTTGTCAGAGGAACCTAACAGAATACAAAGTTTTTGCAACATATTAATATCACTGTAACTAGGATACAGTCCAAAGTTACTCAGTATACAAAAAATAAGTGTGGCGTCTCTACTAAAGATACCCCATCTCTACTAAAGATACCTCGTCTCTACTAAAGACACAAAAATTAGCCAGGCCTGGTGGTGCGAGGCTAAGGCAGGAGAATCGCTGGAACCTAGGAGGCAGAGGTTGCAGTGAGCCGAGATCGCGCCACTGCACTCTAGCCTGAGTGACAGAGTGAGACTCTGTCTCAAAAAAAGAAAAGAAAAAAGTGTGATCACAGGAACCAAATTAACAGATTTGTGATAGGGAAACCATCACAGGAGTCCCCAGCCATCTCTTTTCTGACTATAGGGAGAACCATACCCAGCCACAGGCACTTACTTGCAAGTTTAATTTGTATTAGGAAAATAGATTGATGTTTTTTCTTTTCTCAGAAGCCTTGTCTATTAACTGTTTCCTTAGGGCCAGAGTGGGTCTTGGTAAGAGGAAGTTATATTAGTGTGACCACTACCCTAGCTCTTATGTACCATCCAACCCTAACCTTTTTTTGTTTTCTTTTTTTTAAACACTATGGTGACTTACAACCCTAACCTTCTAGGAATAAACTAGAAAAGTATGGCCCTTGAGAGAAACGTTGTGCCCTTCCCACCAGAAAGCCTCTGAAATTTGACTATGTTCTGATCTGCCAGAAGACCCTGCTTTCAGATGTCCTGTTGTCTAGGGTAGCGCTTGGCCACTTGGAGCACTTTCACCAGGGTTTCTGCCGAGGGGTGTTATTTGAGGATGGTGCTCTTCCAGAAGTTGTCTTTTCTATTCTTTGTGCTATTTCCATAGTCCACACCTTCATTATCTGTCTCCTGAACTGTTAAAATAATCTAGTAGTTCATCTCCTTGCCATTAATCAATATTCAAACTTGATATTTTTTTTTTAAATTTTTTTAGACTATGTCTTACTCTGTCACCCAAACTAGAGTGCACTGGCATGACCATAGCTCACTGCAACCTCGAATGCCTGGGCTCAAACGCAGGTCATTTTTTATTCGACTACATTGTAAATACTCTTTCTTCAACTCTACCCTCATCCCTCAAAAGAAAACCTTTACAGGGGCCCATGTTTGCTTTCCTTCAGCTTTTATTTCCCCGGTGCTCTAGTACAAAAATGTCCTCTCCAGCTCTGCCGTCCTCCTTTCCTCCCTTTTTCCTTCCCATCTCTCAGTTGTACCCTTTTTCTATAAGTAGTCCTTTGGCATTTCGTATATAAGAGGTCACAAAGGAATTTGAGATTGGGAAGGGATTTCTTTCTGAAACAGAGTCTCACTCAGTACCCAGGCTGGAGTGCATGGGCATGACTCACTGCATTTTGAGGTAGCTCACTGCAACCTCAAACTTCTGGGCTCAAGGAATCCTCCCACCTCAGCCTCCTGAGTAGCTGGGACTGCAGGCACACAGCATCATGCCCTGCTAATTTTTAAATTTTTTGTAGAGATGAGAACTTGGTATGTTACTCAGGCTGGTCTTGAACTCCTTGGCACAAGCAATCCTCCCACTTCAGCCTCCCAAAGTGCCGAGACCACAGATGTACACCACCATGCCTGGCTAATTTTTCTTTTTCTTTTTCTTTGTAGAGGCAGGGTCTTGCTATTTTTTCCAGGCTGGTCTTGAACTTTTGGACTTAAGCAACCCTCCCACCTCGGCCTTCTAGAGTGCTGGGAAGTTGGGGAGGGATTTCTATACTTGGCTTCTAAGTTCCCCTTAGGGGATATTTTCACCCCCACAGTTACCTTGAGTTCTGTTGTACTATTCCAGCCTTCATTGATGTTTCCTTCTCCGAATTCATACTGCCTTGGTTGTTTTTTTGTTTTTGCTTTTTTGAGAGAGGGTCTCAGTCTGTTGCCCATGCTGGAGTACAGTGGCATGACTATGGCTCACTGAAGTCTCAACCTCTCAGGCTCAAGCAGTCCTCCCACCTCAGCCTCCTGAGTAGCAGGACTACAGATGCATGCCACCAGCCTTGACTAATTAAAAAAAAAAAAATTTTTTTTTTTTTAATTTTTTTTTGTAGAGACAGGGTCTTCCCATGTTGCCTAGACTGGTCGTGAACTCCTCAATGCAAGTGATCCTCCCGCCTCAGCCTCCCAAAGTGCTGGGATTGTAGACATAAGCTGCCGCACCTGGCCTGCCTTGATTTTTAATTTAGTATTTGCTGCTTTGTGTTATTTATCCTCTCTCGTTTTTGAAGACAGGTACCATGTCTCATATCTATTCTTGGTGCCTGCCTTAGCTCCATGTTTAGGGTAGTTACTCAAAGGTGTATTAATCATATTGTCTGTCAAAAGCTGTTACTTATCTTTTGGGCTCTGTATAATTTTATACTTACATGTAGTATTTGTTCTTATTTAACTCCTGATTTGTTAGATGTCTCAAGTGATTCATGTTATACTCAAGTGTCAAGTGGCTTTTTTTGGAAACTATGCTGAAGGTCTAAATATTTCTTAAGCTTGGCCGGGCACGGTGGCTCACGCCTGTAATCCCAGCACTTTGGGAGGCCGAGGTGGGCAGATCACGATGAGGTCAGGAGATGGAGTCCATCCTGGCTAACACGGTAAAACCCCGTCTCTACTAAAAATACAAAAAATTCGCCAGGCGTGGTGGTGGGTGCCTGTAGTCCCAGCTACTCGGGAGGCTGAGGCAGGAGAATGGCATGAACCCGGGAGGTGGAGCTTGCAGTGAGCGGAGATCACGCCACTGCACTCCAGCCTGGGCGACAATGAGACTCCGTCTCAAAAAAAAAAAAAAATTTCTTAAGCTTAATGTTTACAATGAAGTCATATCAAAGAAACACGTTAAAACATTCTTAAACACTGAGGGGCCAGTGTGTAAGGAAGTCTTGCTGTCCATATTCACTGAGACATTTCATTTAATATCTTCCAAACATTCAGTAGGTATCTGGGTCTCTACTTATGTCCCATTCTCTGTGAGAGATGCAGAGATGAATCAGATATGAATCCTGGTCCCAGGGCCCCTATAATCTAGTAGGTAAATAAGATGCCTTTACCATCAAAGCCTACAATTTCAGTACAATCCTTTTTACAATTCACATAAGGTCAAAGTGATTTGGGATTTGAGGAAAGAACAATTACTAAATACAGACCATGTATGAAACTCTGTAGGACACCCATCTGGTGTCCCTGATAGGAGGAAAACTTTGCATATGCACATAAAAATTTAATTTTCCTTCTTCAGTTTTTTATACACAGTATCTGGCCCATAGAATTCTGTATTTGTTGAGTGAATACATGATACAGTATTGCCAGTAGTATATTGCATACCAAATGAGGTATATGGACAAAATTAAAGGAGAGGAGATGACTGTGGACTGCTGTAGTCTCAAGTGAGTTCATGCAGCTTGGAGGGGGTGGGATATAACTAGGCCCTAAGAAATGGATGGGAATTCGTCAGTAACAGGGATGGGAACTCTTCTGTAATGGGTGGCAGGGAGTTGGGG
This sequence comes from Homo sapiens, assembly GCF_000001405.40. Lineage (NCBI taxonomy): Eukaryota > Metazoa > Chordata > Mammalia > Primates > Hominidae > Homo > Homo sapiens. Next base: position 23,616,109 of record NC_000016.10, on the reverse strand, counting down.
GAGCAGGGGTCATTGGAAAGCATAGCTTGAGCAAAGTCTAGAGTCAAGGAAATGCATATGTTCTTCAGGCAGAAAGATTTCAGGAAATGGAGCAATGAGTGATAATGTAAATATTGCACTGCTGGATTCATGAGAGTTATAAATACCACCGGGCGCGGTGGCTCACGCCTGTAATTCCAGCACTTTGGGAGGCCAAGGCGGGTAGATCACCTGAGGTCAGGAGTTTGAGACCAGCCTGGCCGACATGGTGTACCCCGTGTCTACTAAAAATACAAAAATTAGCTGGGTGTGGTGGCGCCTGCCTGTAATCCCTGCTACTCAGGAGGCTGAGGCAGGAGAATTGCTTGAACCTGGGAGGCAGAGGTTGCAGTGAGCCGAGGCTGTGCCATTGCACTCCAGCCTAGGCAACAAGAACAAAACTCCATCTCAAAAAAAAAAAGAACTTGGACTTTATGTTGTGGCTAATGGGAGCCAACTGAAAGTTTTTCATCAACAGAGTAACATGAACCAGGTGCAGTCTCTCACACCTGTAATCCCAGCACTTTGGGAGGCTGAGGTGGGAGGATTGCTTGAGCCCAGGAGTTCAAGACCAGCCTGGGCAATATAGTGAAACCCTGTCTCTACAAAAAATTAAAAAATTATTCAGGCATGGTGGCATGCAGCTGTAGTCCCAACTACTTGGGGCAGTGAGGTGGGAGGATCGCTTGAGCCTCAGAGGTCAAGGCTACGGTGAGTCATGATCACGCCACCACACTCCAGCTTGGGCAATGGAGCGAGACCCTAAGCTCCAAAAACAAAAAAATAGAGTATCATGACAAAGCAGTTATCAATGTCACAAATCCTCAATAAAGCTGGGGAGCAGGTCAGGTGCAGTGGCTCGTGCCTGTAATCCCAGCACTTTGGGAGGCCGAGGCAGGTGGATCACCTACGGTCAGGAGTTCAAGACCAGCCTGGCCAACCTGGTGAAACCCTGCCTCTACTAAAAATACAGAAATTAGCCAGGCATGGTGGTGGGTGCCTGTAATCCCAGCTACTTGGAAGGCTGAGGTGGAAGAATTGCTGGAACCTGGGAGGTGCAGATTGCAGTGAGCCAAGATGGCACCACTGCACTCAGCCTGGGTGACAGAGCGAGACTCCATCTCAAAAAAAAAAAAAAAAAAGGCCAGGCGCGGTGGCTCACGCCTGTAATCCCAGCACTTTGGGAGGCCGAGGCGGGCGGATCACGAGGTCAGGAGATCAAGACCATCCCGGCTAAAACGGTGAAACCCCGTCTCTACTAAAAATACAAAAAATTAGCCGGGCGTAGTGGCGGGCGCCTGTAGTCCCAGCTACTCGGGAGGCTGAGGCAGGAGAATGGCGTGAACCCGGGAGGCGGAGCTTGCAGTGAGCCGAGATCCCGCCACTGCACTCCAGCCTGGGCCACAGAGCGAGACTCCGTCTCAAAAAAAAAAAAAAAAAAAAAAAGCTGGGAAGTGATTCCAACAAACTTTATCTTTTTTCTTCTTTATATTCACCCCTCTCTTCCTACCCCACTTCAATCCTTCCTTCTATCCATTATTTTGGTCTAGTTGTAGTATAAATACATGTAATAGAGATATAATTGTAACTCTCTTTTAGGTGTAGTCTCTTGCCCTACAAAATTTGGTTTCCTGGCCGTTGTCTTCCATGGAAAATTTAGACATAACAAGAAGTGTCACAAAATCATGATACTGCTATACCATGTGCCTGATTTCAATACCAGGTTGAATGAGATGATGGAACCTTCCTCATGGAATTTGGAGAGATTTATCCCTAGGGGCATTGTAGATTTAATCTAAGGCTGAACTATCAAATGAAACTATTGGCAAAATTAACCCACAGTTCTACTTTTACCTAAATCTATGACTAAAGAAAACTAAGGAGCTCTTAGTTTTTTCCCTGGTCACCTCCTAAGACATGCTATGATGAATAAGAAAATATTTTCTGAAAACTGGTTTGTTGGAAGAATGTGATCAGCTTATTTATTTTTGTTATCTAAGGAATTTAAAAACTGGTCAACTCCTGAAAAAGATGCACATTGATGATTCTTACCAAGCTTCAGTCTGTCACAAAGCCTATTCTGAAATGGTAAGTAATGACTGGCTGGGACCACTTTGTGTGTTACTGTTGGTCTCATTAAGTGAGAGCAGTAAGTCATAAGCAGTAATGAACAAACCTTCCCCGTGGCATCTTTTTTCAAAATTGGATAGCAATGTTTGTCCTTTCTTGAAATTTAGGATGAAAATAAGTGTTGGTACAGTGATTGCTTGGTAAATTTTCTGGCTGTAGGACCTGAGGGCAAATATTTATTTCTAGCTGTGGATTTGAACTGAGAACTATTATGCCTGTTATCAGACTTGACTCCCAGCCACATTGCCATGTTTAAGTAGCCTTAGGAAGGATGATTAAATGATCCAATAATCCCAGAAATACTTTTTTTTTTTTTTGGGATGGAGTTTTGCTCTTGTTGCCCAGGCTGGAGTGCAATGGCGCGATCTCAGCTCACTGCAACCTCTGCCTTCTAGGTTCAATTAATTGTCCTGCCTCAGTCTTCCAAGTAGCTGGGATTACAGGTGCCCGCCACCACACCCGGCTAATTTTTGTATTTTTAGTAGAGATGGGGTTTTGCCATGTTGGCCAGGCTTGTCTCGAACTCCTGACCTCAGGTGATCCACCCGCCTCAGCCTCCCAAAGTGCTGGTATTACAGATGTGAGCCACAGTGCCCAGCTAACATGCTTTACTCTTAGGCTTCAGTCTTCTCACACAGAAATAAATACAGTTACTCAGCTCTTGCACTAATAGTCTTGGCTAGTGGGTACAAACATACAGTTAGAAATAAGCTCCAATATTCAGTAGCAGAGTAGAATGACTGTAGTTAGCAACAATGTGCTATATATTTCAAAGTAGCTAGAAGAAAGGACTTGAAATGTTCCCAATACATAGAAATGATAGATTCTCGAGGTGATGGGTACCCCAAATACCCCGCCTTGATCATTATATACTTTGTGCACATAACAAATACATGTACCCCATAAATATATAAAATATTTTGTATTAATAAAAAAAAAAAAACGCTTTGGGAGGCCAAAGTGGGTGGAACACCTGAGGTAAGGAGTTTGAGACCAGCCTGACCAATATGGTGAAAGCCCACCTCTACTAAAAATACAAAAATTAGGTGGGCGTGGTGGCGCATGCCTGTAATCCCAGCTACTTGGGAGACTGAGGAAAGAGAATTGCTTGAACCCAGGAGGCGGAGGTTGCAGTGAGCCGAGATTGCACGATTGCACTCCAGCCTGGGCGACAGAGCGAGACTCCGTCTCAAAAAACAAAAAGAAAAAAAAAAAGTTTTACCTTGGGCAATGTGGCAAAACCCCATCACTATAAAAAAAGACAAAAATTAGCCAGGCATGGTGGCATGCAGCTGTAGTCCCAGCTACTCAGGAGGCTGAGTTCAGGGGATCCCTGGAGCCCAGGAGGTCGAGGCTGTGGTAAGCCATGATCACACTGCTGTACTCCAGCCTGGGCAACAGAGTGGGAACCTGTCTCAAAAAAAAAAAAAAAAAAAAAGTCTTGGCCTGGCATGGTGGCTCACACCTATAATCCCAGCACTTTGGGAGGCCGATGTGGGTGTATCATGTGAGGTCAGTAGTTCGAGACCAGCCTGGCCAACATGGTAAAACCCCGTCTCTACTAAAACTACAAAAATTAGCCAGATGTCATGTCAGGCACCTGTAATCCCAGCTACTCAGGAGGCTGAGGCAGGAAGAATTGCTTGAACCCAGGAGGTGGAGGTTGCAGTGAGCCGAGATCGTGCCACTGCACCCTGGGTGACAGAGCAAGACTCTGTCTCAAAATAAATAAATAAATAAATAAAAAGCCTTGACTCACAATCTAGTTACAGTGGGAAAGTAGTTGTCTAGGAGTAATGAATAACTACTTGAGTATTCACTGTTGAAGCCATGAGCAGAGACAATGGCAGCAGGCTCAGCATTTGTGTAGAGACTGACTTGCCTGGTGATTACAGTGAGAGGATCAGCATCCAGAGGCTCTGAACACAAAGACCGCATCTTTCCCTAGCCTAGTAGGATCTGTGGAATTGAATTTAAAAGTTGTGTGATGTTATATAATCCAACACATAATCTTGAGCCTAACCTTTGTCCTCCTTTAAATAAGACAGTTGTGGCCAGGTGTAGTGGCACATGCCTGTAATACCAGCTTCTCCAGTGAGAGGATCACTGGAGCCCAGGTGTTCCAGGCTGCAGTGAGCCATGATGGCACCACTGTACTCCAGCCTGGGCGATAGAGTGAGACCCTGTCCCAAAAATAACTAATAGTCCAGGTGCAGTGGCTCACGCCTGTAATCTCAACACTTTGAGAGGCCAAGGCGGGTGGATCACCTGAGGTCGGGAATTCAAGACCAGCCTGGCCAACATGGTGAAACCCTGTCTCTACTAAAAATACAAAATTTACATGGGTGTGGTGTGTGCGCCTGTAGTCCCAACTACTAGGGAAGCTAAGGCAGGAGAATTGCTTGAACCCAGGGGGCAGAGGTTGTAGTGAGCCGAGAGTGTGCCACTGCACTCCAGCCTGAGTGACAAGAGCAAAACTCCATCTCAAAAAAAAATAATAATAATAATAATAACTAGGCTGGGCATGGTGGCTCACGCCTGTAATCCCAGCACTTTGGGAGGCTGAGGCAGGTGGATCACCTGAGGTCAGGAGTTCAAGACCCAGCCTGACCAACATGATGAAACCCTGTCTCTACTAAAAAATACAAAAATTAGCTGGGCATGGTGGCAGGTGCTTATAATCCCAGCTACTCAGGAGGCCGAGGCAGGAGAATCACTTCAACCTGGAGGTGGAGGTTGCAGTGAGCCAAGATCGTGCCATTGCACTCTAGCCTGGGCGACAGAGGAAGACTCTGTCTCAAAACAAAAGAACAACAACAACAACGAATAGATAGATTGATAGATAGATAGATAGATAGATAGATAGATAGATAGATAGATAGACTGACAGTTGAATTCATCTCTAGAATTTACTTTTTTTTTGAGACAAGATTCTTGCTCTGTCACCCAGGCTGGAGTACAGTGGTGTGATGTCGGCTCACTGCAACCTCCGCCTGCCAGGTTCAAGCAATTCTGTGCCTCAGCCTCCCAAGTAGCTGGGATTACAGGTGTGCCTGCCGCCATGCCTGGCTAATTTTTTTGTATCTTTAGTAGAGACGGGGTTTCACCAAGTTGGCCAGGCTGGTCTTGAGCTCCTGACTTTGTGATCCACCCGCCTCACGCTCCCAAAATGCTGGGATTACAGGCGTAAGCCACCATGCCTGGCCTAGAATTTACTTATTAAGCATTTAAATAATGTTATACCTTTTATATTACAACATCAATACCCACTTGATATTAAAACATTTCACACAGACATGTGTAAGATAGTAAGTAAAAGTCCCCCATAAAGCCAATCTTCAGAAATAATATTTAATGCCAGGCGTGGTGGCTCACACCTGTAATCCCAGCACTTTGTGAGGCCGAGGCGGGCAGATCACGAGGTCAGGAGATTGAGACCATCCTGGCCAACATGGTGAAACTCCGTCTCTCCTAAAAATACAAAAATTAGCTGGGCATGGTGGTGCGCACCTGTAGTCCCAGTTAGTTGGGAGGCTGAGGAAGGAGAATTGCTTGAATCCAGGAGGCAGAGGTTGCAGTGAGACGACATCCTGCCACTGCACTCCAGCCTGGCGAAAAAGCAAGTCTCTGTCTCAAAAAAAAAAAAAAAAAAGAAATAACATTGTATTATTTATTTAACTGTTTAGTGCAGGGATTGATAAACTTTTTCCATATATGACCAGACGGCAAATACTTTCAGCTGTGCTGGCCTTACAATCTCTGTTTTACATACTCAACTCTGCCATTGTGGCCCCAAATCAGCCATAGACTGTATGCAAATGGATAGATGTAGCTGTGTTCTAATAAAACTTTATGGAGACTGAAACTTGAACTTCATATGTTAATTTTGGCATGTCACAAAATGTTATTTTTCTGATGTTTTTCAGCCATTTCAAAATCTGAAAAACATTCTTAGTTTATTAGCCATGGAAAAATAAGCACTGGGGCCAGGCATGGTGGCTCACAGCTGTAATTCCAGTGCTTTGGGAGGCCAAGGAGGGAGGATTGCTTGAGGCCAGGAATTCAAGGCTGCAGTGAGCTGATTATGCCACTGCACTCCAGCCTAGGTGACAGTGAGACCCTATCCCCCCAAAAAAAGTGTTGGGTGGCCAGGCGCGGTGGCTCACGCCTGTAATCCCAGCACTTTGGGAGGCTAAGGCGGGCGGATCATGAGGTCAGGAGATCGAGACCATCCTGGCTAACACAGTGAAACCCCGCTCTACTAAAAGTACAAAAAATTAGCCGGGCGTGGTGGCGGGCGCCTGTAGTTCCAGCTACTCGGGAGGCTGAGGCAGGAGAATGGCGTGAACCCAGGAGGCAGAGCTTGCAGTGAGCAGACATCGCACCACTGCACGCCAGCCTGGGCGACAGTGCAAGACTCTGTCTCAAAAAAAAAAATTGTGTTGGGTTAGATTTACCTGGTGGGCCATAGTTTGTCAGCCTCTTCTTAACTGTATAGCATTTAACATTTTTAAATCCTCAGTTTTTTTCCCTTTTAGAGATAGGGTCTCACTCTCTCATTCAGGCTGTAGATCAGTGGCACCATCATAGCTCACTATAGCCTTGAGTTCTTGGGCTCAAGCGATCCTCCCCACTCAGCCTGCCAAGTTGATGGGATTACATGGCATGAGCCACAGCACCCAGCTAAATTTTAATTTAATTTTTTTAGATGATGAGGTCTTCAGCTGTGTTTCCCAGGCTTGTCTCAAGCTATCCTACTGCCTCGGCCTCCTGAGTTACCTCAGTTGTTTTCTAAATATAAAAATATTTTATTTTCATTAATAAATTCAATCATTTGACCTGACGCCGTGGCTCACGCCTATAATCCCGGCCCTTTGGGAGGCTGAGGTGGGTGGATCACAAGGTCAGGAGATCGAGACCATCCTGGTCAACGTGGTGAAACCCTGTCTCTACTAAAAATACAAAAATTAGCCAGGCATGGTGGCGCATACCTGTAATCCCAGCTACTTGGGAGGCTGAGGCAGGAGAATCACTTGAACCTGGGAGGCGGAGGTTGCAGTGAGCTGAGATCGCACCATTGCACTCCAGCCTGGGCAACGAGCGAAACTCCGTCTCAAAAAAAAAAAATCTGTATATATGTGTGTGTGTGTGTGTGTGTGTATATATATACACACATACAGTAATATTATTATTAGAGCCTGTAATTTTAAAGCCAGGAGAGAACTTTAACACATTTTCTCACAGAAACAGCCATAGGTGATGGTATCTTTTTTTGGTCACCCTTATTCATAGAGAGTAGTAGGGTCAGGGTTTTAAATAGGCTATTGTGGGCTGGTCTGAGAAACCAGCCACCATGTACAAGATTGTTTTTATGGGAAAACATGTTCTGAATGTTCAAAAACCAATTTACAAATGAATATTTCTAATTTGAGCACTCCCTGCACATGTGTGTCCTCATTCTCTCTTTGCCAATATTTCCCCAAATGAATGGCATGAAATGTAGTACTATCTAAGGGGAAGGAAATGGATGAATCAGATTCATGCCTGGCAAGACTGGCTAAAACAAACACTGGGAACCGGAAGCAGGAGAAGCTAAAGCTAGAAGTTGGCTGAGCGCGGTGGCTGACGTCTGTAATCCCAACACTTTGGGAGGCTGAGGTGGGAGGATCCCTTGAGGCCAGGTGTTCAACAACAGCCTGGGTAACACAGGAAGGCCTTGTCTCTAAAAAAAAAAAGAAGAAGAACAAGAAGCCAGAAGTCCAGTCCAGTAATAATCTCAACAGTTCCTAGACGGCAGGGAAAAAAATCAAGCCAGTGGTTAAATCCTGGATACTTCAGAGCCTATCGGTCATTGCTTTAATTGTTTGGTTTTTGTCTCTGCCAGATCTTTATTTTTCCTGACATACTCTTGACAGTCTATTTGGGATATTTATTTTTCTCCGAAATTAGGGGCTTCTCTTTATTGTCCTGAGTCATCCCTGTGCCAAAGAGAGTGAGTCGTTGCGAAGCCCTGTGTTTCAGCTCATTGTGATTAACCCTAAGACGACTCTCAGCGTGGGTGTGATGCTGTACTGTCTTCCTCCAGGGCAGGCTGGCAGGCAAGTGTGCATAACTGCTACTCTATGGGTGGGACATTCTGAAAGGCACTGTGCAAACACAAAAACTAGATATTTTTGTGTCACTTAGAAGAATGGAAAACATGAAATACTATATATCATGATAGGAATATTCAGAAGTAGGATGAAGATTAGTGGACTTGAGTCAAACCCCAGATTCCCTGCATCCTGATCTCTACTAGTATGGGGTTATATAGGTTTTTAATAGTGTTTATTCAAGCCCTGTTTTTTCCCCTAAGGTAAATATTTTGGCAGCACATGGTGGATCATGCCTGTAATCCCAGCACTTTGGGAGGTCAAGGTGGGAGGAGAGCTTGAGCCCAGGAGTTTGAGACCAACTTGGACAACAGAGCAAGACCCAGTCTCTACCAAAAAAAATATATATATATATTAGCCAAACATGCTGGCATGCATCTGTACTTCCAGCTACTCGGGAGGCTGAGGTGGGAGGATGGCTTGAACCTGGGAGGTGGAGGCTGCAGTGAGCTGAAATCATACCACTTCACTCAAGCCTGGCAACAGAGCAAGACCCTGTCTCAAAAAAAAAAAAAAAAAAATTCACATAAAGAGTAATGAACGTTCTGTATTTAAAAAACATAATTTGTGTTCTTTCCCTAAACCTAAATTAAGGAAAATTTAAGGTACTTTAGGAAGACATCTTTACTTTGAAATCTGACTGAGTTTGACTGAGCCTCTATCATGCAGGCAGTTTATATTTATCTATAGATAAGTATTTATCTGGCCAGGCAGTGGCTCACGCCTATAATCCCAGCAATTGGGAGGCTGAGGCAGGTGCATCATGAGGTCAGGAGTTCACCAGCCTGGCCAAGATGGTGAAACCCCATCTCTACTAAAAATACAAAAATTAGCTGGGCACGGTGGCAGGCACCTATAATCCCAGCTACTCGGGAGGCTGGGGTCACTTGAACCTGGGAGGCAGAGGTTGCAGTGAGCCGAGATCGTGCCACTGCACTCTAGCCTGGGAGACAGAGCGAGACTCCGTCTCAAAAAAAAAAAAAAAAAAGCAGGGTGCAGTGGCTCACGCCTGTAATCCCAGCACTTTGGGAGGCCGAGGCAGGCGGATCATGAGGTCAGGAGTTCGAGACCAGCCTGACCAACACGGTGAAACCCCGTCTCTACTAACATACAAAAATTAGCTGGGCATGGTAGTGCGTGCCTGTAATCCCAGCTACTCAGGAGGCTGAGGCAGGATAATCGCTTGAACCCGGGAGGGAGAGGTTGCAGTGAGCCGAGATTGTACCACTGCACTGCAGCCTGGGCTGAAGTGAATCAAGAAAACAAGGTCTGACTTTAATAACTCACAAGGATAATGCACACAGTTACAATACATGTTTTTTTGGACCTTATGCAAAGTTTATTTGATAAGTGCATGTTCTAAAAGACATTCTCTATCCCTATGCACTTAGCTAGCTGTGACACTTCTGCAGGGTCTTGCTTTGTTGCCCAGGCTGGAGTGCAGTGGCACGATCTCAGCTCACTGCAACTCTGCCTCCCGGGTTCACACCATCTTCCCATCTCAGCTTCCCAAGTAGCTGGGACTACAGGTACATGCCACCACGCTTGGCTAATTTTTTTTTTTTTTAAGAACCTAAGAACCTCAGAACTATCATCTGCAGTATGTGCTTTCATATAAAACTTGCTTCCTTGGATTTGAAGAGAGAACGATAGTCGTTGGCCCTAGAGATTAAAGATAAAGATAACTGCTTGGTCAAGCATTTCCTTTGTCACTTTTCAAACTCATCTGTTCAGGAATCCTTGAAAGCCTGTTTGGTACCAATCCTGTAGGAAGCATATCTTAGTTCTATTAGGCTGCTACAACAAAATACCACAGACTGGGTAGCCTTTAAACAACAAAGTGTATTTCTTACCATTCTTTTGGCTGGGAAGTCCAAGATCAAGGTGCTGGCGGATTCACTGTCTGGTGAGAGCCCATTTCCTGGCTCATAGATGTGTCCTCACATGGTAGAAGGCAGCTTTCTGGGGCCTGTTTTACAAAACCACCAATCACTTCTCAAAAGCCCCACCTCCTAATACCATCACATTGGTGATTAGGTTTCAACAGATTAATCTTGGGAGGACACAAGCATTCAGACCATAGCAAAACACTGCTATTTCTGGCCGGGCGCGGTGGCTCATGCCTGTAATCCCAGCACTTTGGGAAGCCGAGGCGGGCAGATCACTTGAGGTCAGGAGTTCGCGACCAGCCTGGCCAACATGGTGAAACCCTGTCTCCACTAAAAATACAAAAATGAGCTGGGTGCGATGGTGTGCACCAGTAATCCCAGCTATTGGGGAGGCTGAGACAGGAGAGTCACTTGAAACTGGGAGGCAGAGGTTGCAGTGAGCTGAGATCTCGCCATTGCACTTCAGCCTGGGTGACAGAGCAAGGCTCTGTCTCAAAAACAAACAAACAAACAAACCACTTATTTCTAATTTTATGGAAATTAGAAGGGAAAACTAGTGACTGTTGTTCAGTGCACAAAATACAATACATGAAGCTTGCACTGTTTGAGAGCACAAGAGTGGAGAGGTGGGCACCTTAATTGGCAGTAGAGGGTTGGGGAGAGACTGTCAAAGAAAACCTTAGGGAGTTTCCAAAGATAAGTTAGGAGTTAGGTACGCAAAGTTGGGTGGGAACCAGGGATAAAAAGTATCATGCAGTTCATTCATATAATACTCTTTGGAGAGCTGGCCATGCCTCAGGCACCAGTGATACAGCAGTGAATAATAATAATAGCTAATTTTTTTTTTGAGACGGAGTTTCTCTCTGTTGCCCAGGCTGGAGTGCAGTGGCATGATCTCAGCTCACTGCAACCTCTGCCTCCCAGGTTCAAGCGATCCTCTTGCCTCAGCCCCCCTAGTAGCTGGGATTACAGGCACGTGCCACCATGCCCAGCTAATTTTTGTATTTTTAGTAGAGACGGGGTTTCACCATGTTGGCCAGGCTAGTCGTGAACTCCTTACCTCAGGTGATCTGCCTGCCTTGGCCTCCCAAAGTTCTGGGATTACCGGCGTGAGCCACCAGGCCTGGCCACAATAACAGCTAATTTTTTTTTTTGGAGACAGGGTCTCACTTTATCGCCCAGGTTGGAGTGCAGTGGCACGATCTTGGCTCACTGCAACCTCCACCTCCCATGTTCAAGCAATTCTTGTGCTTCAGCCTCCCGAGTAGCTGGGATTACAGGCATGTGCCACCACGCCTGGCTAATTTTGTATTTTTAGTAGAGACCGGGTTTCTCCATGTTGGCCAGGCTGGTCTCAAACTCCCAACCTCAGGTGATCCACCCGCCTTGGCCTCCCAAAGTGCTGGGATTACAGGCGTGAGCCACCACACCCGGCTAATAATAGCTAATTTTTATTGAGCACCTCCTGTGTGCCAGGCACTGCGCTAAGCCTTTTATAGGAACTGTTTCATTTAACCTCACCACAGTCCTGTCAAGTATGTGCTCTTAAAATCATCCCTATTGTACTGATAAAGTTAAATAATTTGCCCAGGGTTGCACAGCTCTTACTTTGTAGAGTTAGAATTTAAACCCAGGTAGCTGACTGCAGAGCCCTTGTCTAAATGAAAAAGGCAACCAGGTAGGTTTCTGCTTCATAGATGGCATCTTTTGTGGGGGAAATTCCCACTGAATATGGAAACAGGGTAATCTCAAATAGTGAAAAGTGCAATGAAGATAAAAACATATATGTCATAAAGATGGAACAGATCCCGTATGTGTGTGCACACTGCCTGAGATAGAGGATTAGGGGTGACCTTTCTATGGACATAACAGGCCTGAATGATGACAAGAACTCAGCCATGCTAAGAGCTGGGGTGAGAGCCTGTCAGGGAGAAAGAATGGCAAGAGCAGTGACACTGAGTTGGGACTGAGTTTGGCCAGAGTGATGGAGAGTGGAAGGAAGGCCACTGTGCGCCAGCCTTCAATTGCTACAAGATGCATCAGAGAGATTGGCAGGAACTGGACATGTGATTCTGTCCAAAACTGCAACACAATAGCCAACAGACCTCTAAGGCTACAAATGTAGGCATTCATAGTTACAGGGATTTTTGTTCCTGTTGCTGGTTTTGGGAACATGGTTTTGACCTTTTTTTTTTTTTTAATTGTTTTTTGGATATGTAATCTGAATTATATCTTCTTTGTATGCTATCAGGTTCCTGGAAGGTGACGTGAAAGATCACTGTGCAGCAGCAATCTTGACTTCTGGAACAATTGCCATTTGGGACTTACTTCTCGGTCAGTGTACTGCCCTCCTCCCACCTGTCTCTGACCAACATTGGTCTTTTGTGAAATGGTCGGGTACAGACTCTCATTTGCTGGCTGGACAAAAAGATGGAAATATATTTGTATACCACTATTCATAAGTTAGGGTAAAGTGAAAACACAATTTTCTGGATATATTGGGCCTCTTAGTATTTTTTGGAGTTTTAAATATAAAGGAGAATATCTGAATGACACTTAAAATGATTGCTTGTTTATGTCCAGACAGACTTATTTTTTATTCTAATGATGGTAGCACCACTGATCTTGGATGTACATTTATGTATACTTTGAGAAAAAGGGTTTTAGGTTGATTTTTGTAATTTCCCACATTTGTACATGTGCTTTTAAAGGTGTACATAAAGCTTCAAATGGCAATAAATATTTATTTTTATACATTCTGCTTGGCATGTTATTGTTTCCCATTCTTTCAAGATCATTTGCAGAAGCAAGAACTAATTATTATACAACCAGGATATTTAATCAATAGTCTTTGCCTAGTAAGTGTAAATTTCAGTTCAGTTAACTTACTACACTAATATGCAATATACTTTTTGTGCTATTTGTAATACTTTATTTTTACATACATACTAAAATAAAATGAAACCTACTAAAATATCCTAATTTAGGGATACTCTTACTCTTTTTCATTCTCATGCATCTTTCATGCCAGTGCTGCATTATCACTAGAGTCACCTTTTTTTGAGATGGAGCCTCACTGGTCACCCAGGCGGGAGTGCAGTGGCATGATCTCGGCTCATTGCAACCTCTGCCTCCCAGGTTAAGTGATTCCCCTGCTTCAGCCTCTCAAGTAGCTGGGATTACAGGCACCCACCACCACACCTGGCTAATTTTTGTATTTTAATAGAGATGGGGGTCTCACCATGTTGGTCAGGCAGGCCTTGAACTCCTGACCTCAAGTGATCCACCTGCTTTGACCTCCCAAAGTGCTGGGATTACAGGCATGAACCACTGCCGCTCTTTTTTTTCTTGGTTTTTTGTTTTTTGTTTTTTTTTTAGAACGGAGTCTCCCTCTATCACCCAGGCTAGAGTGCAGTGGGGTGATCTGGGCTCACTGCAACCTCCGCCTCCCAGGTTCAAGTGATTCTCATGCCTCAGCCTCCTGAGTAGCTGGGATTACAGGCATGCTCTACTATACCCGGCTAATTTTTATATTGTTTGTAGAGACAGGGTTTCACTGTGTTGGCCAGGCTAGTCTGGAACTCCTGACCTTAGGTGATCTGCCTACGTCGGCCTCCCAAAGTACTGGGATTACAGGGATGAGCTACCGTGCCCAGCCAAAGAAGATTATATTTTTTAAAGACAAATTTTTGGGCCGGGCGCAGTGGATCACGCCTGTAATCCCAGCACTTTGGGAGGCCAAGGTGGGCAGATCACTAGGTAAGGAGATCAAGACCATCCTGGCTAACACAGTGAAACCCCATCTCTACTAAAAATACACAAAATTAGCCGCGCATGGTGGCACACGCCTGTAGTCCCAGCTACTCGGGAGGCTGAGGCAGGAGAATCACTTGAACCCGGGAGGCGGAGGTTGCAGTGAGCTGAGATCACACCACTGCGTTCCAGCCTGGACAGAGCAAGACTCTGTCTCAGAAAAAAAAAAAAGACACATTTTTGGCCAGGTGCAGTGCTATAATCCCAGCACTTTGGGAAGCTGAGGCGGGTGGATCATAAGAGGTGGGTGGATCACACACACAAAAAAAGATACATTTTTATCATACTGTAGTTTTTGCTCATTTACAAATTCTGGTATTTTTTTAATTTTCTTTTTCAAAGGATGTCTATTATATTTTCTTTGAGACAGTCTCACTCTGTTGCACAGGCTGGAGTACAGTGGTATCACAGCTCACTGCAGTCTCAACTTCCCCACACTCAGGCGATCCTCCAACCTCAGCCTCCCCAGTAGCTAGGACTAAGGTATGGGCTACCATATCCAGCTAATTAAAAAAAAATTTTTTGTGAGACAGAGTCTCACCATGTTGCCCAGGCTGGTCTCGAACTCCTGGGCTCAAGCCATCTACCCACTGTGGCATCCCCTCCCAAAATGCTAAGATTACAGGTGTAAGCCTCCACACCCAGCCTCTTTTACAAATTCTATACCCACAATTTTTAACCTCAAATTATTTGCTAGTGTATCATAGATACTGGAGAACTTTTTGTAAAGATTTAATTTACTCATGAACCTTGAGAAACCTGTATTATTATCTTGATAATAACAAGAGTCAACAAAACTAAGGCACAAAGTAATTCTAGTCAGTAATGGTTGCACAAACTGAGCATCTGCTTGACACAGTAGGTATGTAAATCATTGCTGTGAGACCTCTGCCATTGAGAAGTACACAGTCTAGTGGGAGAGACTGTCGCATAAAGCAGTCAGGACTGTACTTTAAATTTAAGGGGTATGTTTCAGACCCGGCACGGTGGCACACACCTATAATCCCAGCACTTTGGAGGCCGAGGTGGGCAGATCATTTGAGGTTAGGAGTTCGAGACCGGCCTGGCCAACATGGTGAAACATTGTCTCTTAAATACAAAAAGTAGCTGGGTGTGGTAGCACACACCTGTAATCCCAGCTACTCGAGAGACTGAGGCAGGAGAATCGCTTGAACCTGGGAGGCAGACATTGCAGTGAGCAGAGATTGCACCACTGCACTCCAGCCTGGGCAACAGAGCGAGACTCTAATTAAAAAAAAAGGAAGCTAAAAAAAAAAAAATTTAAGGGATATGTTCCAGGTGCTATTATGGAAGCTCAAGGCTGAGCAGTTTGGACAACCCAGGAGTCCCAGAAAAACTTCATGGGAGATGGCAATTTAGCTGAGCCTTGCGGGATAAGTAGGTCAAAGCAGAAGCAACGGATATTCTGGGCAGAAAGGACAGCCTGGCCAAAATGGTGAAACCCAGTCTCTACTAAAAATACAAAAATTAGCCGGGAGTGGTGGCAGGCGCCTATAGTCTCAGCTACTCGGGAGGTTGAGGCAGAGAATCGCTTGAACCCAGGAGGCAGAGGTTGCAGTGAGCCAAGATCGCACCATTGCACTCCAGCCTGGGCGACAGAGCGAGACTCTGTCTCAAACAATGACAAAAAGAAAAAGTGTAACTGTAGGGGTGGGTTGCCCCTCCACACCTGTGGGTGTTTCTCGTAAGGTGGAATGAGAGACTTAGGAAAGAAAAAGACACAGAGACAAAGTATAGAGAAAGAAATAAGGGGACCCGGGGAACCAGCGTTCAGCATATGGAGGATCCCGCCAGCCTCTGAGTTCCCTTAGTATTTATTTATCATTCATGGGTGTTTCTCGAAGAGGGGGATGTGTCAGGGTCACAAGACAATTGTGGGGAGAGGGTCAGCAGACAAACACGTGAACAAAGGTCTTTGCATCATAGACAATGTAAAGGATTAAGTGCTGTGCTTTTAGATATGCATACACATAAACATCTCAATGCTTTACAAAGCAGTATTGCTGCCCGCAGGTCCCACCTCCAGCCCTAAGGCGGTTTTTCCCTATCTCAGTAGATGGAGCATACAATCGGGTTTTATACCGAGACATTCCATTGCCCAGGGACAGGCAGGAGACAGATGCCTTCCTCTTGTCTCAACTGCAAGAGGCATTCCTTCCTCTTTTACTAATCCTCCTCAGCACAGACCCTTTACGGGTGTCGGGCTGGGGGACGGTCAGGTCTTTCCCTTCCCACGAGGCCATATTTCAGACTATCACATGGGGAGAAACCTTGGACAATACCTGGCTTTCCTAGGCAGAGGTCCCTGTGGCCTTCCGCAGTTTTTGTGTCCCTGGGTACTTGAGATTAGGGAGTAGTGATGACTCTTAAGGAGCATGCTGCCTTCAAGCATCTGTTTAACAAAGCACATCTTGCACCGCCCTTAATCCATTCAACTCTGAGTTGACACAGCACATGTTTCAGAGAGCACGGGGTTGGGGGTAAGGTCACAGAATCTCAAGGCAGAAGAATTTTTCTTAGTACATAACAAAATGGAGTCTCCTATGTCTACTTCTTTCTACACAGACACAGTAACAATCTGATCTCTCTTGCTTTTCCCCACATGTAACAGCTTGTCTATGAAAGGTAGGAGGAATGGTATTAGAGATCTATAAAGGGTCAGCGGAGGGTCCTCTTACTTTGTTTTTAGGCTAAGAGGAACTTTGATGTGTTTATGGGTTCAGGAGAAAGAGCCAGAAGAGAGACCTTTGAGATGTAGGGAAGAAGAGCTAACTGGTGGTATAAGGTCCCATTGGGAATAAGAGGGGATGAGACTACCGTGCAAATGGGCTGGCAGAGGGAGCGATCATGGTGGGTTGGTGGGATAGTTTGTGCTGGGAAGCTGACAGCTTTTATGCTTATCCATCCTTTGATGGGAATGTTACTGAAAAGCACCGGTGTTGTCTTTTAACTCTTCCTCATCTGCTAAGGATGTGATCTTAATATTGGGACTTTTACCCTACAGGCCATGTAGGCTGATATTTTGTCTTTATTTGTTTGCTGAAGGGAAAAGTAGCTCTCCCAAATTATTTAAATAAGAGATGATTTGTTATGTTTTACCAAAAGGATTAAATGTAACACTGAGGCCGGGTGCAGTGGCTCACGCCTGTAATCCCAGCACTTTGGGAGGCCGAGGCGGGCAGATCATGAGGTCAGGAGTTTGAGACCACCCTGGCTAACACGGTGAAACCCCATCTCTATAAATACATACATACATACATATATACATACATACGTGTAACACTGAAAGACTAGATAGGTCATGGGAAGAGATGGCCCCAATTGTGAACTTAGTAGGATTAGGTTCTTCCTAAGCTAAGAGCTACATTTTTTTGGGAAACAGAGTCTCACTCTGTTGCCCAGGCTGGAGTGTAGTGGTGTGATCATAGCTCACTGCAGCCTTGACCTCCTGGGCTCAATTGGTCCTCCCACCTCAGCTTCCCAAGCAGCTGGGACCACAGACATGCATCACCATGCCTGGCTAATTTTTTAAATTTTTTATGGAGACAAGGTCTCCCTGTGTTGCCTAGGTTGATCTCAAACTCCTGGGCTCAAGCGATCCACCTCCCTTGGCCTCCCAAAGTGCTGGGATTACGGAGGTGAGCCACTGAACCAGGCTTGCCTGTCTGGCTTGCTCACAGTTGCAGCCTCAACAATTAGTACGTAACAGATACTCAATTTTTTTTTGAGACTTTTTTGAGATGGAGCTTCACTCTTGTTGCCCAGGCTAGAGTGCAATGGCGCGATCTCAGCTCCCTGCAACCTCTACCTCCCGGGTTCAAGCAATTCTCCTGTCTCAGCTTCCTGCCTCCTGAGTAGCTGGGATTACAGTCACCTGCCACCACACCCAGCTAATTTTTGTATTTTTAGTAGAGACGGGGTTTCACCATGTTGTCCAGGTTGGTCTCAAACTCCTGACATCAGGTGATCCACCTGCCTCAGCCTCCCAAAATGCTGGGATTACAGGTTTGACCCACCATGCCTGGCCCCCAGACACTCGAGTTTTAAAGGAATGCTATAATAAATAGAAATTATTTTACAACAGTGGGATGAAACTATGTTTTTTTTGTTTTCGTTTTTTTTTTTTGAGATGGAGTCTTGCTCTTTTGCCAGCCTGGAGTGCAGTGGCGCAATCTCGGCTCACTGCAACCTCTGCCTCCCAAGTTCAAGCGATTCTCCTGCCTCAGCCTCCTGAGTATCTGGGACTACAGGCGCGCACCACCACACCCAACTAATTTTTGTATTTTTAGTAGAAATGGGGTTTCACCATGTTGACCAGGATTGTCTCGATCTCTTGACCTCGTGATCCACCCACCTTGGCCTCCCAAAGTGCTGGGATTACAGGTATGAGCCACCGCGCCTGGCAGCATACCATTACATTTTATTTTACTTGGATTTAACAAAAATAAAAAGAAATTGAGGTAAAACTGGTGACATTATTGGATCATTCATTCAGGCAGATTTCAGAATTTGGAGTCATTATCCCGTGTGTTTCCATTTCAGTCAATATCCTTTAGCTCCCTGCTTAGAAATAGGAATTAGCCTTCTTAAACTCCTCCCTCGCTTACCTATTTTTGTTAGCTATTGTAAGGAACATGGCTGTGCTTTGGTCAAGGATAGGCCAAGGTAAGATGTTTACATCCTGCGTGACTCAGCAAGTTTAGACAGAGGCGTATAACTCCACTTGTTATCACAGCCATGTAGGCATAACATGGGAAGGTCATCACTTGGCTCTAAGCCACTATTTTCTGTAAAAGGTATAATTGCCCTGCTGATACTGTACAGGCGTTCGTGCCCAGAGAAAGAGAGAGCCAGAGCTGTCAGTCTTTGCAGACAGACAGGGGGAGCCAGATCACAGCTGAGAGAGAGTTAAGCTGCTGACCCTGAAGGCAAGGGAGAGCCAGCCTCGCAGTTGTGTGGGGGAGCCATGGGACTAAGCAGCTGAGACAAGGCAGACAGTGTGAGAGAACTAGTGTAAGTAAGCTGCTGATGAGAGCTGCTGCTGAATAAAATCATCTTTCACCTGCCTACCGTCCCCTGAGTGTTCTTTCAGCTATCTGTTCATCCACCCACTCCCCTCAGACCTCGATATGGGCTGGAACCTGGCTGTGGGCATGACAGTTGGCATAGTCGTGGACCTGACAGCTATATTATACACTGTCAAGTTTTAAAACATGTATATTGTTTTAATCGTAATTCTCACATTTATTAGTCTTAGGTATTGAAATTGATTATTTTTTCACATTATTATATATATTTTTTTACCTATTCAATAAATGTTAATACTTGTGGAAGAATTGTGGAATCAAAACTTTGTCCTTTTTTTCTTTTAATCTTTTTTGTAATAGAGACGGAGTCTTGCCGTGTTGGCCAGGTTGGTCTTGAACTCCTGAGCTCAAACAGTCCTGCCACCTTGGCCTCCCAAAGTGCTAGGATTAAAGGCGTCAGCCACCGCACCCGGCCCCAAACGTTTAAACAGATGTATTTCAGAACTTTCAGATAAAAAATGAAAGTAGGTTTCTCGTGCCGTGTCGTTTAGGGAAAGACGGCGACGTCTGCACAGTTTAGTTGTGACACCAAGCAGTTGTTCGTCCCCGAACCTGG
Organism: Homo sapiens; assembly: GCF_000001405.40. Lineage (NCBI taxonomy): Eukaryota > Metazoa > Chordata > Mammalia > Primates > Hominidae > Homo > Homo sapiens. The sequence goes on along the minus strand of NC_000016.10, from coordinate 23,596,443 downwards.
ATGGGCTCCGAGGGCGCAGTGCCTCCAGGAGCCGCCAGGGGCCGCCACCGCCGGCGGTGCCCGACAGCGCTGCCGTGTGCGTCGCCTGCGCGCCGCCGGAAAGGAACCCTGGTCCGGAGGCGGCGGCGCAGTGCATCCTGGGTTGGCGTAGCCATGGCGTCTCGTGTCCTTTCAGCCTATGTCAGCCGCCTGCCCGCGGCCTTTGCGCCGCTGCCCCGGGTCCGGATGCTGGCCGTGGCCCGGCCTCTCAGCACCGCTCTCTGCTCCGCGGGGACCCAGACGAGGCTCGGGACTTTGCAGCCGGCCTTAGTGCTCGCGCAGGTGACTCGTGGTGACTTTGCTGCCGCTTGGCAAGGGTCAGGGATTGGGCCCGGTGGGGGTGGGGGCCGGGCATCCGGGGCGCGCCAGCTGCAGGCAGGGGTGACCCGGGGGGCAGCCGGCTCGCTCCGCAGCCCCGCTGCCTAAAGGTGTTTAGTTGACCCCTGACGGGAGGCCGGGTGACCTCGTAATAACGAGCAAGAGCACTGACTCGAGTCCAGCACTGCTGGGCTGCCGCTTACCGAAACTTTGGACAAGTCTCCTAGCCTGGCTCACACTCACCTGCAAAATTGGGATCCTGGTCTCTACCTTGCGGAGTAGCAATGAGGATTAGATGAGTTAATGCGGCTAGAGCACCTCGTACGGTCTCAAAATAGCGGTCACCGTATTGTAGTGAAAGCAGCATGCAAAGAGGCAGCCACACTGGCCTACAGCCTTCTCCAGAGCGGTTTTCTCTCTGCAGTTCTGTCCTTACTCTTCCCTGCAGCACCTTCTGCCTGTGTCCAGGACTCCTGGAAGTAATTCTAGGAAACAAGCCAAGTGACCTTTGACCAATAAGGATTTGAATTGCGCGGGTCCACTTATATGCGGATTTTTTTTCAACCAAACGCGACCAGTATTTACGGGATGTGCCGCCCCGCGTATAAGGAGGGCAGGCTCTTCCTATAAGCGGATTCTGCAAGGCTGACTGCGGGACGTGAGTGTGCGGGGATTTGGGTATAGTCGGGGGTCCTGGAACCAATCTGCGCAAATACCAAGGAACGACTGTACCTGTAGTATATAGCTTGAGCTGATGAAATCTGCGTGAGGCTGAAACGCCGGGAGGCAGTGATTTCGGTGTTGTTGTTGTTGTTTTTGAGACAGAGTCTCGCTCTGTCACCCAGGCTGTAATGCAGTGGCGTGATCTCAGCTCACTGCAACCTCCGGCTAACGGCAACCTCCGCCTCTCAGGTTCAAGCAATTCTCCTCCCTCAGCCCCCCCGAGTATTTGGGACTACAGGCGCCCGCCACCATGCCCGGCTAAGTTTTGTATTTTTAGTGGAGACGGGGTTTCATCATATTGGCCAGGTTGGTCTTGAACTCCCGACCTCGCAATCCACCCGCCTCGGCCTCCCAAAGTGCTGGGATTACAGGCGTGAACCACCGCGCCCTGCCTTTTTTTTGTTGTTTTCTAAGTTCTCCAGATGACTCTGAAGTGCAGTTGGGAATAAAAATAACCGTCTTAAGGTAGGATAGACTCCCAAGGTCAAGTTATGAAACCCCTTTTCAAAGTCATAGACTTCAGGTAATAGTGGTTTCAACCTTGACTGCATGTTAGTGTGAAAAATAAGTGTGTCTGGCCAGGCGTGGTGGCTCACGCCTGTAATCCCAGCACTTTGGGAGGCCGAGGCGGGCGAATCGCTTGAGCCCAGGAGTTTGAGACCCTCCTAGGCAACATGGTGGAACCCCGTCTCTACAAAAAATACAGAAATTAGGCCGGGCGCGGTGGCTTATGCCTGTAATCCCAGCACTTTGGGATGCCGAGGCGGGCGGATCACGAGGTCAGGCGATCGAGACCATTCTGGCTAACACAGTGAAACCCCGTCTCTACTAAACATACAAAAAATTATCCGGGCGTGGTGGCACGCGCCTGTAGTCCCAGCTACTCAGGAGGCTGAGGTGGGAGGATCGATTGAACCCAGGAGGCAGAGGTTTTAGGGAGCTGAGATGATGCCACTGCACTCCAGTCTGGGAGGCAGACCGTCTTAAATAAGCCAGCCAGCCCGTGCCAGATCGACAGAATCTAGAAGTGAGTACTAGGCGACTATTTTTAGAAGTCATCAAGTGTTTCTTTTGTGAAGCCAGTGTTGCTGTTCACTGACAGTGTAATGGATTCATTCATTGGGCACTGCCCTGTTGGCTGTATCAAAAGGTGAAAAGTGTCACCTTGAAATTAAGGGTTAAAGGCCAGGCGCGATGGCTCACGCCTGTAATCCCAGCAGTTTGGGAGGCCGAGACGGGCGGATCACGAGGTCAGGAGATGGAGACCATCCTGGCTAACACGGTGAAACCCCGTCTCTACTAAAAATACAAAATAATTAGCCGGGCGTGGTGGCGGGCGCCTGTAGTCCCAGCTACTCGGGAGGCTGAGGCAGGAGAATGGCATGAACCCGGGAGGCAGAGCTTTCAGTGAGCCGAGATCGTGCCACTGCACTCCAGCCTGGGCGACAGAGCCAGACTCCATCTCAATAAATAAATAAATAAATAAATAAATAAATAAATAAATAAATAAATAAGGGTTAAAAAGGCAGTAGTTAGAATTGATGAGTGTCTGGTTCCTAAGATTGATTTCAACATTGGGCTAAAATGTGAAGTGACTGTCTTTGTTCTTACAGCATTGATTCTCAGTTGATTGGACATACAGATCACTTAGGCTGGAATACAGATTCTGATTCAGTTCTGGGAAGGGGCCAGAGAGTTTCCACCTCCAGTGGGCTTCCAGAAGATCCTGCTGCGGGTGTTCCTTGGACCATGCTTTGAATGGCAAGGAGCTCAGAAATGTTCCACTATGGCGGCTTGGCTTGCATATATAGCAGAGGAACCATTTTATTTATATTTACAAAGTGGTTTTGACTAAGTTCATTCAAAGATATTGAGGGCCAGCTGTGTGCCAGGACTCATGCTAGCTGTTGAGAGATACAGAGATGGATACAAAAGGAAGACATTAGCTTACATCTTCATTGAACGCTTTGCAGCCCTTATGTCCAACTTGCTGGCTCCTTCTCTGCTGCTGTCTTCTTCCCTAGGCTGTTGTGACACTGTTCTCCCTTGGTTGGTTTGTCCTCCTACCTTGTTGGGACACTTTGCCTTTCAGGCTGGAGTGCAGTGGCATGATCGTGGCTCACTGCAGCCTTGACCTCCTGGACTCAAATGGTCCTCCTGCCTCAGCTTCCTGAGTAGCTGGGACTACAGGCATGAGCCACCACCCCTAATTTTTTGATGTCTGTCTTCTTTTTAGAGACGGAATCTCCTTATGTTGCCTAGGCTAGTTGTGAACTCTTGGGCTCAAGCAATCCTCCTGCCTCAGCCTCCCAAGTGCTGGGATTACAGGCATGAGCCATCACACCTGGTGTGCCTAACCCTTAAATGTTGGTGGGCTCCCGAGTTCTCTTACCACACATGCTCCCTGGACTCTTCACTCCTGGTTTCTGTTATTGCTGTATATCCCAGACCTCCGCCTCCAGTCCTTGTTCATCTCATTTGGACCATTGCTCATGCTACCTATTCCCTGCTGTGAAATTTCCTCTCCTCAAATCCATCCACTATGCCAACTTCAGAGCAACTAGTCACTCATTTACACCCTTTTTCCCAAAAGGAGCTAAGGCAGTTTTCCTGGGTATAAAAATACCAGATGATATAAAATAGAAGGTAAGGAAAAAACAAAAAAACAAAAACCAAGGGCAATGGCCTAAAATGCAGCCTGGAAGTCTTATACTTGATCCAGGTAGGCCCCGAATCTACACTGTCTAGCAGATGGAGCACAAAGATAATTTCCAGCAGTTCTATGGGGCATGGTACGCAGATGAAGACAGCACTTGTACAAAAAAAAGCTAGCTATTCCAGGACTGGGACCAGGACCAGACAAAGTCCCAGTCCCTTCCCATGGCCCTTAAGGCTCTGCAGACCTGGGCCCTCCCTCTTAGCCTCCAAGCCTGTCATCTGTGTACCATCTCCCAACATGAGCTGATGTCTTCTCACATAGACACAGGCACTGCACTTTCATGACTTTTTTTTTTTTTTTTTTTCCAGACAAGGTCTCTGTCACTTAGGCTGGAGTGCAGTGGCATGATCATATATCAGTGCAGCTTCAAACTCCTGGGCTCAAGCAATCCTTCTGCCTCAGTCCCTTGACTAGCTGGGATAACTGGCCTGCGCTACCACGCCTGACCTCATTTCGTTTTCTTGACCTGTTCTTCCCTCTCCTTGAATTATCAGTCTCAGCTCTTTTCCTCACCAAATCCAAGTCTGGCATCCTCCTTTCCGGCCACTCAAGGACTGAGTGACAACTTTTGTTATTGCATCAGCCTACAGATACTTCTGTCATGGTGCTTGCCATATTTTTATTTCAACTAAAATGATCTGTGGATTGGTCTTTTCCATTAGAGTGTAAGCTTCTTTTGGGGGAAGGTTGTGTCTTATTCATCTTTGCATTTCCAGCCCATTGCACAGTTCTTGGCACACAGGTAAAGTTCCCAGGCTTCTGAGACAGTCGTGTAAATAAAGGCAAGGCATTGTGAAACAGGTGTGTGTAGTGCAAAAGCAAAAAGAGATACTTGACCAATCTCTCAGTGAACGTGATCTTGAAGGCCTGTGCAGAGGCCAGGAAGAGCCTGGCACTTACCTCCTTGTGGTTGACTCTTAGGGTGTCTGGAAGGGAACATTGTTGGGGGGAAGAGAGTGAGCATATCATGAAGGGAGCTGTATGCTGCAGCGAGGAATTGTGGGTATTCTCTGCAAAGGTCATAGGGAGTGAACATGAAACAGGGCTTATTGAAGGAATAAGCCCCAGGTGGCGGAGAAGGAACAGAGGTCTGTAAGCAGGAGTTTTGGAGACAGGTCAGGAGTTCATTTCCAAACTGTTGAGTTTGAGAGGTCTGGGCTGCCTGTGTAGAGTGGACCAGTCGGCAGTTTGTAGAGACGGCCTTTAAAGCCCTCTCCTTAGCCTCCTCTGAGTTTGCCTCAGGCAGAAGTGAGCCCCAGTGGAGTACCGGGATTCTGATGGAACCTCATCTGTTTGAATTACTAGCCCAGAGGGTCATCACTCTTTACCTGCAAACAGTACCTTCTCTGATGTCTGGGAGAGGTGGTTTATTTCCCATATACTTGTTAAGTGTAGATCTTGGGGAAGAACAACTAACACCAGAAACATCACATGTTGGCTGTTGGGGAGGTGCTTGTCCATTTTGTATCCCTTTTATTTTTTCCCAATCAACAGAGATCCAGTTAGAAGGAGCAGCAAGACCTTCCAGGAGGCCATGCTGGAAGGACATGGGGTGAGGAGGATACCTAACCTTCCCTTGCCTCAGTTTCTCATCTGTAAAAAGGAGGGTGATAGTATCATGGATCTCACCAGAATACTGGAGAGCTGAAGAAAGATGATGTGTGTAAAGTGCAATATCATAGCCTGAGCTGATAAGAAATTAATGGAGGCCGGGACGTGGTGGCTTATGCATGTAATCCCAGCACTTTGAGAGGCTGAGGTGAGTGGATCACTTGAGACCAGGAGTTCAGGACCAGCCTGGCCAACATGGTAAAACCTCATCTCCACTAAAAATACAGAAATTAGCCAGGCATGGTGGTGCACGCCTGTAATCCCAGCTACTTGGGAGGCAGAGGCATAAGAATCACTTGAACCTGGGAGGCAGAAGTTGTGGTGAGCCAAGGTCACAACACTGCACTCCAGCCTGGGCAACACAGTGAGACTCTGTCTGAAAAAAAAAAAAAAAAGAGACCAGAGGCAGGAGCATGAGAGGGTAGTAGGATCAAGTATTTTGGGGCTACGCTACAGCCAAGGTATCAAACTAGCTGCTGCTGGTCATTGTTCTCAGGATCCTACTAAATAACCCTAAATAGCACTTACTGTGTTAAGTGCCAGCCAATGTCCAAGCCTTTACTTCATCTCACTGATGCTTCACAACAGTCCTGTGAGTGTGGTACTGTTGTTTATCCCCATTTTACAGATGAGGAAACTGAGATGTAGAAGGTTAAGTAACCCACCCAAGGCCAAACAACTAGTGAGAGCCAGCACCATGGTGCAGGCATAGGTGGTCTAGTTTCAGCGTCTGAGCTCTTGCCCACTAACTTACTGCCTCACGCTGATCCTGATGCAGCACCCACTCTAGATTGGCATGTGGCCTCCAGTCAGAGACTCGTTTAATTTAATCACATGGTGCCCACCTGGCCCTTGTAGGTACTTGCTGGAGCTGCTGAGGACAATGCTGACAACCTAGTTGGCCTCATGGGTAGTTGTGTACGAACATAGAATATACCCTCACCAGGGGTCTTGCTTTGTTGCCCAGGTTGGTCTGGAACTCCTGGGCTCAAGCGATCCTTCCACTTTGGCCTCCCAAAGTGTTGGGATTACAGGCGTGAGCCACCACACCTGGCATCGTACCATTTCTTTTTTTTTTTTTTTTTTTTTTTCTTTTTGGAGACAGAGTCTCACCCTGCCGCCCAGGCTGGAGTGTAGAGCCATGATCTCAGTTCACTGCAACCTCTGCCTCCTAGGTTCAAGTGATCCTCCCACTTCAGCCTCCTGATTAGCTGGGATTATAGGCACACGCCACGATGCCCGGCTAATTTTTGGACTTTCAGTAGAGATGGAGGTTTCACTGTGTTGGGCAGGCTGGTCTTAAACTCCTGACCTCAAGAGATCCGCCCACCTTGGCCTCCCAAAGTGCTGGGATTACAGGCGTGAGCCACCACACCTGGCCTCGTACCATTTCTTGATAAGCACACAGCCTCTGTTAGATCCCTCCAACTGAAATTTCTTTTCTGCCATTGCCATATTACCTCATTTCTTCTCCCCCTTTCTCTTTATTCCTTTCTTCTCCATTTTATTTGTGACTTGGAAACCTATTTGAGTCATTGTTAAGTAGGCCGGTCATGTGCCTGTATAAAAGGTCTCCTTAACCCATGTATAATACGAAAGGAGACTAGACATTTAGACAAAGAAACATGCTCTAAAACTCTTGAAAGTACTCAGAAAGGCTCGTTAGAATATCTATCATACTCTCCAACTCATCTCTTTAGTTTGCTGATTAAACCTGATTTTTTTTTTTTTTTTCTTGAGACGGAATCTCACTCTGTCACCCATGCTGGAGTGTAAATGGCATGATCTTGGCTCACTGCAACCTCCGACTCCCAAGTTCAAGCGATTCTTCTGCTTCAGCCTCCTGAGTAGATGGGATTACAGGCACATGTTACCACGCCCAGCTAACTTATATTTTTGGTAGAGACGGGGTTTCTCCATGTTGGTCAGGCTAGTGTCGAACTCCTGACCTCGTGATCCGCCTGCTTCGGCTTCCCAAAGTGTGGCAATTACAGGTGTGAGCCACTGCGCCCAGCCTAAACCTGATTTTAATAACTGACTTCTTTTTCTTTTCTTTTTTGAGACAGAGTCTCGCTCTGTGGCCCAAGGTGGAGTGCAGTGGCACAGTCTCGGCTCACTGCAACCTCTGTCTGGGTTCAAGCAATTCTCATGCCTCAGCTACCTGAATAGCTGGGATTACAGGCACACACCACCACGCCCAGCTAATTTTTGTATTTTTAGTAGAGACGAGGCTTCACCATGTTGGCCAGGCTGGTCTCGAACTCCTGGCCTCAAGTGATTGGCTCACCTCGGCCTCCCAAAGTGCTGGGATTACAGGTGTGAGACACACATCGGCCCAATACCTGTTCTTTATGCAAGATGAATGTTTCTTCTACAGAGGTTATACTGGTTTGGTTCTCTGGGCAGTATTTATTATGATTTTTCATGGACCTTTGTGAGTTTCAGGGACCTGAGCCCTAACAAGCAGCCCCACTTTCTATAGGGAAATGCCTGAAGAACGCCAAGCCTCGGACTTAAAATCAACTTCAGGAGGTAAACAAACCAATTTAGATTAGGGATTTCTTTCTTTTTCTTTTTTTTGAGACGGAGTCTTGCTTTGTCGCCCAGGCTGGAATGCAATGGCGCAGGCTCGGCTCACTGCAACCTCTCCTCCCACATTCAAGCGATTCTCCTTCCTCAGTCTCCTGAGTAGCTGGGATTACAGGCGCCCACCACCACGCCTGGCTAATTTTTGTATTTTTAGTAGAGACGGGGTTTCACCATGTTGGCCAGGCTGGTCTCGAACTCCTGACCTCAGGTGATCTGCTCACCGTGGCCTCCCAAAGTGTTGTGATTATAGGCGTGAGCCACCACGACTAGCCAGATTAGGGATTTCAGTAGTGAGCAAAACTGCCAGATACCCTGTTTTGTTTTCTCTGATTCTGCGTCGTACCTTCCACAGCATTAAACCCCCTGACCTGTAATTGCAGCTCATTCCACATTTGTTGAATGAAATCTGGTCAATACCCTAATACCTAAACATTGAGCCGACTAATACCAGAGATACGTGAGGTATTGCTCTAACATGGCACAGGCCAGAAGGGCTCATGGTTTGGCTGGTGGCCATGAGGCAAGCCTCGCTGGAAGGGAAACAGATTGGAATGTAGTGACTGTAAGCTCCCTCATCCCCTCTTTGGGTGGGAGGCCAGCTTCCTTTGTCCTGGCTGAGATCAGGGAGATAACTGCTGGAACCAAACTAGACCTTTCTGGTGTATGGTCCTCAATTTGAATTGCCTTTGGGTTTACCATGACAGCTCTTTCCTTTTGGGTTATTTTGACTTGGGTCAGCCTATTAAAGGTGGCAGCACCCTGTAGAGGCCTCGGGATGCTGAAGATGCCATGAGAAGACACAGGCATTCTGCAGACGCTAGACAATTTTAGTGGCAGTTAGTGTCGCAGAGCAGTATGAATGTCCAGAGCCTGAGGGTTGAAGCCAGGAGGCAGAGGGGCCGGTCCTGACTCCCAGGAAGGAGGCCTGAGATGCTGCTGAACTGTTGGGGCTTCTGCGATTACCCAGTCCTGCAACTTAGTGTGTCCTGGTGGCCACAATGAGAATCAGATGCTGTGGGTTCTCTAAAGCCCCGAAAGTTCTGTGAAAGTTACCTATAGGCTTGTGCATTGATTTAGAGGTATTTTCCATTCAATGACAGTGTTTCCTTCCTGCCGTCGCTCTAGGTTCCTGGTAGAGTTACACAGTTGTGCCGCCAGTATAGCGACATGCCTCCTTTGACGTTAGAGGGCATCCAGGACCGTGTTCTTTACGTATTGAAACTCTATGACAAGATTGACCCAGAGAAGGTAACTGATGGTGGTTTGAATTTTTTTCTTTAAATATAGAGTATTTAATTACATGCTAGAAAATGCAAAGGGAAAGATACTCAGTAAAAATCTCCCTGGCTCCCAGACACCCAGGCCCATTCTGGGAGATAGCCAGCGCTACCAGTTTCATGTATGTTTCCAAAGGTACTCAATGCATATGTTAAAGAAGTATACACACGTGTGTATATTATATGTATGTATCTCTCACCCTTTTTAAAAAACACAACTGGCCGGGCACTGTGGCTCATGCCTGTAATCCCAGCACTTTGGGAGGCCGAGGCGGGCGGATCACCTGAGGTCGGGAATTCAAGACCAGCCTGACTAACATGTAGAAACTTCATCTCTACTAAAAATACAAAATTAGCCGGGCATGGTGGCACATACCTGTAATCCCAGCTACTCGGGAGGCTGAGGCAGCAGAATCACTTGAACCCGGGAGGTGGAGGTTGCAGTGAGCCGAGATAGCGTGATTGCAGTCCAGCCTAGGCAACAAGAGTGAAACTCCATCTCAAAAATAATAATAAATAATAAAAACACAAGTGGGGCCGGGCGTGGTAGCTCACGCCTGTAATCCCAGCACTTTGGGAGGCCGAGGCGAGTGGATCATGAGGTCAGGAAATGAAGAGCAGCCTGGCCAAGATGGTGAAACCCCATCTCTACTAAAAATACACAAATTAGACAGGCGTGGTGGCAGACACCTGTAATCCCAGCCACTCGGGAGGATGAGGCAGAGAATTGCTTGAACCCGGGAGGGAGAGGGTGCAGTGAGCCGAGATCATGCCACTGCACACTGCAGCCTGGATGACAGGGTGAAACTCCATCTAACAACGAAAAAAAATTGAATCTGTTGTGTAGGTAAGGCAGTTTTTTTTTTGATTTGGGTTTTTGAAGAATCATTCCTGGTGATCCTGAGGTCTAAATTAGAGTGATAGGGTGATAGTAAACACTTTGGCCAGGCGCAGTGGCTCACGCCTGTAATCCCAGCACTTTGGGAGGCCAAGGTGGGTGGATCACGAGGTCAGGGGTTCGAGACCAGCCTGACTAACATGGTGAAACCCCGTCTCTACTAAAAATACAAAAATTAGCTGGGCGTGGTGGTGCACGCCTATAATCCCAGCTACTCGGGAGTCTGAGGGGTGAGAATTGCTTGAACCCGGGAGGCCGAGTTTGCAGTGAGCCGAGATCGTGCCATTGCACTCCAGCCTGGGTGACAGAGCAAGACTTTCTCAAAAAACCAAAAAACAGACAACATTAGAGTGAAATCCTTCATTAGCTATGTATATATTGTTCACTTCAAAACAGAGTAAGATAAAGCAAACCATGTACATACTAGCATAGGTTACATATAAAATGTCAGTTATAGCCTCTGTATGTTAAAAAAAATTCGATGTAGTCACAAGGACAGAAAACCAAACACTGTGTGTTCTCGCTCATAGGTGGGAACTGAACAATGAGGTCACTTGGACAGAGGGTGGGGAGCATCATTTACCAGGGCCTGTCAAGGGGTAGGGGGTTTGGGGAGGGACAGCATTAGGAGAAATACCTAATGTAAATGATGAGTTGATGGGTGCAGCAAACCAACATGGCACATGTATACCTATGTAACAAACCTGCACGTTGTGCACATGTACCCTAAAACTTAAAGTATAATAAATTCAATATAGTGATTAAGTGGCATTGTACCACCCTGTTATCTTGGGAAGCAGATGCTTTCATGGACTAAATTTTGTGTTTGGTGCTCCTTTCTTGCAGCTTTCAGTAAATTCTCATTTTATGAAAGACCTGGGCTTAGACAGTTTGGACCAAGTGGAGATTATCATGGCCATGGAAGACGAATTTGGTAAGGCTCAGTCTTCTATCTACACACTGCGATTTTTGATTAAGGTGGATTAAACTGAAAGAAGTGGTGGGCGTCTGAATTGGAATTAGAATTAAATATTAATAGAAACAGTAGCATCCACTGCCCTTCACACACACCTTCCTGCCCACTTACCATCAGGTGAAGTAAGCTTTAGGGATGGTACATTTATTCAGAGAGCACCTTGCACAAGCCCAGCAGAGTGCCCAGTGTGGTGCCAAGAGCCGAATGACCAGAGATGGTTCCAGGGGACTGATTCTTCAGACAGGGTTCTAAGACAAAGGGCAAAAGCCTCCCCGGAACACATGCTGATGACATGTCAGCCCCTCCTGAGCTCGGGTAACGCGAACCAGGTAGAAGTAATGTGTGCCAGGACAAGAGACGCACCCAGAGCCTCTGGCCTTGGTCTCCTATCCTGGCTCACAAGCACACTCCAAGTTTGGGACTGTGTGTTGGGCAGGTGAGACCTTTATAAGGTTCCATGGCTGTTTCTGCGTGAGTTGGCTGAATAGGAAATCAAAGGACTTCTGTGCTGTTCTGCAGAGCAGGGCCTAGTTAAAATTCCTCACAGATGATGCTGACTAGGATGGAATCCCTTTGCCTAGTGCTTAAGAGTACCAGGTCTGGAATTGAGCTTAGTCAGGTATGAGCCTGGACAAGTAACTGTATCTCTCAAAGCCTGTTTCCTCAGCTGTAAAGTGGGGGTGATAATAGTAGGAACCCCAGGATTGGAATTGCTGTGAGAATTAGAGATGATGTGTAAAATGCTCAGCACAGTGTTTGGGCCAAAGTAAGCTAACTACCAAAACCCAGCCATTTATAAAAACCCAACCATCATAAAAAAAAAAATGCATGGGTGACGTGTGTTACAGCACACGAACCTTGAGAACGTGCCGAGTGAAAGAAGCCAGACACAGAAGATGACACGTTATATACCATTTACATGAAATGTCAAGAAGAGGCAAATCCAGAGATAGAAAGTACACGGGTGGTTGCCAGAGCTAGGGAGGATGGGGAGTGACTGCTGACGGGCACTGGGTTTCTTTTTTTTTTTTTTTTTTTAATTGATCATTCTTGGGTGTTTCTCGCAGAGGGGGATTTGGCAGGGTCATAGGACAATAGTGGAGGGAAGGTCAGCAGGTAAACAAGTGAACAAAGGTCTCTGGTTTTCCTAGGCAGAGGACCCTGGGGCCTTCCGCAGTGTTTGTGTCCCTGGGTACTTGAGATTAGGGAGTGGTGATGACTCTTAACAAGCATGCTGCCTTCAAGTATCTGTTTAACAAAGCACATCTTGCACCACCCTTAATCCATTTAACCCTGAGTGGACACAGCACATGTTTCAGAGAGCACCGGGTTGGGGGTAAGGTCATAGATCAACAGCATCCCAAGGCAGAAGAATTTTTCTTAGTACAGAACAAAATGGAGTCTCCTATGTCTACTTCTTTCTACACAGACACAGCAACAATCTGATTTCTCTATCTTTTCCCCACATTTCCCCCTTTTCTATTCGAAACAACCGCCATCGTCATCATGGCCCGTTCTCAATGAGCTGTTGGGTACACCTCCCTGACGGGGCGGCTGCCGGGCGGAGACGCTCCTCACTTCCCAGACGGGGCGGCTGCCGGGCAGAGGGGCTCCTCACTTCTCAGACGGGGCGGCTGCCGGGCGGAGGGGCTCCTCACTTCTCAGACGGGGCGGCTGCCGGGCGGAGGGGCTCCTCACTTCTCAGAGGGGGCAGCCGGGCAGAGACGCTCCTCACCTCCCAGATGGGGTCGCGGCCGGGCAGAGGCGCTCCTCACATCCCAGACGGGGCAGTGGGGCAGAGGCGCTCCCCACATCTCAGACGATGGGTGGCCGGGCAGAGACGCTCCTCACTTCCTAGACGGGATGGTGGCCGGGAAGAGGCGCTCCTCACTTCCCAGACTGGGCAGCCGGGCAGAGGCGCTCCCCACATCTCAGACGATGGGTGGCCGGGCAGAGACGCTCCTCACTTCCTAGACAGGATGGCGGCCGGGAAGGGGCGCTCCTCACTTCCCAGACTGGGCAGCCGGGCAGAGGGGCTCCTCACATCCCAGACGATGGGCGGCCAGGCAGAGGCTGCAATCTCGGCACTTTGGGAGGCCAAGGCAGGCAGCTGGGAGGTGGAGGTTGTAGCTAGCCGAGATCACGCCACTGCACTCCAGCCTGGGCAACATTGTGCACTGAGTGAACGAGACTCCATCTGCAATCCCGGCACCTCGGGAGGCCGAGGCTGGCAGATCACTCGCGGTTAGGAGCTGGAGACCAGCCCAGCCAACACAGCGAAACCCTGTCTCCACCAAAAAAATACGAAAACCAGTCAGGCGTGGCGGCGCGTGCCTGCAATCGCAGGCACTGGGCAGGCCGAGGCAGGAGAATCAGGCAGGGAGGTTGCAGTGAGCAGAGATGGCGGCAGTACAGTCCAGCTTCGGCTCGGCATCAGAGGGAGACCATGGAAAGAGAGGGAGAGGGAGAGGGAGAGGGAGACCGTGGGAAGAGGGAGAGGGAGAGGGAGACCTTGGGGAGAGGGAGAGGGAGAGGGAGACCGTGGGAAGAGGGAGAGGGAGAGGGAGACCGTGGGGAGAGGGAGAGGGAGCTGGGTTTCTTTTACACAATGGTGATGGTTGCACAATGTGAATATACTAAAAACTACCAAATTATATGGTATATACAAGGAGGAATTTTCTATTATGTGAATTCTATCTCAACAAACAAACAAACAAACAAACAAACATACCTCCAAAGCATCGTACCCAACCTGTATGCATACTGTCTAGAAGCTAACTGGCCCACAACCTATATGGGATTCAAGGTTGCTGAAAGTTTTGATATACTTGTAGCTGTTGTAGAAGGGTCAGGTGTGTTCAGTTCTAAAGGATTTTTTTTTTTTAACTCTCTCACATTGTTGTATATTTTTCTTTTAGGGTTTGAAATTCCTGATATAGATGCTGAAAAGTTAATGTGTCCACAAGAAATTGTAGATTACATTGCAGATAAGAAGGATGTATATGAATAAAGTATCAGGTAAATAGACTTAAAAAATGATGTTCACCCATAGATTTGTCTGTGGTTCTTCAATAAAGGAAACTTAAGAAGAAACAGAAAATGGAAATGCTTGACCAAGATTTTTCACTACTTATAAAATGCAAGCCCTTTCCTGTTGTCTGCCACTCAAAGGGGCCCAGCCCTGGTGGTGATCTTTGAGAGGTTGAGAACTGTCATTCCTGGATAGAACTCCCTTGATTGTCAGCTGTCCTCACAAAAGCAGAACATTGTACAAAGTACTGAACAGGGTAACCTGGAAACAGACCTCTGTCTCCCTCAATTACTCAGCCAAGGTAAGCCCAGCCTGCTGGGTAAGACACTGAAGTGACCTGGCTCTTAAGTAGGCAAGAGAGGCCTCATGTATAAGAGGATGGACTTTGGAGTCAGAGACACCCAAGTTTATTCTCAGCTTTGCCACACACTATAAGCCTGGTGGTCTCAGGCAGGCTGCTTAGCTCTGTAAGCCTCAGTTTCCTCATATGTAATATGGTGGTAATGATAGGACCTACCTGGGGCTTTTGTGAAAGCAAAATTGAAGAGAGTATATATATCACTTGATATAATGATGTAAAGAAGCCTCTCAGTAAATAGTAGCTTTTGTTACTTGGGACCTAGAATAATCAAATAAGACTTTTTGAATTAAAACATTGTATTAGTGTTTTTAGTCTTTAGCTTTTAGTGACCCTGCATTTTTTTTTTTTTTTTTTTAAAGATGGAACCTTGCTCTGTTGCCCAGGCTGGAGTGTAGTGGCACAATCTCGGCTCACTGCAACCTCCGCCTCCTGGGTTCAAGCAATTCTCCGGCCTCAGCCTCCTGAGTAACTGGGATTACAGGCGTGCACCTCCACGCCCAGCTAATTTTTATATTTTTAGTAGAGATGGGGTTTCACCATGTTGGCCAGGCTGGTCTCGAACTCCTGACCTCAGGTGATCCGCCCAGCTTGGCCTCCCAAAGTGCTGAGATTACGGGCATGAGCCACTGCACTCAGCCAGAGGCTGCATTTTTAGCACCTGAAAGATGTCACTTATCATTAGTAAGAATACATCAAAAATAACATTGAACTTATTTTGTCTTTTCCAGACCCTTTGGCTTTGCTGAGAGAGGACTCAGATGATAGTGACGAATGTCTGGCAGTGAGGACACATTTTGGCATTCTTGCTGACTCTGACAGAGTGATTCTGATGGACTTGTATTTAAATTGTATGTGTTTTACTCTTTGAAAATAAATCTATAAAACCAACATTTTCCCCCATCTTCAGTTTTTCAATGATGTCTATAAAGTGCTTTTTTATGTTTGTATACTGACATTGCTTAATATTTTTAAAGGTCTGATTTGTCATTTGTATTCATGCATGTCAAAAACAATGGCTTCCCCAGCCATGTACTTGAAGTAAGGCTGTCTCCCCACCTTCGTATCAGGAGTGAATATATTCATGGAAATGGACTTTTTGCTTCAAAAAAAACTTTGTTTTGGTTTCCATTAGCTTATTATCAGATGTGTCAGCTGATATCAGCAGGTGGGACTAGTTTTTCATCACTGTCCTAAAGATCCCTTTTAATACAGTTTAACAGTTTTGGAGAATGGGAGGCTCTCTTTCCTCCTGGAAGGTCAGTTTGACATTGCCACACATCAAACCACAGTTTGATTTGTCACACATCATTATTGGTTCTGCCCCTTTTACTCTTAGCACTGTGTTGGTTCCTTGGGGTTGATGTAAATAACATGTATGCATTGCTTAGCTCTTGAAGAGTTTAGTTTGAGAGTTACATCAAAATAATTCCTCTCCTTTTACTGACTTTCTAGTATGGGGAAGGAAGAGGAACCAAAGGCCTACAGTAAGTAGTGTCTTTGAGGCAGAGGGACTAAGGTGAGGGGCCCTCAGCCAGCAGAGAATCTCATGGCTGAGAGATGAGGTGGTCGAAGGATGGGAGTCAGCTCTGGGATTGGGTCCACACTCACATCTGCTTCCCTTCCTGCAGGTACCAATACGCTGGTTCCTTCTGGGTTGCTCTAGAGTTATTCCAGGCATGTTAGGCAGACATAGTCCTTTTTTTTTTTTTTTTTTTTTTAACTTTTATTTAGGTTCAGGGGTACATGTACATGTTTGTTATATAGGTAAATTATGTGTCATGGGGTTTGGTGTGCAGATTATTTCATCACCCAGGTAATAAGCATAATACCCCATGGGTTTTTTTATTTGAGAAGGAGTTTCGCTCTTGTCGCCCAGACTGGAGTGCAGTGGCACAATCTTGGCTCACTGCAACCTCCGTCTCCCAGGTTCAAGCGATTCTCCTGCCTCAGCCTCCCAAGTAGCTGACGTTATACCCGCCACCATGCACCCGCCACCACCTGGCTAATGTTTTGTATTTTTAGTTGAGACGGGGTTTCACCATGTTGGCCAGCCTGGTATTGAACTCCTGACCTTAGGTGATCCGCCCACCTCCGCCTCCCAAAGTGCTGGGATTACAGATGTGAGCCACTGTGCCCAGTCCCTGATGGGTGTTTTTTGGAGCCTCACCCTCCACCCTCCAGTAGGCCCCAGTGCCTGTTGTTCCCTTCTGTCCATGTTTACTCAATGTTTAGCTCCCACTTAAAGTGAGAACGTGGTATTTGGTTTTCTGATCCTGTGATAGTTCACTTAGGATACTGGTTCCAGCTGCATCCATGTTACCATAAAGGACATGATCTCATTTTTTATGGCTGCATAGTATTCCATGGAGAGTGTGTGTGGTGTGTGTGTGTGTGTGTGTGTGTATACACACTTTCTTTTTTTTTTTTTTTCAGACAGTCTCACTCTGTCGCCCAGGCTGGAGTGGTATGGTGCTATCTTGGCTAACTACAACCTCTGCTTCCCCAGTTCACGTGATTCTCCTGCCTCGGCCTCCTGAATAGCTGGGATTACAGGCATCCGCCACCATGCCCGGATACTTTGTATTTTTATTAGAGATGGGGTTTCACCATGTTGGCCAGATTGGTTTCGAACTCCTGACCTCAAATGATCCGCCCGCCTTGGCCTCCCAGAGTGCTAGGACTACAGGCGAGAGCCACTGCACCCAGCCTACACATTTTCTTTACCCAGTCTGCAGTTGATGGGCATTTAGGTTGATTCCATGTCTTTGTTATTGTGAATAGTGTTGCAGTGAACACAGGCATGTGTGTGTCTTTATGGTAGAATGATTTATATTCCTTTATGTATATCCAGTAATGGGATTGCTGGGTCGAATGCAAACCTCGTTTTCTTTGAGTTCTTTGAGACATTCACTGTCACCCAGTCTGAGTGCAGTGACACGACTGTGGCTCACCGCAGCCTCAACCTCCCAGGCTCAGGCCATCCTCCTGCCTCAGCCTCCCAAGTAGGCACACCACTGCTAATTTTTTAAGTTATTTATAGAGATGGGGTCTCACTGTGTTACCCCGGCTGGTCTCGAACTCCTGGGCTCAAAAGATGCTCCCGCCTCCACTTCCCAAAGTGCTGGAATTACAGGCATGAGGCACTGCACCTGGCCCCTTTTTAGCAATAGAAAGCATATCCTCAGTTATGAAAATCATACATTGTTACACTAGACCTTTTTTATTTTTTTGCAATATTTAGCAACATATCTTGGAAAACTGCCAAATTGGAGGATAAGGCTCTTCCTCATTGTTTTTTTACAACTGCATTTATTTAACAATAGCTTGAGCACTTACTAAGCACTGGTGATCAAATAGGGAGTAAACAGGCTGTGTGTTATTCCTTTGATTGGAACGTCTAGTAGTTTAACACTGGGGGTATTTTGGTGGTAGTCCCCAAGTTGTTCTGGCTATTTTAAATCCCATGGCAGCTGTACATTTTACCAAAAAAAAGCGTCTGTGATTGTGTCTGCCTAAGATCACAAAGTCTGACTGTACTGCCACTTGAGTGCCTGCTTTGCTACTATCTTCACCAGACGCCTGCAGTGAAACAGCCCATTCACATCATCCAGTAGCTGGTGTAAGCCCCAAAGAAGCCAGAATGAGGGAAGACATTTACTGGATCTCACACACACACATCATTCATCCCCAAGGCCATTTAGGGTCTGGTTGTTCAAGCAATAGCAAAGGCCTTTCTGTTCTTTCTGCTCTAAGAGCTTATCAGAATGTTCTTTTGAGAGACTTCTGTGCCACTATAGGTAGGCAGCAAACTGGCCAAATGT
Organism: Homo sapiens; assembly: GCF_000001405.40. Taxonomy (NCBI): domain Eukaryota; kingdom Metazoa; phylum Chordata; class Mammalia; order Primates; family Hominidae; genus Homo; species Homo sapiens. The sequence continues at coordinate 23,578,080 of NC_000016.10, read as the reverse complement.
AGCATTCCAAAGTGTGTGTGAATTCAAGAACAGGATAAATGGAATTGTATGCATATGGTATTTAATAGCTGCTGAAAACACCTCAGAGGATCTGTGCCTCTGTTGTACACCGTTCCCACTGGGAAAGGGCGGTTTGTGAAGCCTGTCATGACCCAGTCCCAGTCCTGTCTCCAGCCATCCCCACCATATCTCCAGTGGAGCTGCTTCAGTCTTCTCACTGTGTTCTCCATACAGCAAGTTCACTCACTCGCTCCACACACAAGGAAGTACCCACTGTGTGTTAAGCACTCCTGGAGCCTGAGTACACAGTTTCACACCATATAGTTTGTCTCCCATCTCCAGGAGCTCACCACCTTGTAAGGGAGGTAGGTACAACCTAGGTGGAGGTATCATACTCAGCATCACCAATGATACAACAAGTCAACCTCCTATGCTGCTCCTGATGTGAGGCACTGAGGTCATGTCACCTCTGAGGCACTCTTGCTAAAATCATCTAACCTGAATCTGATTATGAGGAAACAAATCCAGAAGGTGGGAGTTTATAAGGCCTGGACTTTAAAAAGTGTCATGAGAGGCCCGGCATGGTGGCTCATGCCTGTTCTGTTAATCCTAGCACTTTGATTTGAGGCCAGGAGTTTGAGACCAGCCTGGGCAATATCGTGAGACCCTGTCTCTTCAAAAATATTAAAAATTAGCTGAGTGTGGTGTCACCTGCCTGTAGTAGCAGTTAGTCCCAGATGTGGAGATTGGGATAAAGAGAGATGGATGGGCAAGAGATTCTGGGAATAAAATGGCAGAACCTGGGAGGATCACTTGAGCCAGGGAATTAGAGGCTACGGTGAGCTATGACTGCACCATGGCACTCCAGCCTGGGCAACAGAGGGAGACTCTGTCTCTAAAAAAGAATTGAAAAATAAATAGGCGGGGTGCAGTGGCTCACACCTGAAATCCCAGCACTTTGGGAGGCTGAGGTGGGTGGATCACCTGAAGTCAGGAGTCCGAGACCAGCCTGGCCAACATGGCGAAACCTCGTCTCTACTAAAAATACAAACATTAGCCAGGCATGGTGGCAGGTGCACGTAATCCCAACTACTTGGGAGGCTGAGGCAGGAGAATCGCCTGAACCCGGGAGGCAGAGGTTGCAGTGAGCCGAGATCATGCCACTGCATTCCAGCCCGGGCAACAGAAACTCCATCTCAAAATAAATAAAATAAAACAAATAAATGGCAGAATCTGATCAGTTGTGTCTAAGCTATCTCCCAACATACCAGTACTGGGTGAGTTGCGGTCTAAAGCAGGTACCAGAGGATTGGATTTGATGCATTGAATTTGAGGTGTTTGTAGGATACCTGAGCAGGCAACAGATAATGAGCAACAGTTCAAGAAAAATGTCAGGCTTGGAGTCTGAGCGCTGGTGAGGTGCTTCCCCAGTGCCGGCTCCCTCCTGCTAAGTTCCCATTGAGGAGTCCCCTCACCCCACTCTAGGAAGTGGCTTAAGTGGGAATGATTGGCCCTCTGCCCCTGGGATGCGCACTTAAGTACTTGAGCGTAATGTGAATTCTTCTTCAGGGATGATTTGGTGCTGGGGTTGAGAAGCTAGGAGAACTGAGTGAAAGACTTACCTATCACCTGAAATTCTTTATCAAGTGCATGTGTTACTGTTTTAATTTTTAAAGTGGTAGCCAACTAATAAATAAAGCCAATTAAACAAATGTAACTGACAAATTAACTTTATTAATATGCAAAGCTAATTAATAAAGCCAACAAACAAATGCCAAGGTTCAAAGTTTAAAAAAGCAACTCACACACCCAACTTAGTGCCCTGAAGACACACAGCAAAACCAAGGAAAGAAAAAAATTTGAAAGCAAAATAAAGCAGCTGGGTTCTTTCCTAACTTCTCAAGTACCAGGCCAGTATCTAAGAGCACAGACTTTAGCATCAGGCAAAGCTGGGCTCTGAATTGTAGCTTCACTCGGTAACAGGCATGTGATGTTGGCTAAGCCATCTAACTTCTCTGAACCTAAGATTTCCTCTAGTGGCTGAAGTGAGGGTCACAGGAGGGATGTGGTGCAGTGTTGACTGTATAATGCAAGTAACATCCTTCACACTGTTAAGACATAAGGAAGAAGCTGATGTCACAGGACCTGAATGCAGAGTGTTTAGAGCAAGTACGTAGTGGAAGAGCGCCCAAAGGTGATGTCCATTCTTCCCTCCAGGGCTGGAGGCCTAGAGAAACAGCATTTGCCTGGCACACAGCAAGAGGTCAAAACACCCTGCTAGGTGGTCTCTTTTTTTTTTTGAGATGGAGTTTCACTCTTGTTGCCCAGGCTGGAGTGCAATGGCACGATCTTAGCTCACTGCAACCTCCACCTCCCAGGTTCTAGTGATCCTCCTGCGTCAGCCTCCCTAGTAGCTGGAATTACAGGCATGCGCCACCACGCCTAATTTTGTATTTTTAGTAGACATGGGGTTTCTCCATGTTGGTCAAGCTGGTCTCGAACTCCCGACCTTAGGTATCTGCCCGCCTCAGCCTCCCAAGTGTTGGCATTACAGGCATGAGCCATCACACTCAGCCTAGAAGTACCAGATAGCAGATTCTCCAGATGGGCATCAGCCAACGTATAGCATGGGATACAATCCCAATGATCCCCCTCTCCCATGTAGGAGTCAGATCCCTAAGCATCCAGCCGTATTGTTTCAGGATTATGAGGTACTGTGAAAAAGTGAAGAGCTGACCCCCTCCGCCTGCTAGGAAGAAGTGAGACCAGCAGGGACAAACTCCATCACTCTTCATATACCAAGGATTCTGTTTTAGTCCCCTGCCTTTTTTTTTGGCGGGGGGGACAGGATCTCACTCTGCCACCCAGGCTGGAGTGCAGTGGCACAACCTCAGCTCACTGCAGCTTCTGCCTCTGGGGTTCAGGCGATTCTTGTGCCTCAGCCTCCCAAGCAGCTGGGACTACAGGCACCTGACACCACATCTGGCTAATTTTTATATTTTCTAGTAGAGGCAGGGTTTCACCATGTTGGCCAGTCTGGTCTCGAACTCCTGACCTCAGGTGATCCATCCACCTCAGCCTCCCAAAGTGCTAGGATTACAGGCGTGAGCCACCGTGCCTGGCCGATATCTGTATTTTTTGTAGAGATGGGGCTCTTGCTATGTTGCCCAGGCTGGTCTCAAACTCCTGGGCTCAAGTGATCCTCCCACCTTGGTTTCCAAAGTGCTGGGATTACCGGTGTGAGCCAGTGAGCCTGGCCCATTTTTTGGTAACAGATTTTCTTCCTCCCGACTCCTGGGTCTTTATAGCTTGTGGCTAAATCTGTAGCTCCAATCTCAGTGTTTTCTAAAACATGTCCTCAAAGGCTAAATGGCTAGGTGGGGTTGCCCAAGGCACTAGTCAGGAGGTGTGAGTACAGGGAGGCAGCTTCTCTTCCAACATGTGGAAGCCAGGGCCCACCAAGGAGCAGACCATGCTGCTCCAACAGGAGTGTGGCTCACTGTCACACCGGTCACTTTCACCATTTTGCAGAGTAAATGTCAACTGTTTCAGCAGAGAATACATTTGAATATACTTAAAGCCAAATAAGACCACAACTGGCAAAGAAATGGCTCCAGGTCCAATTCCAAATGTTGGTTAATCCCCAGTATGGATTAGGCGCATGAAGAATTGGAAGGAAAAAGAGACGCAATTAATTATCAAACTTTAATCGATTGACTAATCTTACAGGATAAACAATAAGACAGCTATTCAAGGTTACACTTTAAAAAAAAAATCCAGCAGTGCAAATCTAATAGACTAAATACGTTCATCTCCTCCCAAACAGGCATTTGATTTGAAAACAGAAACCAGAACAGAGCATACACCACAAGGAAACATGGTACTTACAAATATTGTCAAATAATTCAGCAGAACTCTTTAAGAAAAAAAAAAGGTTCTTAGAAATTGAGAAAGCAGTAGAACCACCCAGCCTGGCAGATCAATCTACCAGATGTTCTGCATGCGAGAGGGCTCCCAACCACCTGTAACTTCAGAAAGGCCGCCAGGCACTATTACGAAGGAAACAGGTGCAGATCCTAACTGGAGATGACTTTATCACAAAGCCTTAAGACAAAGGGACCATCCTCTTCCAAGACAACAGGTGTGAACAGAGGCAAGGAGCGAGAGGAGAGGGCTCCCTCAGCAGATGGGTGGAAAGCAAGCCTGCCCTTGCACGGCCCTTGGCACACTCAATCTACCCCCTTTCCCTTCTCTGCCCCTGGCAAAGAAAGGCTGGGCAAGTGCAAGAGCCCAGAATGGCTCCTCCAGGCACATGGTTAAAGTAAGAGTAAGAGGAAAACAAGCCCCTTCTGGGTGAAATATGGCAACTTTTCTGAGACATGGCAACGAGGCAGAGTTAATCTCTTTGGCCCTCATCAGGTAAAGCAGCAACTAAGGAGCCTACTCAGGGCCTTACGTGGGCCCCTTCTATGTCCACAAGAAAGTGCATCCTTAGCTCAGTTCAACATTTAAAAAGAGCTAACGCTACTTGCAAAAGGCCCACCATGGATTCAAACACTTAATACCAAAGAGGTCCAGCAACTCGCGAGTCTGTCTGTGTTCTGTGATCTGAAGCAGAGCTAAGGGGGGCCTGGCTCACAGGGTCACGCTCTTCTGCCAAGGCGCCTCAGGGAGGGAAAAAAAGGCATGATGATGTCTGTGAGCCAGAACCTGCAGGAGGACCACCGGTAGAGATTCTAGAAGACAAAGAAGCCCTCAGGAGGCTCTGAGAGGTGTCCAATGTCTAAGAGACGGCCACCCCCTCCATCTCTAGCTTCGAGTCAACGCTGTTACAGTCACTCTCCGGAAACCAGCTCTTCCTTTATCCACCTGCACGGCCCCTGCCACAGTGAGGGAAAGATCTGGTCCCTCTGACAGTAAGGAAATTGTATAGAAATTATCCTGAGGAAAAAAAAAACCACTGTGACGCTACCTAAAAGAAAGAGTATTTCAATTTGCTTACACAGATTTAGTCAGTACACTCCAGACTGTAAGAAATGTATGAAGAGACTGCTTACGGAACTCAAAGACTAAACAGTGAATACTACTGTGGCCCAGACACGGATCGAAAACACTTCTCCCAGTGGCTTCTGGTGCTATGTCTGCTCTCCCGAGAGCGTCCAGCAAGGTCTTCCATGCAGACAGGGTGAGGAGCCACAGAGCTCAAGATTGTTGAAGCTGATTTAGTGAGCTCTGTAAAGCAATACTCAAACAGCTCCGTACGAAAAGGTGTCATTTACATTATTATTTATATATAGTATCTCGAAGTAAGGAAAAAAGCACCATTTTACTGAAAATAAAAAGGCTCACGCAGGCTTTGGTCCTCCTGAAATGACACCAGCCTGAGTGAGAAGCAGTTGGCCCTTGGGGAGCGGGGAGATGATGGAACGCTGTCACCGGCAAGAAGGGAGGCCAAGTGGCCCGGCAAGCCACAAGAATGGGGCAATAAGGGGAGCAGGTGGAGGGGCCTCGGAGAGCAGCCAGGCTAGTCTGGGGATGGAGCCACCTGCTCTGAGAGATCAAAAGTAGGTGTGCGGCACTGTCAGGACAAGTCTCTAGGACTGGGGCATTGGCAAACAAAAGGGGCAATGTCTGACCCGAGATGATGTTCTACTTAATGCATCTCATTTCCCCCAAAACCTGTCACCTGCAGACAGAGGCTTGGACAAGTAGCTCAGATGTACTCTTTTCCCCAGGAACTGCAGGCCGACAAGGACAGAAAAGCTGCAATGACTGCTCCTTTCTCAAGGGATGAAAAAACAGGCTGTTTCTTGGATGCTGCACTTCACAAATGTACTAATTGCCCCCAAAAAAGCAAAGAGTAGATTTTCCTGCCTAGATGCATCACTTGGCATTGACTACACCATGGAAAGCAAGAGTCTGTCTATGTGGGCTGGATTCCTGAACTACAGCTTAGAAGGGAAGGGCGTAGAATATCATCATTAACTGGCTCACAAGGAATAGTCATCTTGGGCGAACACATGCTAATACGTTTCACAGAATGAGGGGTGACAGCCTAGAATCCAAAATGTGATGTTTGGAACATTTCTCGCCAAACCTTACTATGAAAGCCTGCAACCAGTGAGAGGAGAACTGCAAAGACGGCAGCAGAGAAACAGCAAACAGCACAAAAGAGATAATTTACCAAGAGACTTTCCCTCCTTTCAGAGGCAACCAAGCCAGAAGGAGATGACAGAAGTTCACGTGTACAGAGAACAGAAGGGCTAAAACCAGAAGAAGGTGAGCTAATCATGAAAGCAATTTATCCCATTTTTGTTGTTCAATAACACTGGCCAACCTGCTAGGGTCAGATGTCTTCTTCAGAAAGGCAGCATCTCTGAACCTGGGATAAAGGACACTTGAACTGAATGCATGAGCAGAAGGACCCAATGGAGAAGCATAATTGAAATCATCCTTGGACTGCTTAAGAATTTCTTGAAAACTTCCAAAGAAAGAAGGTTATCTGGATCTGCAGCTATATGGCTGTATAACTATCTTCTACCTGGCTCCTCCTGGAAGAGGTCTTTGTCTGCTTGGGAGCTGGGGCTGTTGAGCGGCACAGCCCAGGCACAACCATGCCAGGCTGGGCCTCTAGGCCAAGCTCAGTGAGGGGTGCAGACAATCATCCAACCAGCAATGGAACTCCTTGGAGATGGGGGCCCAAAGGGCAAGACATTTAAACAGGAGTCACTGGGAGATACTCTGCTGCTCAACGAACACCACAGCAAGTGTGAGAGCTCCTTGCCCAAGACTGAGCAGCTCTTCCTCTCCCACCGTGCGTTCACAGGCAGCAGCAGCACGGCGGGAGGGAGCCCAGGAAAGGAAGCGTTGATGAGGTACCAAAAGAAGAACTGACATCTTTGGGTTCTTAAAACAAAAACTCAAATTGAGGAAGCGAGAGAATGAAAAAGGGAAAGAATTAAATCTGAATCAATGGACAGAAATATGTGGCTTACTAACCCACCCCCATTTTGCATACAATTTTATACAAAAAAGGAAAAAAAAAACACCCCAACTCATTGCAATGCAGTCCAAATGTTTGCAACCAAAGATGTATGAAAATATTTCAATTGAAACTGCTTTTTTTTTTTTTAAAAAAAACAAAGCTTTTGATCATTCCCTTGTCAACATAATTGGCAGATCTACTCTCAAACACACTTAAGAGTATTCCACACAACATGTTCGGAATTCAGATTTATTGATTTCCATCGTATTGACTTTAAAAATGGTATGAAGCTGACTGCAAGAAAGGGAACTGGTAATTTTAAGTTAAAATTAAGCTAATGGTGAAAGTACATCACCTCTGGCTTCAGTCACCACATCACCTCAGATTGAATATAGATTTTTTATGAACAAAGTTCCAGAACTCTGAAATCCAGGGATGCTGCAGGCCTCTCCCGGCAATGTCCTTCACTTTGGGTCAGTCTCCTGGGCCAGAGGTGAAAGTGCTTTCAAAAATACTGCCATTTCCCCAGCACAGTGTCTTTGATTGCATCCACATATTGAGTTGGAACCCAGTACACCCAGTAGTAAGAGGCTTCCGTGGGGCCCAACTGAAACGCCTGGAAGGGAAAAAGGAAAACCAAGCGGTACTTCAGAGGTCGGGAGACCAAGCAGGCAGGACAAACATGGGTGAGGGTTGGGATGTGAGTTAATTAAAAAGGGAAGAAAAACCAAACAAAACTTTGCACGTGGGGAGCATTCTCCCAACCAAAAACAAAAACAGGCAGGCTGAGGGTTAAGCTGAGCCAACCCTAAAGCAGCAGTTCTCAAACCTGAGTGGTCATCAGAGCCATCCGGGGGGCTTGCTGGAACATGGATCAGCAGGCTCCAACCCTGTGAAGTTTCTAATTTGGGGAGGTCTGGGGTGGGGCCTGAGAAACTAGCAAGCTCCCAGGTGATGCAACACTACTGATCCAGGGACCACAGTTGGAGAAACGCTGCCCTAGAAAACCTGTCACACATGCTCAAGAAAACAGGTATGAATGTTCATTGCAGCACTGTCTGAAACCACAAAAACCTGGGGCAACCTACATATCCATCAGTAAGGGAATGCAGAATTCAAAGTGACAAGGCTTAGTCACACCAATACTGGAGCTCTTTTTAAAGAGGTATCAACTGGGTCCATATGGATCTACAGTTAATACTGACAGATTCTTATGTTGAACCAAAGAAAAGCAAGTTGTAGAACAATACATAATACCATTTACGAAAACTGGAAGCACAAAACAACACTCCATCTTGTTCGTGGATACACGTGTAAATCAAAGAATGGATAGATGGGAAGGACGCACGTGACACATGACGATGGTAATGGGGGAGGGGAAGACAGTGGGGCCATCATTGCTGTGAATAAACTTTATTTCTTTTATTTAAAAAAATTAAAGCAAATTACAAAATATTTACAATTGCCACTTCTCAGTGATGGATATATGGGTTTGTGACAGTTATTCTCTTTCTTTTCTGTATTTTATTTTTATTTTTTCTGAGCTGGAGTCTCTCTCTGTTGCCCAGGCTGGAGTGCAGCGGTGCAATCTCAGCTCACTGCAACCTCCGCCTCCCACTTTCAAGCGATTCTCCTCCCTTAGCCTCCCAAGTAGCTGGGATTACAGGTGCGCGCCACCATGCCCAGCTAAATATTTGTATTTTCAGTAGAGACAGGGTTTCACCATGTTGGCCAGGCTGGTCTTAAACTCCTGACCTCAAGTGACTCACCCACCTCGGCCTCCCAAAGTGCTGGGATTACAGGTGTGAGCCACTGCGCCCAGCCTCTTTTCTGTATTTTAAAAACATTTCTCTAAAAATGAAAAAGCACAGCCACAGTTTTCCAACTGTGAATGATGACATGTTAATTTAGCTAGAGAAATAGCATCTGCCCAAAGAGATAACTAAGTACTTTCATTAGGACAAAGGTAAAGGTGTTTGGAAAAGAGAAGGGGACTACTAGAGCTATCCTCTGCCAGAAATAACTCGAGAGAAATGAACATTTCAATGAAATACTAAGTCATTACCCATCCACACCAATTCCTCCAAAGACGTCCAAAACAGTCCACTCAACTTCCTTGGACTCCCTACCACCACACTGCTTGAAAAGTCAGGCTACAAACCCTACAGGGTGTGACTGGCAACACAAACTATTCAAAAAGGAGTGATGGGGCCCAGTTAAAAACATTCAAGTCCAACTGTTTTTTTTTGTTTTGTTTTTTTGTTTGTTTTTTGAGACAGAGTCTCTGTCACCTAGGCTGGAGTGTAGTGGCACGATCTCTGCTCACTACAACCTTCGCCTCCCAGGTTCAAGCAATTCAAGCAGTTCTCCTGCCTCAGCCTCCTGAGTAGCTGGGATTACAGGTGCCCGCCACCACGCCCAGCTAATCTTTGTAATTTTAGTAGAGACGGGGCTTCACCATGTTGGTCAGGCTGGTCTCAAACTCCTGACCTCATGATCCGCCCACCTCAGCCTCCCAAAGTGCTGGGATTACAGGCATGAGCCACCACGCCTGGCCCAACTGTTAAAACAGAAAAAAATAACTGACCAGGCCAAACCAATTTGTCTGCAATCCTTGTAATAAAGACTACAGAGAGAGGGCTGGGCATGGAGGCTCACGCCTGTAACCCCAGCACTTTGGGAGGCTGAGGTGGGCGGATCGCCAGGTCAAGAGATTGAGACCATCTTGGCCAACATGGTGAAACCCCATCTCTACTAAAAATACAAAAATTAGCTGGGTGTGGTGGCGTGAGCCTGTAATCCCTGCTACTCAGGAGGCAGAGGCAGGAGAATCGCCTGAACCTGGGAGGCAGAGGCTGCAGTGAGCCGAGATAGCGCCACTGCACTTCAGCCTGGTGACAGAGCGAGATTCCGTCTCAAAAAAAAAAAAAAAAAAAAAGACTACAGAGAGAGTAGGGGTGGAAGGGCTGCCAAGGGGCATCATCACTTCCAGAAGACAAAACCCCAAGAGCCCCACAGCCTAGGGACTGCACTCCCAGCTACAGCCTTGCTACAGCCACACTAGGCAGGATGCCAACAGGGCTGCCTCCCTTGCCCACCATATTTTAAGCCCCTTTGATTTTTTTCTATAGCAAGAGGATCTTCCAACACATCTCTCTGCCTGGGACTTGTTATCCCAATCTACTGGTCAAACCACTAGTTCCTTCTTTTCCCTGGGATGGGCTGATGTGGCTTCATCACTGTGGGATGGACACTGAAAGGCCTGCCTCCTTGGATGAACAATGGCCGGAGGCCCCGCCCTCACATTACAGCTGCTCAGGCCAGGCCCCTGATGGGCAACTGCAGAATCAACTTCGTGGTCAATGTGGCTCCTCCAAAGAGCACTGGGAAAATTTTGGAAACTGCCTAAGCTGCTCATTTTACCAGATGAATGAATTTTTTGCTTTGTTCTGCAGACCTGCACAACACCTCCAAACATTCTGTCTTGGGAAAGAGTAGCCTGCTCTCTGCAGAGTGGGTTCTATGCAGAATAGACGCTCCACAGAGCCCGTCTTCCCCACGAGGCCCTCAGCCACTGGGCCTGGAAGAGCGGCATCGTTATTACAGAAAAGAGGCTGTCTGGTGCCCTCACCAACACCAAGGCTAAGGGCAAGTTTTGTTTTATAAGCAAGATAAAACTTATAATGAAAATCCACAAGCCATTCCTCCTCTTTATATTTATTTTCCTGGTCTAGAAACAACACACGACAAGAGGGAGGCAAGAGAGACTTTTCTAAAAGAGGTAAGAGAAAACATATCCCCTTTAAACTGATGGAAGGTGTGTGTGGGGGGGTGTAAAATAAACAGAACTAGGAATAGAGGCCATGGATTAAGTTCTAAGTAGATGAAGAAAACATCAGGGTCTTAAAAAAGTGCATCTTCTGGAGACTGAGTTTTCTTCCGTTAAACAAGCTCAGTTAAAACTGTTCCCTGCCAGGTGAAGTGGGAGTCTAGTGAGAGGGGCTGAACTCAGCCAGCGCTACTTACCATCATGTGGTAGTCTTCATGTCCTTCGATAGGTTCACTGACCACATTTTTTATGGAGCCCATGGGCAATTTCTCAGTCCGCTCTAAGTTGAGAGGGATTACAGTGATTATTCAAAGGGCCCTCCTGTTCTAACTTCTCTGACTCAGCAGTCCCTCATCAGGGCTGGTGGCTGCGGGATCTACAGTAAACTCAAGTGACTGGCGCCATGCCCTCTGGGGACAACACGACAGGGTCTTCTGACCAGTGCACATAGGGCTTCGTGTGGGAGCTGGGAACTCCGTAGGAGCAAGTGGGAAACTGGGTTTGGCAATGGTATAGTAAAGGTCTCTGAGGGCAGAATTGTATCTTCCCTGGGATTATTTTTTAAAAGTCTGATGGTTAATAAATATCCAAGAAAGGCCAGGCGCGGTGGCTCAAGCCTGTAATCCTAACATCTTGTGAGTCAGGATTTGGCCAAGGTGGGTGGATCACCTGAGATCAGGAGTTCGAGACCAGCCTGGCCAGCATGGTGAAACCCCGTCTCTACTAAAAATACAAAAAATTAGCCAGGCGTGGTGGTGGGCACCTATAATCCCAGCTACTCAGGAGGCTGAAGCACGAGAATCGCTTGAACCCGGGGGGCAGAAGTTGCAGTGAGCCGAGATCATGCCACTTTACTTCAGCCTGGGCCAAAGAGCGAAACTCCATCTCAACAAAAAAAAATATAAAATAAATAAATACCCAAGAAATTCCTTTGTAACCTTATGCAAGCCCAGCATTGACTAAGGTCTTGGGCAGTAGGGAGAGTCAAGAGGCCTACGAACAAAGAGGCAACACGTTCCCCTGTGGCTCTCACAAGGGAAGGGGAGTGCCTGGATTTTAGGGCTAGATTCTATACCACGACCCTGCTCCCTTCCCCGGCCTCCCTCCTCGAGTCCTCCGCACTCTATATTCACACACTTTTATGAAGTTCTCTTAAAACATTTATAACCTTTTGTGATTAACACTTGAGATACCACTGATCACATGGGGTCAGAAGACATTGAGGCGAGTTTAAGGAGGATGGCAGGTAAGAGAAGGGGGCAGCAAGGGATGCCTGGAGTGAGATGAGACTGCCGGGAGTGAGCCAAGTGAAGCGGGACTGGGTGAGGTCAGGGGAGGCGAGGTGCACCTGCACAAGGGGACATGGCCATCCTGGAGCAGCAGACACCTCAGGGACGGGGGCGCAGGGGGAGGGGGGCAGGGAGGCTCAGCAAACAGCTAAACCAAGTGGAAAAAAACTTGCAGCCTTTGCAGAAAGAAAAATCTGGAAAGATAGAGTCTAAAAATAGATAAGTTGGCCAAACAGACTAGGAATTTAGAGACCAGCGTTCTGGTCTAGCTGGGGACTTAAGACATTTTACTTCAGTTCTGTGGGCCTCAGTATCTGAAAAATGGGGGCTGGGGAGAAGGGACCTGAAGATGTTTATTTAGGTTTGGACTTCTAGTGGCTCTACAACAGTCGGCCCTAAAGCAGGACCTGGGCAGCAGCTGTCTTTAAGATGGAAACTTTTAAAACACCTTTCATCCTGAAATGTCTGGAGATTTCACAAAAATATACAACAGATTTCTGGCTTCTCTTGAAAACTCCAAAAATTGGGCAATTCTGGACCCACACTCCTGATCACTACATCAGACCTTCAGCCAGATTCAACTTTCCTACGAGCAGGGTACATGCTCTCCTCCAGCGGCTTCCGGTTTCCTGCCTGGAGCTTGTTCTCATTCTTTTGAGGCTGTTAGAACTGCCTCCTCCTACACAAGCTAGCAGAGTTTAGTCAAGAGTAGCAGCCCTTAAGGGTCACTTACTCAGCAAAGCGCCCCACGAAGAGGCCAACTCGCTGCTGGGATGGTCATTCCATAGCCGCTTCTTCTTGCCAGCAGAAAGACGAAGCCAGTGGCTAGCAGCCAACTCCCAGAACAAGCTGTCCTCTTATGAGTGCTTATGACACTTAGGTAACAGGACTGGGCAAGTGACAAGACTGCCTGCCCCTTGGGCTCCAGAGGTACAGTGCTATGGGTGGGAATGAAAATCTTAACCTTGTTCAACCCTAGAAAACATGAGTAGTCCATGGCCATGCTCCTCAACAAGACTGGTGAGTAAGGAGGCTTTCAAGGGCTCAGAAGCCCCAACATATTGAGCTTCTTCTACAGCTCTCCCTTTAGGCCAAAGCAGGAAGGCGGCTGCTCCTACTAGCAAAAAGAAAACTTCCAATACAGGGTCAGGAAGTTCTTGTTCTGTCAGTTCCTGCAGTTATGATGTGTTCCCTATACAACTTCCTGACACAGAAATATTCCCCAAGGAACCAATGAGCACTTACAGACTTAGTTCCCATCCAGACTTCTCTGCCTGCACCTATCTTCATGGCAGGGTCTTTCCAGGTCAGCCGTAGCAACTGCCTTCAATGAGGCTGCCCACAAGCAAAAGTAGAGGTCCAGCAAGAGGCAGGAAGTCTATGCACTTCAGCAAGTGAATGTGATGAGACAGAACTAAGCAAAATCACCTGCAAAGTTGACAGAGGCTGGGCAGCTTACTACTGATAAAGGGAAGATGGACAGGCTCTACAGAAGAGAATGATCTAGCAGAGGGTTCAAAGGCCCTTGCAAAAACTGGGGGGAACCCTCAGATATTCTGCAAAACTTGCTTTGACCATGCAGTTAGAGTTGAATGTGAAATGAAGAAAATAGCAAGTTATCATAAAATTGATAGAAAACTCAAGCATTTTTGGCATTTCAATTTTTGTTCATTTTAACAATCAGTATAGGGTTGAACACTGATTTTTGTGTTTTAGATGATTAAAAACTCTCTCTTCCCACCACCCCTGCCCCAATTATTCTCCATAAAACTTGGTCCCATTTTAAGTGGAGTCTCACTAAATGGTCTGTCCCTGAAACCAGTGAACGTCAGATGATGGGACCCCCTATACTTCTCTTTAGCATTTACCTCGAACACTGAATACCTACAGTGCTGGTCAGAAACAGGTGATTTAGGCATGTTCGGTTCCCTCCAGGAATCTAACAGGGGGACAGACAAGTCAGAGAGTAATGAGTGCTCTGGGGATATAAACGAAGCGCTCTATGAACAGAAGCGGCAGCAAGTCATTTGGAGGGTGGGGGGAGAATCAAGGAAGGCTTCATTCAGAGAGGACATTTAAGTAGGGCCTTGGAAGATTTTATTAATAACAAGGAATGGGAAAAAGGCATTCCAGGTAAGGGCACAGCATGAGCAAAGACAAGGAGCTGTGCAAAGCACACTGGGAGCTTCACAGAGAGATGCGGCTAAAATACACAGGGGACCACAGGGCAAACGGGCCAGAAGCTGGAACCAAAATTTAAACTAAGGCCCAGTGTTGAGAACACTGAACGCTATGGTTAGGCATTTGAATGTGTCCTTAAACAGCCAAAGGTCCTTGAGCACGGGTACCCAGGATAAAAAGCAGTAGGTAAGATGGACAGGACAGAAGAAAACACAGATGGGGCAGTGAAACAGGGTAACTCGCTTTGAACAGACCAAGTTTAAAGATGCTTGGGAACTTTAACTGGCACAACAGTGTGGCAAAGAAAGGGACAGACAGTTCTGCAGTGTAACTAACAAGACTTTGTAACCATCTGGGGGAAGGGAGAGGGAGGACAGTCAGAGACACTTCCCAGCAAACAGCAAGGCTGATCCAGACACCGTGCACAGGCGGGGGTGGGGCAGGCAGAGGGCAACCAGGCGGGGAGGGAGAGGCAGATTCCTCGGCAGCGGTTAGGAAAACTTCACCTACTATAGGGTCAAACTCTGACCTACAGGGGCCAGGCAGGTGACAAATGAACAAAGCTGGCTACTTCTAAGATAAATGGGACCATGAAGACTGTAGTATGGCCCACTGGAAACCACCACTCGGCTCTAGTGGATCGATGCCATGTGAGAATGCAGGCCCCAAAGGGCCAGATCATTTGAGTTTTCAAGAGAAGCCAAAAAAAAAAAAAAAATCAGATTAGTGAAATCTCCCAATTTTTACAGATTGTGTGTCATCCCACAAAACATTTTTCTGTGGACCAGATTTGGCCCTTGGGCCACGTGTTTGGGACCCCCAAATCTGTGTGCAACTGAAGAGCCACTGTTTGGTGGATCAGCCCTAAGATCAGACTGAAAACAATGAGGGAAAACGGTCCAAACAAAAGGCGAGCATCTAAAAGCAAATTTAAAAGCCAGAAGCAAGCAAAGCACAGTGGAGAGAGAGGTTTCAGAAGGAGGGGTGAAATCGCACTCTAAAATGTGAGTGCTGCTGGGTGCCAGAGGCAGGCAGTGGGCCAGCAAGGAGGCGAGGAAGAACATACCTTTAGTGCCAATCCACAGCTGGTCTTGTTCTAGTTTAAAGGTGAGTCTCACTTTTCCTCCAGATTTATTGTACATGCCGGACAGCGGTACCGTTGGCAGGCGCTCCTGAAGGCACGAGAGAATGGTAAGAGATGGAGGGACAGTCAGAAAAAAAGAGAAGGGGGCCAAGCGCGGTGGCTCACGCCTGTAATCCCAGCACACTGGGAGGCCAAAGCGGTCAGATCACCTGAGGTCAGGAGTTGGAGACTAGCCTGGGCAACATGGTAAAACCCCGTCTCTACTAAAAATACAAAAATTAGCCAGGTGTGGTGGCACACCCCAGCCTGGGTGACAGAGCAAGACTCTGTCTCAAAAAAAAAAAAACAGGGAAAAAAGAGAAGGGACAGGATTGGAGGAACCTCAAGTCAGACGGTGGGGCTGCCTCATTTTCAGAATGCTCACAAAGAAATCCGCCTTACCTGGGCCCCCTTAACAGATGGCATCACATCTTCAGGTTTTCCTTTATCCAACACTTTCCTGTGTTGCTATAAGTCAGAAGAGAGAATGAAATGAAACAGCTGACTACATTTCGTCGTGTTACTATTCCCTTGAAAGAGAGGATGAAGAAAGCCTTAGTGTTTTGGCTCAAAAGCTTTTAATGACGACAGACTATGGATCCTTTGAAACTATAGCACAGTGCTGTCCAGCAGAACTTTCTGGGAGGGCGAATATGTTCGTACCTGTGCTAGCCACTACCTACTGCTGTGACTATTACACACTTGAAATGCAGCTACTATGACTGAGGAACTGAATTCTTAATTTCATTTTAACCAGCCACATGTGGATAGCTACCATATTAGATATCAAAGTTCTACAGCAAACGGGATTTCCAGATTGCCCTCCTCCCCTCAAAAAAAAAAAAAAAAATCACCACTGAAATGATTAAACCATCAAACTAAAGAGGGCGACAAAGGGTGTTGCTCTCCTAGCAGACAAAAAATGGCACCCACCTTTTTCAACTTAAACTTCCAGAGAACACTATAAGATGCTGGTAATCCGTCTAACTGCCTAGGAGGAGCAGTTCTTCAACAAATGGAGACCCAGCCCATCGCCGAAGTTTTCCCCACTGCCCTACCCTTAACTCCAGCTAAACAGGAACCTGGAAGAGCCACCTTTCAGAAAGAAATGCTTATTACTCTATAACCTGACATTAAGAAGCCTCTAAACTCCACCCCTACCACCTGCCCCAAGAACTCTGAGGCAGCTCTTCAAGGATTCTAAGTTCAGGGCCCCTTAAACAGTTCTCCTGCCTGGCCCAAATGCCTGAGTCTTCTTTCTTCTCCATCTGTGGCCTTATAGGCATAGCCACTGCTTGGAAGGCTGGAACTAGGGGACAATGAATGGATAGAAGGTAACAATTTAATCAAATGTAAGCACTAGGCAGCCACAAGCCAGCCCAAATCCTCACTGGCATGGTGGAATCCCTCTGGGAGGAATAAACTCAGCACTGCCAGACTGCTAGCAAAAAGTCACTCCAGACATCACCCCCAGACCCCTTAATAAGCTGGTAAAAAGGCAAGGGACTATATCCCTCTCATTAGGTCATGTGATGCATCATAATTGGCCTCAATGAAACACAGCAGCATGGGCTGGAAGTACAATTCGAGTCACACCTTTCAAGTACCTTTTGAACAAGATTTCCTGTACTGTGGAGAACAGTTCTAAGCCTGTTAAGCTACCATTAGTAACTAAAAACCTGTATTTAGGAGGCATGTTATGCTCCAAGGGTGTGACCATTGCGACCACTCCTATCTGACGTGCTCACATTTCACTATTTCATACATGTGGCAAAGAAAAACAGGAATATGAGAAGAAACTCAATCGGTTTCAAGACACTGAGACCCCATATGTGGGGGTGAAGTCTCCAAATCAACACCTTTTAGATAATTAATATAGGTTTATAACCCCTTATCTGAAACCCTAGAGTTTTGAACTTTCAGGGTTTTGGAATTTTTATAAAGATAATATTGCTTTCAAATACATAACAATCTTCTCTGTGGGGTCTGGGGCAGTACCTTGTCACCAAAGAGGAAAATTCACACTAATTCTGGTCAGGTTTTGCTGTTAAATTTATAAAAACACTTCTCGTTTTTATACTCCTTTGGGGTTTTGGAAGCACACATGGGGGATTATGGATCTGTAACACAAACTGTGTCCTTTTCTTACTGTTGGTCATATATCTTAGTGTCTATGGTCACTAAATGATGTTGATTGAAGTTTATCTACTCTACTTCAGACACAGTTGAGAATACCTGTCTTCCTTGGAACACTAGGAAGAACGATCAGGAGGCTACACAGCAATCAGTATAATTTGCCAGGTAAAAAGATAACAAGTAATGATTCTTACAACCTGTTCCTTCCATAGTAAAATAATCTCACTTTTCCTCGTTACGTGAAAGAATGTTAATGGCTATGATGAGCACAAGACAAGGCAGGATCTCTTGCAGCCAAAAGAACAGAGAACGTAAAAAACCAAGCTCCTATTTCACAGATCAGGACAAAAAAATAAATAAACAAATCCATCAGTGTAGTTGTCTTCCTACTCAGCTTCATTTAGCTTCCTGAAACGGTCAGCTTTAGGGGAACCTCCGAGAGTTGTTGATTTCCATGCCTAGCCAGGCTTGTTGACTTGGGGAAAGCCACAAACCAAAAAGCCAAATGTAAGCACTTGTACAAAATGAGGGCTTACTTCTAGTACTGGTAGTTTTCTCTGGCACTAAATAAGAGAGAGAAACCCACGTCTGATTCCTTTCAACACATGGTCTGAAGCCTCCCTTTACCAAGGTCTTATCCTAAAGTAGGTAGACTTGAGACACACTGACCCGCCAGATGAGACAAAGTTGCAAATCTCAGGTAGTTGTCACCTCCACTCTGCGGCACCCAACTGCTGCCATAAATTTCCATCATGGGCCCTGTCCAAAAAGGAGCTTATTCTAGGGAGAATATAACCAGCCACGGCTCAAGAGGACAAAGCCTCAAATTTCTCAAGACCAAGAAGCACAAGATGGACTCACTTTCTGCCTGCAGAGAGGCTCCTTCTTGTTCTCTTCGGCCTTTGCATCCTGCTGCGCAGCATCTTTGGGTGTGTTTACTGCTAAAACATCATTGATGGTGGAGCCAACCACCATGATCTTGGCCCCACTGGTCACTTTTATTTCTCTCAATGTTTTATCCTCGGGGACGAGTCCCTTATACATGACTTTCTGCATGGCAGGCGGGAGACCTTGGGAAAAGGTAGAAGGTGGACAGTGAAAGGAAGGAAGGACAGAAAAATGTATGGATACTACACAGCTCTTTGGTAACAGACCAAAAAGTGAATACTGCCTCCACCACCTATTAGCTTTGTGAACTTGGGAGATTTACAACCTCTGAACCTCAGTTTCTAGAACTGTAGAAGATTTATTAGAGTAAGTCCTTCTGTACAGACCTGTTTCAAGGATTAAGAGACCAATGCGGGGCATTTAGTACGGTGGCTAGCATTGAATAATTGTTCAGTAAGTACTAGCTCTCATTCTTTCCAAGTTGTTCCTCAGTCATCTAAATCATTCACATATTAAGTGAGAATCCACAGGCATCAGAGCTACAGAAGCCAATAGGGACAAAACTCCTGTTCTTAATGGAGATTACAAGGCTACATGTAGAAAGCTTTAAAAAAAAAAAAAAGTTCAAGGCCAGGAGTGATGGCTTATGCCTGTAATCCCAGCACTTCGGGAGGCCGAGGTGGGTGGATAAAATAAAAAAAACTAGCCCGGCGGGGTAGCGGGCACCTGTAATCCCAGCTACTCGGGAGGCTGAGGCAGGAGAATCGCTTGAACCTGGGAGGCGGAGGCTGCAGTGAGCCAAGATGGTGCCAGTACACTCCAGCCTGGGCAACAGAGCAAGACTCCGTCTCAAAAAAAAAAAAAAATAGGAAAAAGAAAAGAAATCTCAGATGGCAAAGAGCTATGAACAAGGTAAAATTAAGAAACAGAATCGACTGTGAAGAACCAGCATCAAAGTCAATAGCAGCGTTTCCTAAACTTCACTTAGAAGAATTACCTAAGATATTTGCTAAAAATAAATTCCTGGCTACATCCCAGACCCACTGAATCAGAATCTCCTGGGAAAGGGCCCAGAAGCTGTAAAACAAGCGCCTTAGGTGATTTTTTAATTAGAGATGTTAGAGCAACATCAATGAGAAACTGGGGCCTAAACGTCAGACTTCGGCTTTAATCCCAGCTCTGCAACTTACTAGCTCTATAAACTTGAGTCTCTTTCCCCAGCTGAGTAATGGGCATCCAAGTATCCTTCAGAAGACTGCTGTAAGGATGGGGGGACCTGATGCAAGGAAAGCCACCAGGTGCCTAGTAGGGTGCAAGGGCCATCAGGAGGCGGGGTGGGGAAGACTGGCTGTCAGCGCCACAGGAATTACCTGTAATCGAGTGGATCTTCTGTTTCAGCTCGGAGCCTGTGCTGTCCAGGGGGAACTTCACGTCATGCTTGGTCTTATTCCAGATGATCTTCAAGTCCACCAGCTCCCTGCCCGCGCCGCCGCCCGCGTCTTCGCCGTTGCTGACCGAGGCCTGGGCTGCGGGGTCCCCAGGGGGCTGGGCCGGGGCCGGCTGCAGGCTGCCTCGTGCGGCGCCGGAGTCCTCGGCCGCCGCCCCCGCCGCGGCTTCAGCCTCCAGGCAGTTGACGGGCCGCGCGGGAGCCTCAGTAGCCACAGTCTCGGCCTCCGTGTCCATGCCAGGTTCCTCCATGCCTGCAAGGGGGTTAGGGGGTGGGCGCTCGCCGCGGGCTGGGCTTGGGAACGGACGCTGTCCGGGCGCCGCCGGACCTCCGTTCCCGAGCCGCGGTTCTCCCTCCCGGGCCGGGCCGCATCCCCCAGAGGAGCGACCGCAACCTCAGCCCCGGCCCGGCGCCCGCCACCCCCGCCGCACTCACCATCCGGGGCCCCGGCCGCCGCCATGATGATTGTGTACAACACCCACCGCTCCCGCAGAGGCCGCTGGGAAGAGGCGAGCTGGCTGAGATTGGCCCCCGCAGCAGCCCCTAATCTCTCACAGCCCGGCCGGAAACAGGTGGAGGTTTCTATGGAGACCCGCCTCCTCCGCTCCCAGGTCCGGCCCCTGCCACGCTTTCGCTTTCCCAAGCTGAAGGGGGCGGGTCCGGGAAATAGCCCTTTCTCTGGCCTCTGCCCCCTGGTGGCGAGTGCGGCCGCAGCCGTCCAGGGGGGCGTGGGATTTCGCGCTAGGGGGCCTGTGACTTTAAGGGGCAAGGCTGCGCTGGCTGTGGCGGAGGCCGATTGGCTGGAAGCAGTCCCCGGAAGTGACGCAGGGAGAAGCCCACGTGTGCTATTCCATCCCACATGGCGGCGCTCCTGAGGAGACTGCTGCAGCGCGAGAGGCCTTCGGCGGCCTCTGGCCGCCCCGTAGGACGGCGCGAGGCCAACCTGGGCACTGATGCCGGGGTTGCGGTGCGAGTGCGGTTCGCTCCCAGCCCCACAGGTAACCCTGGCGGACGTGACGCTACAGGCCGAGGCCCCCTGTCCCGTCTCCGCCCCACGAATGTTCCCGAATGAATCCTTTCCGGTGGTGTCAGAGTGGGCGGGCGGAGGAGGGTTAAGGCAGCGCGAGCCCATTTTACAGAGGCGGAAACTGAGGTGCAGGAGCGGAAATAATTCAAATTGCCAGGAGTTTCTTGTGTTTTTTGTGCCATCCCATCTCTTTCGATCTTTTTTTCATGCATTCCATACATGTGCATTGATGACAACCTGTGTAACAGGTGTTGTAGACGCTGGGATACAGTGATCATTGAGAAAGGTAGGGGCCTTGCTCTGTGGAAGTCTGCATTCTAGTGGCTGCCGCAGACACTTATAAAAAATAAGTGTAATTTTAGAGTCACATGTGCCATGCGGGAAGTGAAACAGGATAGGAGACTGGGGATTAAGAAGGACGCTCCAGAAGGCTTTACTGAGCAGGTAACATTTGAGCTGAGATCCAAATGACAAGAAGGAGCACGCTATGTGAAGCCTATAGAAGGAACCTTCTGGAGGCCAGGCGCGGTGGCTCACGCTTGTAATCCCAGCACTTTGGGAGGCAGAGGTGGGTGCATCACTTGAGGTCAAGTGGATCACTTGAGAGCCGTCTGACCAACATGGTGAAGCCCTGTCTCTACTAAAAATACAAAATTATCTGGGCATGGTGGCGCATGCCTGTAATCCCAGCTACTTGGGAGGCTGAGGCAGGAGAATCGCTTGAACGCAGGAGGTGGAGATTGCGGTGAGCCAAGATCGCGCCATTGCACTCCAGCCTGGGCAACAAGAGCGAAACTGTGTCTCAAAAACAAAAAAGAAGGAACCTTCTGGGTAGAGGAAATCGCAGGTACCAAGGCACTGTGCTAGTGCTGTTGGGAGCTTAGCAAGCTAGAGGGTGACAGAGGCCCATTGTATAGCCTGTTGGAGATCTCGTCAGGGCCTTTTGGTTCCCACCAGTAAGGCTACCTTCTACGTTCTCTACACGGAGTATGCCTCTCATCCCAAATCCCAGGATGAACATACAAAGATCTTTGTAGTAAAATCCCAGCTATACATGACAGGATCTTTCTGGCAGGCAGTATAGCCTAGAGCAGTGCCTTTCAAACCATCTGTTGTGGAAGTGCTGGTTTTAAATTTCCAATCAATTGTGTATCAATATTTGCACAAAATTAATATAATGACCAGAAAAATAAAATTTTGAAAACATCCAAAATACAAACCAATCTCATTTTATTTGGGTTAGCAGAGGTAAAATCATTCTGCCAGATTGCTATGTAAGTTTCGCCTGGCCAATATGGCAAAACCTTGTCTCTACTAAAATACAAAAATTAGCCGGGCATGTGGCCCAGGCCTGTAATCCCAGCTACTCAGGAGGCTGAAAATCGTTTGAACCCAGGAGAAAGAGGTTGCAGTGAGCCGAGATCGTGCCACCGCACTGCAGCCCGGGTGACAGAGTGAGACTCCATCTCAAAACAACAACAAAAGTTTCTAAACCTTTACTCTCAGTTTCTGTACTTGATTGTGAACTGACAACTGTTTTCAGACCAGCACTGGATTGCACACTTTGCTTTGAAGAGCACTTATGTAGAATGCCAAAGCCTGGGATTGCCTGGGTCCAAATTTCTGTCGTGGCCACTTATTAGATGTGTAACTTACTAGATGTGCAAATTATTATTGTTATTTTGAGACAGGGTTTGGCTCTGTCTGTCGTCCAGGCTGGAGTGCAGTGGTGCAATCTCGGCTCACTGCAACCTCAGCCTCCGGGGCTCAAGTGATCCTCCCACCTCAACCTCCCGAGTAGCTGGGACTACAAGTGTGTGACCACTACGCCCAGCTAATTTTTGTATTTTCTTGTAGAGATGGGGTTTTGCCATGTTGCCTGGGCGGATCTTGAACTCCTGAGCTCAAGTGATCCACCTGCCTTGGCCTCCGAAAGTGCTGGGATTATAGGTGTGAGCCATCACACCTGGCCTAGATGTGCAAATTATTTAATGAATCTGAGCCTCAGTTTCACCATTTGTCAAAACGGGGCTAATAATAATATCTGTCTTATGGGGTTAAGCTCATGCAGCCGAACCACTTAGTAAGGTCTAGTACACCCAGAAAGCACTTAATACACAGCCTCTATTATGATGATTGTACTTCTCATTTCCTTGCTCATTTGCGGGGAAAGCCCATGTGGGAAAGGCTTTTGACTATAAACAGATAAAAGAATTATCAGGCACAGATCATTACAGTAGCTGAAATTAATTGAGGGTTTACTTTGGTCAGCATTTAGACCTCAGAGCAACCCTATAATAAAGAAGGTTCTTATTTTTTTGCTCTTAATCCCTCTGACAGATGAGGAAATAGAAGCTCATAAAAGTTAAGTAGAGTTCCTTCTCAAGGGGTAGCAACTAATAAATGGTGGATGCAGAATTTGAATCCAGGTGTACTTGATGTAAGAGGCTTTGTTTTCAGCAGCTGGGTTCCTCTTTTGTCTTGGGGACTCGTGGGACTCAGTGCCACTGAATACCACTGGTTTTCTGGTGTCCTTGCAGTAACTATCCGAAGGTTACACACATCAGTGTTGAAGCAGGGTCGGCCTGGCCCCAGAAGAGCTTTTTCTCTCCTCTGCTGCCTCTTGTACTTGTAAATGTAGATGAGCTCATTGTGGAGACTTAGGGCTGTGGGCTGGTCCGAAGAAGGTACGGTAAGAGGTAATGACAACTCTGGAAAAGCTGTTAACTTTCAGTTTTCAGACAGGAATGATGAAAAAGGCAAATCTTAGGAGTTTAAACTGATGAAGAGAAATACAGTGGAATCAAACACTACTTTTGGTTAGTGTTTAAAGCCAGCAATTAGGGTGAAAATCTTGGCAAGGCATGGTGGCTCATGCCAGTAATCCCAGCACTTTGGGAGGCTGAAGTGTAAGGATTGCTTGAGCCCAGGAGTTTGAGACCAGCCTGGGCAACATAGTGAGACCTTGCCTCTGCAAAAAAAAAACCAAAAAACAAATATTAGCCGGGCATGGTGGTGTACACTTGTAGTTCCAGCTACTTGGGAGGCTGACGTGGGAGGATTGATTGAGCCTGGGTGGTTGAGGCTGCAGTGAGCCGTGACTGTACCACTGGACTTCAGCCTGGGCAAGAGTGAGACCCCATCTCAAATTTCAAAAATGAATTTTGTTTCTTTAAAAAAGTAAAAATCTCAAGTAGATGAAATTTAAAATGTACGACGTGGACAGTCATGCACACTGCATAGACTGCATATGCAAAATGTGATTTTTTTTTTTTTTTTGGAGATGGAGTCTCGCCCTGTCGCCCAGGCTGGAGTGCAATGGTGCGATCTCGGCTCACTGCAACCTCTGTCTCCTGGGTTCAAGCAGTTCTCCTGCCTCAACCTCCCAAGTAGCTGGGATTACAGGCGCCCACCACCATGCCCAGCTAATTTTTTTTGTGGTATTTTTAGTAGAGACGGGGTTTCAACATGTTGGCCAGGCTGGCCTCAAACTCCTGACTTTGTGATCCACCCGCCTCGGCCTCCCAAAGTGCTGGGATTAAAGGTGTGAGCCACCATGCCCCACCGATTTTTTTTTTCTTTGTAGAGACAGGATCTCACAATGTTGCCCAGGCTGGTCTCAAATTTAGAGACCCAGGTGATCCTCGTGCCTCTGCCTCCAAAAGTGCTGGGATTAGAGGTGTGAGCTACTGCACCTGGCCCACAATATGATTGTACAGTATTTTAAATTTCTAGTTTGTTTGTAATTAATTTTTTTCCCAGCGCACATCATTGAATTTCTGTAAGTTAAATGTACATGATATGGCCTCAATGAATAACTCTCTGCTTCTCTTTCAGGCGAAACTTGGCCTTGAGACAAATATCAAAATAGAGTGGTGGATGCAGTTGGGGAAAATTGGAGCCTTTTAATAAAATGACATGCTCCAAATCCTGGGTGGTTTCCATTTTCAGGATGAGGGATTAAATGTGTCTGGAGACAGGGCACAGGGGTAACTAGTTCTTAGTCTTTGAAAAAAAATTTTTTAATTTTTAATTTTTTTTGTTTGAGACAGAGTCTCACTCTACTGCTGCCCAGGCTGGAGTGCAGAGGCGTGATCATGGCTCGCTGCAGCCTCAGCGTCCCCAGGCTCAGGTGATCCTCCCACCTCAGTAACTGAAACCACAGGCATGTACCACCATGCCCAGCTAAATTTTTATATTTTTTGCTAAGACAAGGTCTCACCATGTTGCCCAGGCAGATCTCAAACTCAGGCCAAGCACAATGGCTCACGCTTGTAATCCCAGCACTTTGGGAAGCCAAGGCAGATGGATCACTTGAGGTCAGGAGTTCGAGATCAGCCTGACCACCATGGCAAAATCCTATCTTTACTAAAAATACAAAAATTGGCCAGGTGTGATGGCTCTTGCCTGTGATCCCAGCACTTGGGAGGCCGAGGCTGGGGGGATCACTTGAGGCCAGGAGTTCAAGACCAGCCTTGCCAACATGGCGAATGCCTGTCTCTACCAAAAATACAAACATGTAGCTGGACGTGGTGGCACACACCTGTAATCCCAGCTACTCGGGAGGCTGGGCATGAGAATTGCTTAAACACAAGAGGCAGAGGTTGCAGTGAGCCAAGACTGTGCCACTGCACTCCAGCTTGGGTGACAGAGTGAGACTCTTGTCTTAAAAAACCTACAGGAACCTCCTGGGCTCAAGTGATCCCCCCGGCCTTGGCCTCCCAAAGTGGTAGGATTACAGGCGTGAGCCAATGTGTCCTGCTGGTCTTTTAAATTTATTGCAACATTCTGTCACAGTAGTGCTTACTTGCCCCTTGCTGAGGCCTATTAGCTTATCTTCCCTGTCTTATCTGAGCTGTTCTCTTCTCCAGGCTTCTTGCACCTGGGTGGCCTCCGCACTGCCTTGTACAACTACATCTTTGCTAAGAAGTACCAGGGGAGCTTCATCCTGAGGCTAGAGGACACAGATCAGACTCGCGTTGTGCCTGGGGCAGCGGAGAATATTGAGGACATGCTGGAGTGGGCAGGTAAGCCTGGCAGAGAAAGGATCTTTCTGCAGGGAAGGAACAGGAAGCAGGAAAAGGAGCCTGTGGGTCTTCTCATGGAGTTCTGAGTGGAAAATGGGGAGTTCCTGGAGAAGTGGCTACATTTGTACTGCCCTGCCCGGGGTGGCAGATGACACCTGAAAAAATGCCGAAGCTCTCTGAAACACAGCTCCAAGACTGGTTTCTTTATTTTTATTTATTTATTGTTTTTGAGACAGAGTCTTGCTCTGTTGCCCAGGCTGGAGTGCAGTGGTGCGATCTCGGCTCACTGCAAGCTCCGCCTTCCGGGTTCACGCCATTCTTCTGCCTCAGCCTCCAAGTAGCTGGAACTACAGGCGCCCGCCACCACGCCCGGCTAAGTTTTTTTGTATTTTTAGTAGAGACGGGGTTTCACTGTGTTAGCAAGGATGATCTTGACCTCCTGACCTCGTGATCCACCTGCCTCGACCTCCCAAAGTGCTGGGATTATAGGCATGAGCCACCGCGCCCAACTTGGTTTCTTTATTTTTTAATTTTTTAGAGTCAGGGTCTCATTTTGTTACCCAGGCTAGAGTTCCATGGCACAATCATAACTTACTGTAGCCTCGACCTGGGCTCAAGTGATCCTCCACCTTAGCCTCCCAAGTAGTTGGGACTACAGGCACGCACCACCACGCCTGGCTAATTTTTAATTTTTTTGTAGAGATGAGATCTCACTGTGTTGCCCAAGCTATTCTCAAACTCCTGGGCTCAAGCAATCCTCCTGCTACAGCCTCCCAAAGAGCTGGGATTACAGGTGTGAGCCACTGCCAAGGCTGTTTTGAGATTCCTGTTTTCACCTCAGAATCTCAAGTTCATTCCCTACAGGGGCCAGGCAGGAAACACAGGGCCAAGTGGGAACTGGAGGAGCTGGGCCAGTGCTGAGCTGTGAAAACCACACCTCATCCAGAGTTGGGAGTGCCTCTGAGCTCCAGCTCCTTGTGCCCATGCGGGAATGCTGGCCCAGCTTGTCCAATCCTCTGAGTTGCAAGAGGAGCCAGAAATCCAGTTTTTCTGGATGAATACTTAACCATTATTAAATCTGGGCTCAGATTTTTTTTAACCATGTTGTATAAGCCACACAAAACACGTACAGCTTCTGAAGTTGATCTTGTGGGAAGTTTTATCCTGAGGACAGCTAAGGTCAGGGAGAACAAAGAGGAGTGTGTTTCCTTTTCATGGGTCGACAGTTGTCTACCTGTATGGACGGGTGTGACTAGGAAAGGGGAGATTCCCAAGGAAAAATACCAAGACTCTGCTAGTCTAGAGATTGAAAAAAAAAGAAAGAAAAACCCCAAGACTATTTTGAGATGTGTGTTCTAATCTCAGGTAAATTACTCACTAAACTCTGGATTCCTAAAGAGTATAAAATGGTTGGCCGGGCGTGGTGGCTCACGCCTGTAATCCCAAAACTTTGGGAGGCCGAGGCTGGTGCATCACGAGGTCAGGAGATCGAGACCATCCTGGCTAACATAGTGAAACCCCATCTCTACTAAAAATACAAAAAATTAGCCAGGCGTGGTGGCGGGTGCCTGTAGTCTCAGCTACTCAGGAGGCTGAGGCAGGAGAATGGCGTGAACCCGGAAGGCGGAGCTTGCAGTGAGCCGAGATTGCATCACTGCACTCCAGCCTGGGTGACAGAGTGAGACTCTGTCTCAAAAAAAAAAAAAAAAAAAAGACCATGTGCTTAGTGCCAAGGGAAAAGACAGATGAGTGGATTAATTATTTCTTTTTTTTTTTTTTTAACAAACAAAATCTTGCTCTGTTGCCCAGGCTAGAGCGCAGTGGTTCAAACACAGCTCACTGTAATCTCAAATTCCTGAGCTCAAGGGATCCTCTCACCTTAGCCTCCTGGGTAGCTGGCACCATAGCTGTGTGCCACCATGCCCAGCTAATTTTATTAACTTATGTTTTTGTAGAGGTAGGGTCTTGCTATGTTGCCCAGGCTGCTGTTGAACCCCTGACCTCAAGTTAATTCTCCTGCCTCGGCCTCCCAAAGTGCTGGCATCACGGTCATGAACCATCGCTCCTGGCTCCTAATTCATTCTTCATAGGATACTAAATGATAATAACCAGTATGGAGAAAAGAGTAACAGGCTTAGAAACTAGGGCGAGGGATGCCCTTGTAGATAGGGCAGTTTTCTCTTAGGAGGTGATGCTGGAGCAGAGACCTGCATGAAGTGAGGAGCCAGCCCCGTGGTGACCTGGGGGAAGAATGTTCAAAGCAAAAAGAATAGCCAATGCAGAGGCCCCACAGCAGGAGTGTTCTAGATGTATTTGAGGAGCATCAAAAAGACCAGCTTGGTCTAACCATAGTGAGCAGAATGACCAGGGATGTGAGGATAGAAGGCTTGCCAGGTCGGGCACAGGGGTACACGCCTGGAATCCCAGCACTTTGGGAGGCCAAGAAGAGAGGATCACTTGGACCCAGGAGTCCAAGACCAACCTGGGCCACATAGTGAGACCTCATCTCTACAAAAAATTACCCAGGTGTAGTGGTGCACTCTTATAGTCCCAGCTACTTGGGAGGCTGAGGTGGGAGCATCACCTGAGCCTGGGGAAGTTGAGGTTGAGGCTGCAGTGAGCTGTGATCATGTTACAGAATTCCTTCAGTGCCACTTTGCCAGCCAGAAATCTCTGCAGCTGCCCTCACCTCTGTCGGGGCCTCGCTTGGGCCTTCTGGGCCCATTTGGCCCAGCAGGCTGCACTTGGCTCATGCCCACTTGGATCCCACACCTGCCATGGCTCCACACTCAGCCCATGGCTGGACTGGGTGTGCCACGAGTGGCTTCTGTGTTGGGTGCTGGCATCTAGATGAGGGGAACATGGTGGCACCCAAAAACTTGGGAAATACCATCAGTTGTGGAGCTCCAAGGGGTGTTATAGCTCTTGTTTGGGGAGTCCTGAGATCTGAGTCCCCAGCACTGTCTCAGCTCTTCACTCCTGTAGCTTGGTGAGTGGGAGCGTGTTACAGCTCTCTTTCTCCTGTAGTCTGGTGAGCGGGAGCGTGTTACAGCTCTTTTATTCCCGTCACCCGCAGCTTGGCGAGTTTTGGGTTCTTGTCCTGCAACCAAGAGGAATGAGGTGTGCAGGTACCATAGAGTGAGTAAGGCAGAGAAGAATTTTATTGAATGACAGAAGGGAAACTCTCCACTGCGAGAGGGGACCCTGAAAGTGGTAGCCATCTGTGAGGCTGAGTCTATCATTTTTATGGGCTTAGAATGGGGGCATGCCTGCCGATTGGTCCATGAGTGGTCTTGGAAAAAGGACCATTCAGTTGGTTAAAACATCATCCGGAAGGAACCAATCGAGAGAGTGGGTGAGACAGGGAAACAAGTTCTCACTCCAGTCATGGACTCTATCCTGACTTGACAGTTTGGTTTTCAGGCTGTCTTTGGCTTAGAAGTCAGATTTCACCAGGGACCTGTCCCTGACTGCCTAGGAATTTGTCTGTCTCCTGTCAGTCATGCCATTACACTCCAGCCTGGAGCGACAGTGTGAGACCCTGTCTCAAAAAAAAAAGGCTTTCCAGGAGCCAGATTACATGGTGCCTCACAGACCAAGATGAAGGCTTCAGTTTCACAGAGGATCTGCTACTTATCAGGTACCACGCCAGGCATGAGGGATACAGTGATGAACAACGGTGATGGTGGCGGGTCCCACCCTCGTGGAATTCCTGGGGCAGCATCATTGTGAGAATGAGGCTTGCAGCCCAGAGCTTGTCCCCCACCCTGGTGTTTTGGCGAGGCAGAGGGCAGGTATTCAGGCACCTCATGGTGGCTGACTTCTGGAGCACCTTACTTTGGGAGTCATTCTTTCTTTTTTAATTTTTTTCATTTTATTTATTTATTTATTTATTTATTTATTTATTTATTTATTGAGATGGAGTCTCGCTCTGTCGCCCAGGCTGGAGTGCAGTGGTGCGATCTCGGCTCACTGCAAGCTCCACCTCCCGGGTTCATGCCATTCTCCCGCCTCAGCCTCCCGAGTAGCTGGAACTACAAGTGTCTGCCACCAAGCCCAGCTAATTTTGTTTTTGTATTTTTAGTAGAGACGGGGTTTCACTGTGTTAGCCAGGATGGTCTTGATCTCCTGACCTCGTGATCTGCCCGCCTCAGCCTCCCAAAGTGCTGGGATTACAGACGTGAGCCACCGCGCCTGGCTATTATTATTATTTTTTTAGAGGCGGTGTTTCACCATGTTGCCCAGGCTGGTTTCGAACTCCTGAGCTCAAATGATCCACCTACCTCGGCCTCCCAAAGTGCTGGGATTACAGGCATGACCCAGCATGCCCAGCCTTTTAAAAATAATGACATATAAGCAAGGCGTGGTGGCTCTCACATGGGGTGGCTCTTGTCTGGGCAGGCGGATCACAAAGTCAGGAGTTCCAGACCAGCCTGGCCAACATGTTGAAACCCTGTCTCTAATAAAAATACAAAAATTAGTTGGGCGTGGTGGCACATGCTTGTAATCCCAGCTACTCAGGAGGCTGAGGCAGGAGAATTGCTTGAACCGGGAGGTGGAGGTTGCAGTGAGCCGAGATCGTGCCACTGCACTCCAGCCTGGGTGACAGAGCTAGACTCTGTCTTCGGGGAAAAAAAAATGACATATAATTCACATGATATGAAATTTACCATATCAAAGTGTACAATTCAGTGGTTTTCAATATATTTACTGTGTTGCGCAACCGTCACCACTAATTCCAGAACATTTCCATCACCCCTAAAAGAAACTCTTCCTTATTAGCAGTTGTTTTCCATTCTACCCTCTCCTACCACCTGGCAACTACTGATCTCTTTCTGCCTCCATGGATTTGCCTCTTCTGGACGTTTCATATGAATGAGATCATATAATATATGGCCTTCTGTGACTGGCTTCCTTCACTTACCATAAGCGCATCTGTGGGCTATCATGCTTCATTCCTTTTTATAGCCAAATAATATTCATCATATGGTTATACCACATTTTGTTTATTCATCACTAGTGAATGAGCATTTTAGTTACTCTGGTTTTTGGCTGTCCAATAAAACTCTATGAACATTTACATGCCAGAGTTTAAGTTAACATGTTTTCAGTTCTCCTAGGGGAGTCCCTCTTAAACCCTGGGGCATTCCAAGATACCACATTAAAGAGACTTGTTTAGCATTAGATCAGGAAGGGATCCCCCCAAATTTACCCGATTTAGCCCTCCTTTCTGACAAATGAAGAAATGGAGGTCCCATGAGAGGGAGCCAAGTAACACTGATAATCACAGATGGCTGGGTGCCATGGCTCACGCCTATAATCCCAACACTGGGAAGCCGAGGCAAGAGGATCACTTGAGCCCAGGAGTTTGAGACCAGCCTGGGCAACATAGGCAGACCTTGTCTCTATAGAAAACTTAAAAAAAGTTAGCCAGGCCTGGTGGCATGTACCTGTAGTCTCAGCTACTTGGGAGGCTGAGGTGGGAGGATCACTTGAGCCTGAGAGGTTGAGGCTTCAATTAGCCGAGAACGTGCCACTGCACTCCAACCTGGGCAACAGAGTGAGACCCTGTCTCAAATAAATAAATACATAAATACCAAAGCATAGAGAGCACCGGTCACAGGCCACTTGATGAGTACTTTACTTAGATCATCTTACTCTAGTCTCATGATGATCCTCATGAGAAAGTTACTACTTGTTTCCTTCTTTGACAGATGAGAACCCAGAGCCCAGAAAGATGACTTGCCCAAGATCTCTGAGCTGGCTGGTACGTTTGAACCCAGGCCCACTCAGCTCAGTTTGTGTTAGCATTGAGGGTAGCAAGGTGAACAATGTCCTTATCTTCCCAATTCCTTTGAAAGCTCTTTGAGGGCAGAAACACCATCTTCCAGTTCTTGTGTCCCTGTGCCCTCTCCTGAAAGCATTCATAATGAAATTTATCCTATGTAATCGGAGGGAATTGGACTTTGGGTTTGGGGTTTGGCTTACAGTAGATCATATTTAATCTATTCTATAGCATATATTGAAACTGTCCTAAATATACACCACTGGGCTAAGTGCTTATAAGCACTGACACATTTGTTCTCACAATTCCCTCTGCACAGGAGGCTGCTAGCTCCACTTTTCAAAAGAGGAAACTGAGGCTTAGAAAGATTAAGTCTAGCTGGGCATGGTGGCACATTCCTATAATCCCAGCTACTCGAGAGGCTGAGGTGGGAGGATCACTTGAGCCTAGAAATTGGAGACTGTAGTGAGCTATGATTGCACTACTGCACCCTAGCCTGAGTGACACAGCAAGACTCGCTCTCTACTAAAAAAATAGCCAGATGTGGTG
This sequence comes from Homo sapiens, assembly GCF_000001405.40. NCBI lineage: Eukaryota > Metazoa > Chordata > Mammalia > Primates > Hominidae > Homo > Homo sapiens. Next base: position 23,545,814 of record NC_000016.10, on the reverse strand, counting down.
ATGTGCACCTGTAGTTCTAGCTACTCGGGAGGTTGAGGCAGGAGGGTGGCTTGAGCCCGGAAGTTCGAGGCTGCAGTGTGCTATGATCACACCACTGCACTCCAGCTGGGTGATAGAGTGAGACCCCATCTCTTAGAAAAAGAAAGGCTAAGTAACACAAACAGCAGTGTAATGAGTGGTTAAGAATATCGGCTCCGGTGCCCATTAGTCTGGGTTTGAAGCTGATCGTGCCCCTTCTACTCGGCCAGGTGACAAAGCATCTCTGTGCCTCAGTGTCCTCACAGAGTGGGGGAATAACCGCACCTACCTGGTAGGGTGGGTTTGAGGCTTCAGGGAAAAGTGTCTTTTATGGCACTCAGCACCCTGGTGCTCACACGTTGGTAGCACCTCAGGATCCCTTGTCACAGCTACTAAGTGGCAGAGCCATGAGTCCCACCAGGGCCTGATGGGCTGTTCTCTGAACCATGCTTTTTTCTCCTAAGTCAGCTGTTCCCAGGCCTGGGCTTGTTTCTCCCTCTCCAGGGAATCCCATCAGGGATTGAGAGGACATACAATTAGGGATGTGGACTTTGGAGCCCGTACACCTCCGTTTGCTCCTTAGTCCATGAGCCCATGCGACTTTGAGTGCTTCACCTCTCTGTGTTTTAACTTTTCATCTCTAAAAGGGACATTGGGCCGGGTGCAGTGGCTCACGCCTGTAATCCCAGCACTTTGAGAGGCCGAGGCAGGTGGATCACCTGAGGTCGGGAGTTCAAGACCAGCCTGGCCAACATGGTGAAACGCTGTCTCTACTAAAAATACAAAAATTAGCTGGGTGAGGTGGCACATGCTTGTAATCCCAGCTATTCGGGAGGCTGAGGCAGGAGAACCGCTTGAACTTGGGAGGTGGAGGTTGCAGTGAGCTAAGATTGCACCACTGCACTCCAGCCTTGGCGACATCAGAGCAAGACTCTGCCTCAAAAAAAAAGGCGGCGGGGAGGACATTGTACTAATGCCAACCTCATGGATTGTTATGAGGATTAAAGCTTTAATATGTGCATAAAGTGCTTAGAGCAATGCCTGAGAACGAGCGCTGTGTGCACCTTAGCTGTCATTATTCCCTGTGTTCCAGGCATCCCGCCTGATGAGAGCCCCCGCCGGGGCGGTCCTGCTGGGCCCTACCAGCAATCTCAGCGGTTGGAGCTGTATGCCCAGGCCACAGAAGCGCTGCTGAAGACCGGAGCTGCTTACCCCTGTTTCTGCTCACCCCAGCGGCTGGAGCTCCTGAAGAAGGAGGCCTTGCGGAACCACCAGACGCCCCGGTAAGAACCTCAGCTTGTTGCAGATGCCTCATCAACATTGGGTGTGTTTGTTACCTTGTGCTGCGTAAGAAATTCCCCTAAACATGTATTACCTCTCAGTTTCTGTGGGTCAGGCATCTGAGCGTGGCCTCACCTGTTTCTTTGGCTCAGGGATTCTCTCAAAGCCACAAGCAACTACAGGTCCTAGCCAGTCCTGGAGTTCTCTTAAAGCTTAGCTTGGGGAAGATCTACTTCCATCTCCTCTCAGAAGGCTATTGGCCAACCTCAGGTCCTTGCTAGCTGTTGCCTGGAGACATCAGTTCTTTGCCATGCGAGCCTCTCCATAGAGCAGCTTACAGCGTGGCAGCCAGCATTTCTCAAAGCCAGCCAAGGAGAGAGTGAGCACGTACGAGCTGGAGTCTACCTAGTTGTGGAAGCAACTTCTCACCACTTTTGTTTTATAGGCTATGTATTCCTTCTCTGGAACGCTTGGGACCAGAAGTGTTTTGGATTTCAGATTTTTTGCATATTGAAATATCTGCATATATATAATGAGATATCTTGGGGGTGGGACCCAAGTCTAAACATGAGATTCATTTATGTTTCATGTACGCCTTATACACATAGGCTGGAGGTGATTTTATGCAATATTTTAAATAATTTTGTGCACGAAACAAAGTTTTGACTATTTTGACTGTAGCCTGTCACATGTGTTTGGGTGTTGTATTTTCCACTTATGGCATCATGTCAGCACTCAAAAGGTTTCAAATGTCAGATCAGTTGTGGCTTTTTTTTTTTTTTTTTGAGACAGTCTCACTCTGTCGCCCAGGCTGGAGCGCAGTGGTGCAATCTTGGCTCACTGCAACCTCTGCCTCCTGGGTTCAAGCAGTTATCCTGCCTCAGCCTCCTGGGTAGCTGGGACTACAGGTGCCCGCCACCACACCCATTTAATTTTTGTATTTTTAGTAGAGACGGGTGTCACTGTGTTGGCCAGGCCAACCTCAGGTGATCCACCTTTCTCAGATTCCCAAAGTGTTAGGATTATAGGCGTAAACCACCGTGCCCAGCCAGATCAGGTTTTTTGGTTTTTTTTTTGTTGTTGTTGTTGTTGTTTTTTTTCATAGAGTCAGGGTCTTACTTTGTCACCCAGGCTGGAGTGCAATGGTGTGATGTTGGCTCACTGCAGCCTCCAACTCCTGGACTCACGCAGTGCCCCCATCTCAGCCTCCCAAGTAACTAGGACTGTACTCCTGGCTAATTTTTTTTTTTAAACTTTTCATAAAGATGGGGATCTCACTATGTTGCCCAGGCTGGTCTTGAACTCCTGGCCTCAAGCAATCCTCCCACCTTGGCCTCCTAAAGTGCTGGGATTATAGATGTGAGCCACTGCACCTGACTTTTTTTTTTTTTTTTTTTTGGTGAGACAGAGTCTTGCTCTGCTACCCAGGCTAGAGTGCAGTGGTGCAATCTCAGCTTACTGCAGTCTCCACCTCCCGGGTTCAAGGGATTCTCGTGCCTCAGCCTCCTGTGTAGCTGGGACTACAGGCACATGCCACCACACCTGGCTAATTTTTGTGTTTTTAATAGAGAGAGGGTTTCGCCATGTTGCCCAGGCTGTTCTCAAACTCCTGAACTCGAACAATCTTCCCACCTCAGCCTCCCAAAGTGCTGGGATTACAGGCGTGAACCACTGCACCTGGACCATTGGAGCATTTCAGATTAGGCATATTTGGCATTATTTTTGTTCATTAGACAAAAGTCACTAGGCCCAGCCCACACTCAAGGGGAGGGGACTACACAAGGACAGAAACACCAGAAGGCGAGAATGACTGGGGCTATGTTAGAAGCCAAGATTTGGTCTCAGAAAGTAATGTGTAAAGTAATTTTAATTATTTGTTATTTTTAATGAGCAAGGTCCACAGGCCGGACGTGGTGGCTCACGCCTGTAATCCCAGCACTTTGGGAGGCTGAGGTGGGTGGATCACGAGGTCAAGAGTTCAGGACCAGCCTGGCCAATGTGGTGAAACCCCGTCTCTGCTAAAAATACAAAAATTAGCTGGGCGTGGTGGTGCGCATGTAGTCCCAGCTGCTCGGGAGGCTGAGGCAGGAGAATCATTTGAACCCAGGAAGTGGAGGTTGCAGTGAGCCAAGACTGCACCACTGCACTCCAGCCTGGGCGATAGAGCGACACTGTCTCAAAAAAAAAAAAAAAAAAAAAGAAAAATGAAAGGTCCACAAAGGGCCAAGTATGGTGGCTCACGTCTGTAATTCCAGCACTTTGGGAGGGCGGAGGTGGGCAGATCACTTGAGGTCAGAAGTTCGAGACCAGCCTGGCCAACATGGTGAAACCCCATCTTTACTAAAAATACAAAAATTAGGCCTGGAGTGGTGGCTCATGCCTGTAATCCCCGTACGTTGGGAAGCCGAGGTGGGCAGATCACCTGAGGTCAGGAGTTCAAGACCAGCCTGGCCAATATGGTGAAACCCCATCTCTACAAAAATACAAAAATTAGCTGGGCATGATGGCGGGTGCCTATAATCCCAGCTACTTGGGAGGCTGAGGCGGGAGAATAATTTGAACCTGGGAGGCGAAGGTTGCAGTGAGCTGAGATCATGCCATTGTACTCCAGCCTGGGCAACAGAGCAAGACTCCATCTCCAAAAAAAAAAAAAAATTAGCTGAGCTTGGTGGTGCACGCCTGTAATCCTAGCTACCTGGGAGGTTGAGGCACTAGAATCGCATGAACCCAGAAGGTGGAGGTTGCAGTGAGCTGAGATTGTGCCATTGTACTCCAGCCTGGGTGACAGAGGGAGACTGTCTCAAAAAAAAAAAAAAGAAGATCCACAAAGATATATATTGAAAGAACTCTCTTCCAATCTTGACTCTGGCCACTCAATTCTGCTCTCCAGAGATAACCAGTGTTAAAATTTTCTTATGTCTCCTCCAGAGACATTCAGTACATATACCTATAAGTACATATTATTTTCTCTTTTTCCTTATTCACATGGTAGCATGCAATGTACTATGTACATGCTATGTGGTGCAATTTACCATGTCCGCTTACCATCTTGAGGATCAGATATCAGTCCATAATAATGCATAATATTCCATTTGTGGATATAACTTCATTTACTTAATCAGTTTCGTCTTAACAAACATTTATTTTTGTTTTGTTTTGTTTTGTTTTATGTTATGTTGTGTTATTTTAGAAATGGAGTCTTGCTCTATTCCCCAGGCTGGAGTGCAGTGGCAAGATCTTGGCTCACTGCAATCTCCATCTCCCAGGTTCAAGTGATTCTCTGGCCTCAGCCTCCCGAGTAGCTGGGATTACAGGTGCCCGCCACCACACCCTGCTAATTTTTGTATTTTTTTGGTAGAGATGGGGTTTCACCATGTTGGTCAGGCTGGTCTCAAACTCCTGACCTCAAGTGATCTGCCCAAGTGATCCTCAAGTGGCCTCCCAAAGTGCTGGGATTACAGGCATGAGCTACGACACTCGGCCTTAATAAACCTTTATGTTATTTATTTATTTATTTATTTTTTGGAGACGGAGTCTTGCTCTGTTGCCCAGGCTGGTGTGCAGTGGTGTGATCTTGGCTCACTGCAACCTCCACTTCCTGGATACAAGCAATTCTCCTGTCTCAGCCTCCTGAGGAGCTGGGACTAGAGGTGCATGCCACCACACTTGGCTAATTTAATTTTCTTTTATATTTTAGTAGAGACGGGGTTTCACCGTGTTACCCAGGCTGGTCTTGAACTCTTGAGCTCAGGCAATCCACCTGCCTCGGCCTCCCAAAGTGCTAGGACGAGCTCAGGCAATCCACCTGCCTCGGCCTCCCAAAGTGCTAGGACTACTGGCATGAGCCACTGCGCTCAGCCCAAACCTTTATGTTATTTCTAATATTTGGTTATAAAAGAAGAGAGCTGTGATGACTAATGTTGACATATGTCATTTTGCACTTGTGCAGTATGTTTGCTGAATACCTTCCTAGAGGTGGAATTGCAGAGTCGAGTTGTAGCTTTGATGGATACTGCCAAGTGGCTGGCCCTTTACTTGTTTACACTCCCATCTGCAATAGCATTGTAACATTTACATTGCAGTTCCAGTGAACTATTTGGTCAAGGGCTCAGCTGTTTGGCCAAGGTCATGACGTTTACGGTGACATTGCCTTTTTATTATAAACAATGTATTTGTCTCTTGACAGAATATTTTTTTTCTCATCTCATTCTGTGACCCAGGCTGGAGTGCAGTAGCATGATCACAGCTCATTGCAGCCTTGAATCTCCTGGGTTCAAGCAATCCTACATCCTCAGCCTCTCAAGTAGCTGTGACCACAGCCATGTACCACCACACACAGAGTGTTATGTTTTGTTTTGTTTTGAGATGGGGTCTCACTCTGTCACCCAGATTGGAGTGCAGTGGTGTGATATTGGCTCAAGGCAACTTCTGCCTCCTGGGCTCAAGCAGTCCTCTCATCTCAGCCTCCCAAACAGCTGGAACCACAGGTGTGTGCCGCCATGCCCGGCAAATTTTTTTTGTATTTTTTGGTAGAGACGGGGTTTCTCCGTGTTGCCTAGGCTGGTCTCAAACTCCTGAGCATAGGAGATCCACCCACCTCAGCCTCCCAAAGTGCTGGGATTATAGGTGTGAGCCATCATGCCCGGCTGGCACACAGCTAGTTTTTAAATTTTTGTAGAGATGGAATTCCCCTATTTTGCCCAGGCTGGTATGAAACTCAAGCGATCTTCCCACCTCAGCTTCCCAAAGTGCTGGGATTATAGGCATGAGCCACCATGCCTGGCCAACAGATTTTTTTTTTTTGTTAAATTATAGTCATGCCCTGTTGTGGAATCCTTGCAGCCATTTATTTATTTATTTATTTTAAGCTTTCAGGATTTGTATTAAATCCTAGTCTAATTTAACGGTATCTGATGTTACACACATCATCTCATGGTGAACGTGTTTAATAAGCGAAAGCAAATCAGACAGCTTATCTAAGTCGTTATTTTTTGTGGACTAAACAGTAAGGTAACAACTACCCAGAACCCTATGGGTCATGATGGACACTTGCTCAGTTTTCATACAAGCTGTGTTGGTTATCAAAGTATATCTGCTAATATTTAATAAAGTGAAATGTCATTGGGGTGGAAAAGTCAAGCCTAGACATTTGGTTGGAAAAGAACAGATCAAGTATGGATTTCACAAACCAAAAGTTTATAAACTCAATGCAATACAAGTCCTTTCTATTGTAAAAGCTTAGTTGAAACTAAAAGATCTGTAAAAACTATTACTTTGGGCCTTAAACAGTACTAGCTCTTATGAGCAAAAAAAGGACACAACTGCAGCCTGGGCAACGTGGTGAAACCCTATCTATATTAAAGTACAAAAATTAGCTGGGCTTGGTGGTGTGTGCCCATAATCTCAGCTACTTAGGAGGCTGAGGCAGGAGAATCAGCTGAACTAGGGAGATGGAGGTTGCAGTGAGCTGAGATTGTGCCACTGCACTCCAGCCTGGGAGACAGAATGAGACCCTGTCTCAAAAAAAAAAAAAAAAAAAAAAGGAGGGGGGCCATAACTGTTGAGAATGTATTACTTGGTTTTATTTTACATTAGGTGGTAGGTACAAAGCAATCCTTCTTAATAAAGCTGACAGTTAGCTTCCCTTAGGACTTTTTTTTCCAGACAGGGTCTTGCTGTGTCACCCAGGCTGGAGCGATGCAATCATGACTCACCACAGCCTTGACTTCCTGGGCTCAAGCAATCCTGCTTCAGTCTCCCAAGTGGGTGGAACTACACACATGTACCCACCATGCCCGGCTAATTCTTTTTTTTTCTTAAATTTCTAGTAGAGACAAGGTCTCGTTACCCAGGTTGGTTTTGAACTCCTGGGCTCAAGCAGTTCTCCTGCCTTGTCCTCCCGAAATGCTGGGATTACAGGAGTGAGCCACCGCACTTGGACAGAACATATTCAATAATGCACATTTAAAACAAGTATTCATCTTACAAGTTGTTCTGTAATCCAAACATATGACAGCTTGGAGAACAACATTTAGAAAACAGAAGCCAATGTAAAAAGACAGATTAATACAACTAGAAGCCAGGCACGGTGGCTCACGCCTGTAATCCCAGCACTTTGGGAGGCTGAGGTAGGCAGATCACCTGAGGTCAGGAATTCGAGACCAGCTTGGCCAACGTGGTGAAACCCCATCTCTGCTGAAATTAGCTGGGCATGGTGGCGTGCACCTGTAATCCCAGCTACTTGGGAGCCTGGGAGGCAGAGGCTACAGTGAGCCAAGATCACGCCGCTGCACTCCAGCCTGGGTGACAGAGCGAGACTCCATCTCAAAACAAAAAACAAAAAAACCCAACTAGGATAGTGTAGGTTTTGTATGGCTCAGACTTTACAGTTTTCTTACTGCATCATCAATGTATCGATTAGAATATCTGTTCCAGCTAGGTGCGGTGGCTCATGCCTGTAATCCCAGCACTTTGGGAGGCCAAGGTGGGCAGATTGCTAGAGCCCAGCCTTCGCAACATGGTGAGCCCCCATTTCTACTAAAAAAAATACAAAAATTAGCCAGGCATGGTGGTGCACGCCTGTAGTCCCAGCTACTTGGGAGGCTGAGGTGGGAGAATCACTTTACCCTTGGGAATGTCTAGGCTGCAGTGAGCTGTGATCACTCTACTGTACTCCAGCCTGGGTGACAGAGTGAGACCCTGACTCAAAAAAAAAAAAAAAGAAAGAAAAAGAAAAGAAAAGAAAGAAACCCTGTCTCTACTAAAAATACAAAAAATTAGCTGGGTATAGTCGTGCATACCTGTAGTCCTAGCTGCTCGGGAGGCTGAGATGAGAGAATCACATGAGCCCAGGAAGTCAAGACTGCAGTGAGCCATGATTGCACCACTGCATTCCAGCCTGATCAACGAGAGTGAGACCTTGTCCCCTGTCTCAGTAAATGAATGAATGAATGAATGTTTCTTCAGCTGGCCCCATTGCTGTGGATTTAAAGAAATACCTTTTCTTCCTGGTTTTATTTAACCTTTGAGATCCATCCAATAATCTCTAATACCATCAATTAGCACTTCCCCTTTAACATCCCAAACACTAAGGTACCTCATTTTCCCAATCTGAAACATGTTATCAGCTGAGTACAGTGGCCTGTAATCTAATCACAGCACTTTGGGAGGCTGAGGAGGGTGGATCACTTGAGACTAGGAGTTCGAGACCAGCCTGGGCAACATGGTGAAACCCCATCTCTATATGAAATTTAAAAAAGAAAATAAACATGTTATTATGTTTACTGCCGCTGCTCTGTTTGGAAGATGACAGAGCTCCCAAAGTTTTGCCAGTCTTTTGTTCCTTTACAAGTTTTTCTGGAGCAACTTACTTTTTCTTCTTTAACTTTTTGTCAAACTCACTGTCAGAATTCCTGCCAGAAGAGCTTGAAGAAACAAGTTCCTTTGATTCAGACATAATGCTGCCCTGCTTCTGCAGCTGAACACCCTCCTGTTCACTCATGTGCAACTGACTCATTTGTAAAAATTTCTTTTTTGGCCGGGCACGGTGGCTCACACCTGTAATCCCAGCACTATGGGAGGCCGAGGCGGGTAGATCACGAGATCAGGAGTTCGAGACCAGCCTGACCAACGTGGTGAAACCCCATTTCTACTAAAAATATAAAAATTAGCCGGTTGTGGTGGCAGGCACCTGTAATCCTAGCTACTCAGGAGGCTGAGGCAGGAGAATTGCTTGAACCCTGGAGGTGGAGGTTGCAGTGAGTCAAGGTCACGACACTGCACTCCAGCCTGGGTGACACAGCGAGACTCTATCTCAAAAAAAAAAAAAAAAAAGAAAAAAAAAGTTTTTTTTTTGAGACAGGGTCTCGCTGTGTCACCCAGGCTAGAGTGCAGTGGTGCCATCATAGTTTACTGCAGCCTCAACCTCCTGGGCTCCAGTGATTCTTCCACCTTGGCCTCCCACAGAGCTGGGACTACAGGAATGCACCACCACACCTGGCTGATTTTGTTTTGTTTTGTTTTGTAGAGACAGAGTCTCACTATGTTGCCCAGGCTGGTATTTTAAATTTTTAAATAAGAGACAGGATTTTGCTATGTTACCCACGCTGGTCTTGAACCCTTGAGGTCAGGCTGTCCTTCTACCTTGACCTCCCAAAACACTGGGATTACAGACGTGAGCAACTGTGTCCAGCCCTGTGCACCATTTATTGATTGATTGAACACTTAGCTGTGGCAAAGACTAACCTTACAAGCATTCCATCTGTGTCTCAGAACGCTTTTGGGTGCAGTTAGTGGAATACCCTGTTAGAAGGGACAAACGATACTTTAACTCACAGATGGATCACCTGGGGACCTAGTTAATGTTCAGATTCTGACTCAGTAGGTCTGGGGTGGAGCCTAAGAGTCTGCATTTCTGGCAGACTCCCAAGAGGCTGATGCTAGGGGCCCACAGACCACACTTTCAGTAGCCAGGGCATCAATCATAGACATTTGTCTTTTGATTCTGCACAAGGCTGGAGGTGGGTGACTCCAGGATGAGACTAGCAGTGTAGAGACACCAGGGCTCTATTTTGGCTTCTCTCTGACTTCATTGCCTTCCCTCCTGCAGTTGCAAGTAGCTGCCGCAGGTCCAAGCATGCTCCCCTTACAGGACAACATCCAAAGAGGACAGAAGTGGGGCAGTGGGAAATTTTAAGAAGGGATTTTCCTCCTGTGGCTTTCTCTTCTTGTCCTTTGGAGAGAAAAACCTTTCCCGGAACCTTAAACCTTTCTTACTCCCCAGGCATGCTTTTCTTTGCATCCCAGTGACTAGGATGGGGTTACATTCCTGCCTGGACTGGTCACTGGCATGGAGCAATAGGATTGCAAGATTGGCTATACCAATCAGGATTCAACCCCTCGGACTAAGCATTTTGCTATTTTCTTGTTAGCAAGGAAGAAGCGTGGAATGGCTGGTAGATAGGCAGACATTAGTGTCTGCTACACCATGTTATCTCAGTTTTCCACACAACTGTACCATCATCCCTGTTATAGACTGAGGAAGCAGCTTGCAGCAGTAACTGACTTGCTTAAGGTCACACAGCTATGACAGAGGTAGGACTCCTGTCCATCAACCTTTCCATCAACAGTACTCATGCTGCTCTGCTCCCCATCAGGTATGACAATCGGTGCAGGAACATGAGCCAGGAGCAGGTGGCCCAGAAGCTGGCCAAGGACCCCAAGCCTGCGATCCGCTTCCGCCTGGAGCAGGTGGTGCCAGCCTTCCAGGACCTGGTCTATGGCTGGAATAGGCATGAAGTGGCCAGCGTGGAGGGAGACCCAGTCATCATGAAGAGCGACGGCTTCCCCACATACCACCTGGCCTGCGTGGTGGACGACCACCACATGGGCATCAGCCACGTGCTGCGAGGCTCTGAGTGGCTCGTCTCCACTGCCAAGCACCTGCTCCTCTACCAGGCCCTGGGCTGGCAGCCACCCCACTTCGCCCACCTGCCCCTGCTCCTCAACAGGGATGGCAGCAAGCTCTCCAAGAGGCAAGGGGACGTTTTCCTGGAGCACTTTGCTGCTGATGGCTTCCTGCCCGATTCCTTGTTGGACATCATCACCAACTGTGGCTCAGGTTTTGCAGGTACGTGCCCACCTGAATAGTCCTGGCAGCAGAGAGCATGGCCAGGAGGAGCAGGGCTTTGGCTCAGACAGTCCTGCTCTTTGGTCCCAGCTTTGCCACCTACCAGCCAGGTGACCTTGGACAAGTTTATTCTTTTATTCAATAAATGTTTATTTTGCCAGACACCACATTAAGTGCTGGGGCTACAGTAGTGGGTGAGATAGACATGATCCCTGCCCTCAAGGGACTTATAGTCTCTGAGCCTCAGTTGCATATCTGGAAAATGGGGATAAGTGTCTACCTCATTGGGTTAGGATTCACTGAGCTCAGGAGTGTAAGGTACCCAGCCCAGCACCTGTCACACTGTAAGCACAAAAAATGACAGACCCTATGATTGTGACAATTATTACAAGCATGTATGCTAACAGTATGACTAGAATTAATATGGATTTAGTTTCTTTTTTTCCTTCTTCATTTTACTGCCAGATGAATCTAGTTTATTTCAAGCTGAGCACTTACCCATGGTCCAAGACTTAGACCCAAACCTTGAAGAAGCAAGCATCAAATAGGATGACCTGAAGGATTTCTGAAAATGTGTCCAGAATAGCCTGCCTGCTGGTCTCATTTCATTTAACACAACATACTATTAAGGGGTAGATACATATCTCCACTGTTTGTAAGAGGATTGTGAAGCTCAGAGAAGCTGAGTAACTTGCCAAAGTCACACACCTAGTGAGGGATATAGCGCTTTAGGCCTATGCCTGATCACGATGCCTGCTGACCGTATGGGACTGAGCTGCTGCTCACAAGAAGCAGCTCCCAGCACTACGGTTCTTAACTTTTTTTTTTTTTTTTTGAGACAGAACTTCTTGTCCCCCATTCTGGAGTGCAATGGCGCGATCTCGGCTCACCGCAACCTCCGTCTCCTGGGTTCAAGCGATTGTCCTGCCTCAGCCTCCCGAGTACCTGGGATTACAGGCACCCGCCACCACGCTTGGCTAATTTTTGTATTTTTAGTAGAGATGGGGTTTCACCATGTTGTCCAGGCTGTTCTCGAACTCCTGACCTCAGGTGATCCACCCGCCTTGGCCTCCCAAAGTACTGGGATTACAGGCGTGAGCCACCGTGCCTGGCCTGGTTCTTAACTCTTGATCGTGCTTTGGAATCAGCTAGGAAGCTTCTAAAATATGCTCAGACCCCAACCAAACCCAGTTGACTCAGAGTCTCTGGTACAGCCAGGCAATGGGCGTACTGTTCTGCAGCTCGTGTCTTGAGAGTAATGGAGATGGGTTTAGCCTGATTGTTTTCAGACCTTTTTTTCTTTAATGATGGAACCCTTTCTGAAAATGAAAGCTCATTCAGGCTCTTGATATATAAATAGCTAGAAGTTAAATCCCTTTGGGCAAAGTGGAATGGGGGGCCCAGGGCTTGCTCACTCAGCCTCCCTTATGTTTGAAAGTAGAAGGAGGGCGGGCACAGTGGCTCATGTCTGTAATCCCAGCACTTTGGGAGGCCAGTGCAGGAGGATCATTTAAGCCTGGGAGTTTGAGACCAACCTGGGCAATATAGTGAAACTCCATGTCTACAGAAAAATGTATGTATGTATGTGTGTATGATGTATTTATTTGATAGAGTCTCGCTCTGTTGCCCAGGCTGGAGTGCAACGGCACAATCTTAGCTCACTACAATCTCCGCCTCTCAGGTTCAAGTGATTTTCCTGCCTCAGCTTCCTGAGTAGCTGGGATTACAGGCATGCGCCACCACACCTGGCTAATTTTTGTATTTTTAGTAGAGATGGGTTTCACCATGTTTGCCAGGCCAGTCTCGAACTCCTGACCTCATGATCTGCCGACCTCTGCCTCCCAAAATGCTGGTATTACAGGTGTAAGCCACCATGCCTGGCTCTACAGAAAAATTTAAAAATTAGCCAGGTGCGGTAGTATGTGCCTGTAGTCCCAGCTACTTGGAAGACAGGCTGGAGGATTGCTTGAGCCTGGGAGTTTGAGGTTACAGTGAGCTAGGATTGTACCATTGCACTCCAACCTGGGCAGCAGAGCAAGATCCTGTCTCTTAAAAAAAAGAGATAAAGTGGAAGGAGGAAGGGAGAGAGGAAGCTGAGTGGCTGGGCCTCTCTTCTTTGCAGAGAACCAAATGGGCAGGACCCTGCCGGAGCTGATCACACAGTTCAACCTGACACAGGTCACCTGTCACTCAGCCCTGCTGGACCTGGAGAAGCTCCCAGAATTCAACAGGTGAGTGGGGAGCATGGAGATCCCCTGGTGGCAAAGGGCTTTCTTGCTTATGATGATCCCTACAGCAGAGGGTATAATGGGCTCTGGTACCTAATTCTGTGTGACCATGGCTAAATCACCTAGCCTCTTTGAGCCTCTGTTTTCTCTTCTCTAAAATGGGATTAATAACAGTACTGATCTTATATCCTTGTTCTATGAAAGTATCTTGTATTAAGTGTTGCATGAAAATATCTTGTATAGCCCTGGCACATACAAAGTGCTCAGTAAATGGTACGTATATTTTTATCATTAACATTATGTTCCTAGCCACCCCTTGCATGGACTCTGTTAACAACCAAAGCCTGGAGAGGTGTATCTTCATTTTAGACTCCCTCCCCACCCTCAGCCTTACATCCAGCCAACACAGTGAGTGAGCACTGTCTCATGGCATCTACTTTATATTTCATGTATTTGATATTGCAAGTAGCTCTTCACTTGGAAACCTCCAAATATCGTTCCAACTCAGATCATAGTTAACATGTCTGAGTCAAAGGGTATTAGTGTCGGCTGGGTGTGGCGGCTCACACCTTTAATTCTAGCACTTTGAGAGGCCAAGGTTGGCAGATCACCTGAGGTCAGGAGTTCGAGACCAGCCTGGCCAACATGGTGAAACCCTGTCTCTACTAAAAATACAAAAATTAGCTGGACATGGCACATGCTTGTAGTCCCGGCTACTTGGGAGGCTGAGGCACGAGGATCACTTGAACCTGGGAGGCAGAGGTTGCAGTGAGACAGGATCACACCACTGCACTCCAACCTGGGCAACAAAGTGATACTCTGTCTTTAAAAAAAGTTATTAGTGGTTTGCAAGACCATCAGCCAGGTGTGCACCTGGGGTGAGGGTCTTCCTGATACTTTGCCTAGAGCACTGGTTTGGGGACACAGTATCAGTGCATTTACTTGCATGAGCCCAGAGAATTAACATCAGTTGCAGATATTTTAGGGCTATTACTTTATTTACTTCTCCCATCAGACCTATGAGGTCAGTTGTATGATTTTGCCCTGTTTCACGTATGAGGAACCCAGGACATAGAGAGGTTAAGAAACTAGCCAAAGTGGCCAGGCATGGTGGCTCACACCTGTAATCCCAGCACTTTAGGAGGCCGAGGCAGGCAGATCACAAGGTCAGGAGATCGAGACCATCCTGGCGAACACAGTGAAACCCCGTCTCTACTAAAAATACAAAAAACTTAGCCGGGTGTGGTGGCGGGCACCTGTAGTCCCAGCTACTCAGGAGGCTGAGGCAGAAGAATGGTGTGAACCCAGGAGGCGGAGCTTGCAGTGAGCCGAGATCGCTCCACTGCACTCCAGCCTGGGTGACAGAACAAGACTCCGTCTCAAAAAAAAAAGAAAGAAACTAGCCAAAGTTCACACAGTAAACAGTGGGCATCTTTTGAATGGGGCATTCAAGAGTGGATGTAGGCTGGGCGCGGTGGCTCATGCCTGTAGTCGCAGCATTTTGGGAGGCTGAGGCAGGTGGATCTCCTGAGTCAGGAGTCGAGATCAGCCTGGCCAACATGGTGAAACCACATTTCTACTAAAAATAGAAAAAAAAAAAAAAATCAGCCCGACGTGGCGGGCGCCTGTAGTCTCAGCTACTCAGGAGGCTGAGACAGGAGAATCACTTAAACCTGGGAGGTGGAGGTTGCAGTGAGCCGAAATCACACCATTGCACTCCAGCCTGGGCAACAAGAGTGAAACTCCATCTCAAAAAAAAAAAATGCCTCTTTCTATATATTTTAGTGGCTGGGTCTCGCCCTGTCACCCAGGCTGGAGTGCAGTGGTGACATCTCGGTTCACTGCAGCCTCAGACTCCCAGGCTGAAGTGATCCTTCCCCCTCAGCCTCCAGACCAGCTGAGTCTATAGGTGTGTACCACCATGCCAGGCTAATTTTGTTACTTTAAATTTTTTTTGTAGAGATGGCATCTTACCATGTTGCTAGGTTGGTCTTAAACTCCTGGCCTCAAGTGATCCTCCCTTCTTGGCCTCCTAAAGTTCTGGGATTAAGTGAGCCACTGCACCTGGCCAAAAGCTTCTCCAGGTCCAGCAGGACTGAGTGGCAGGTGACCTGGGAAGCGGAGGTTGCAGTGAGCGGAGGTCGCACCACTGCACTCCAGCCTGGGTGACACAGTGAGGCTCCGTCTCAAAAATAAATAAATAAAAATAAAAGGTCAGCTACTATTTTGAAAACACTGAAAGCGTGGCTGGGCATGGTGGCCCACACCTGTAATCCTGGCACTTTGGGAGCCCAGCTGGGTGGATTGCTTGTTGTTGCCTAGCCTGGACAACATAGCAAGACCCTGTCTCTACAAAAAACTAAAAAATTAGCTGGGCATGGTGATGTGTGTCTGTGGGCCCAGCTACTTGGGAGGGTGAGATGGGAGGATCGCTTGAGCCTAGGAGGTCTAGGCTGTAGTGAGCCATGATCGTGGTACTGCACTCCAACCTGGGCAACAGAGCAAGACTCTCAAACAAAAACAAAAACCAAACCCCTGAAAAGAAAGCACGTCTCCGAGTTGCTTGGGACTTTCAGGCTGTTTGTGACCTTAGTCACATCCCTTTCTTTTTATAAACGTGAAGAGATTCTTCTAGCTTGCGAAAGGGAGGGCTCATGGGACCTGATATGTCATTCTTCCAACTTCACCCTTTCCCTGGGGGAGAGACGGTTTGGGTGGGTTGGGGTGTTGACAGCAGGGCAGCCCCTTGATTTCTTCCGCAGACTGCACCTCCAGCGGCTGGTGAGCAATGAGAGCCAGAGGCGCCAGCTGGTGGGGAAGCTGCAGGTCCTTGTGGAGGAGGCCTTTGGTTGCCAGCTGCAAAACAGGGATGTCCTCAACCCAGTCTACGTGGAGAGGATCCTCCTGCTGAGACAGGTGTGGTGTCAGGATTCTGGGAAGCTGAGGGAGGGGTTACTGGGTGCCTCAATTCCTCCTGCCTTCCAGAGCCCTGTCCCTAGTGCATTCAATGACTGCCTCCTTCCCCAGGGTCACATTTGCCGCCTGCAGGACTTGGTGTCCCCAGTATACTCTTACCTGTGGACTCGCCCTGCAGTAGGTCGAGCACAGCTGGACGCCATCTCGGAGAAGGTGGATGTGATTGCCAAGCGTGTGCTGGGGTGAGTACCCGCAGGCTGAGCTCAGGGTTCCACACCCTCCTTCCCTCTCTCTGTCCCATGGCTCTCTTTCCTTCAGGGCTGGGCTGTTGGGGCCCCAGCACAACTCCATGGCCAGTGAAGAAGTGACCCTTCACTGGCTTTCGCTGGTGAGGAGGGCTTACCCGGAGAACCCGGGCTTTCTCTGGACATAGGCATGTGTTCACTGCTTGCACCAACCTGGTTGCATCCCAGCTCTGCCGTGTACTCACCAGATTATGTCACCTTGCTCAGGCGGCTTCACTTTGGCCAAGTTACTGTACCTATTTGAGCTTCCTTTTCCTTCTCAGTGAGAGAGAGATGATGCTAATTCTTACTGTAACAGTAATAACTTTCAATTACAAACGCAACCAAAGCTGGCTTAGGCAAGAGGGGAATAATTGCTTATGTAACTGTAGATGCTAGAAGAAGGGCTGCTTGAGGCACAGCTTAATGCAGGAGTCGGTACTCCATTACCAAGATTCGCTTTCGCTCTCTGCCTTTCCCCTTCTGCCCCTACTCGCCGATGCTGACCACTTTTCCTGCAGAGGCTGTGTATCAGGTAACTAGAGGGCAAGACTCTCTACCAGACAAAAGAAATGACAGCGCATGTCCTTTGTGGAAGTACATTTCTCCATTATGTAGCAATCTGCAGGAAGCAGCTCAGGGCTCATCCTCCCACCTCAGCCTCTTTAGAAACTGGGACTACAGGCACAAGCCACCACGCCCAACTAATTTTTTTATTTTTTGTAGAGACAAGGTCTTGCCATGTTGCCCAGGCTGGTCTCAAACTCCTAGGCTCAAGCAATCTTCACACCTCAGCCTCACAGAGTGCTGGGATTACAGGCGTGAGCCATAGTGCCTGGCCAGGGCCTATTAGTTCTAATTCACCAGGATTCAGTGTCGTAACTGCCTGTCTCCACCATGAGGTTGGGTTTTAGATTTGCTCTGGGACTCCCTCTCGAGTCAGGAAAGCTGATACCCAAATGTTCAGGAGCTGCCAGATCACTAGAAATCCTTTCTGTGCCTATGCCATGGTTCTTAACTCTGGGCCAGCTCTAGCAGGTCTGGAACTGCCATTGTTCCCGGCCTGGGGCCTGTCATTGTTTCATCAGCTCCTCGGCAGCCTGCTTCCCTGCAGTGCCATTGGGGAGAGTGTCTGCTTTTTTCCCACATTATATTTTTTGTCTTCAGTATTTCATCTCCTGATTTTTGTAAATAGCAGTACTCATGTGACCCAGTTAATAATTGTCTCAGTCCATGGGGTTGCTATAGCAAAATAACATAGACTGGTGGCTTCAACAACAGACATTTATTTCTCACAGATCTAGAGGCTAGAACTCCAGGGTCAAGGTGCCGCCGATTCAGTGTCTGGTGAGAGCCTTGTTCCTGGGCCCTTCCCTTTTCCAGCCCTTCGCTGCATCCTCACGTGGTGGAGGGACGAGGGACTCTCTGGGGTGTCTTTTATAAAGGCACTCATCTGTGCATAAGGGCTCGGCCTGCATGACCTGTTCACCTCCCAAAGCCCACACCTGTGAATACTGTCCCCTTGGGGGTTAAAATTTCAACATATGAATTTAGGGGAACACAAACATTCCGAACATAGAGATGATGCAGTAAGAACGATCATCCTTTGCTGGGCGCGGTGACTCACGCCTGTAATCCCAGCACTTTGTGAGGCCCAGGCGGGCCGATCACGAGGTCAGGAGATCAAGACCATCCTGGCTAACACGGTGAAACCCCGTCTCTACTAAAAATACAAAAATTTAGCCGGGTGTGGTGGTGGGCGCCTGTAGTCCCAGCTACTCGGAAGGCTGAGGCAGGAGAATGGCGTGAATCCGGGAGGCGGAGCTTGCAGTGAGCTGAGGTTGCACCACTGGACTCCAGCCTGGGCGACAGAGCAAGACTCTGTCTCAAAAAAAAAAAAAAAAAAAAAGAACGATCACTCTTGTCTGAAATTGAAACTCATCTGCTTCAGTGCTGACAGTTAGTAAGGAGATCTGTCTGCACTGAAAGGCTGCTTCTTCAAATCACTTATGAACCCAGTTCCCTGAGACAGTAGTGGTCCATACTGAGTTGACTTTGGAATGCAGTTGCCTGGACCATGTTTGAGCAGGCAGGGTCAGAACTGACATCACAGACCATCTGCACCAGAAAGATGTCCAGCCCCAGTTCCTCTTCAGTGTTTCCATGTTGGAATCTCCAGTAATAACTGAAGGGAGGCTGGACACTGTGGCTTGTACCTGTAATCCCAGTATTCTGGGAGGGTGAATGGGGAGGATCACTTGAAGCCAGGAGTTTGAGACCAGCCTGGGCAACATAGCTTGACCCCATCTCTACAAAAGGTAAAAATAAAATTAGCCAGGCATCGTGGTGGGTGCCTGTGGTCCAAGCTGCTCAGGCAGCTGAGGTGGGAGGATCGTTTGAGCCCAGGAGTTTGAGGCTGCAGTGAGCTGTGATTGCACCACTGCATTCCAGCCTAGGTGACAGAGCAAGATCCTGTCTTAAAAAAAAAATAATTAATTATTTTTAAAAACTGAGAGGAACTGGAAAGTTGCAGTGAAATATACTCATCCCCAGCCTATTCCCATCTCTTGACTAACTCAATCAGGGCCGAGGCAAATTTTTGTTAAGTCCACCTCTAACTGAATGGAGAATTTCTCCTGAAACAAAAGCTTTTGGGCAGAGCATCTTGCTCAGCTGGACTGCCAGGATGTGGGGGTTGGTTGCTGGCCCGCTGGAATCCTAGAGGCTTCAATTTGTGGAAGAATGGCCATAGCAAGTTGGTGGCAGAGCCATTGCTGGAGCTGGGTGGGGTCTTCTGATTTCTTCTCTTCTTGGCTACGTCTCCAAAGAAGTCTCTCTCTACCAATCTTAAAGCTGTATTTCAGATAATTTCCCAGAAATTATCCATTCTATGTCAAATCTATTCCTAAGTTTCTTTTTTGTTGTGCCTGCAAGCAGAACTGTTTCTTTTTAGATCCTTTTGTAATGTCTCAAAGCTCTTGATTGTACTTAACTAATTTTTAAAAATTTTAAATTCAAATACGAAATGTAATACTTGGCCGGGCATGGTGGCTCACGCCTATAATCCTGCCTATAATCCCAGCACTTTGGGAGGCCAAGGTGAGTGGATCACCTGAGGTCAGGTGTTTGAGACCGGCCTGATCAACATGGTAAAACCCTGTCTCTACTAAAAATACAAAATTAGCTGGGCGTGGTGGCACGTGCCTGTAATCCCAGCTACTCAGGAGGCTAAGGCAGGAGAATCGCTTGAACCTGGAACGTGGAGGTTGCAGTGAGCTGAGATCGTGCCATTGCACTCCAGCCTGGGCAACAGAGCGAGACTCCATCTCCAAAAAAAAAAAAAAAAAAAGGTAATATTTCTGAGTATTTATCATGTGTTCAGGCACTTGGTGCTTTATAAGTTTTAACTCTCTACGATAGCCTTGTGCAGGACAGATACTATTATTTTTTTTTTTTTATTTTGAAACAAAGTCTCGCTCTGTCACCCAGGCTGGAGTGCAATGGTGCAATCTCGGCTCACTGCAACCTCCTCCTCCCAGGTTCAAGCAATTCTTCTGCCTCAGCCTCCTGAGTAGCTGGGACTACAGGCACCCGCCACCATCCCTGGCTAATATTTTTGTATTTTTAGTAGAGATGGGGTTTTACCATGTTGGCCAGGTTGGTCTCGAACACCTGACCTCAAGTGATCTGCCTGCCTTGGCCTCCCAAAGTGCTGGGATTACAGGTGTGAGCCACTGCGCCAGCCTCAGATACTATTATTCTCCCCACTTTACAAATGAGAAAA
Organism: Homo sapiens; assembly: GCF_000001405.40. Lineage (NCBI taxonomy): Eukaryota > Metazoa > Chordata > Mammalia > Primates > Hominidae > Homo > Homo sapiens. The sequence continues at coordinate 23,525,675 of NC_000016.10, read as the reverse complement.
CTGAGGCATAAAGATTGCATGACACAGAGGTAGCAATGAGTAAAGCCTCTTATGGCACCTCTTACCTCCCTGCATTGTGACCACTGGCTTCTCTGTGTGTGGTCCCTTGGTGGTTTTTCCTTCCCGACCTGGATAAGGGAGAAAGTGGTCAATATCTTCCTCACCTCCCTCAAAACAGGCTTGAACATTGGTTGTGCTGCTCGTACTGTAGCTGATCAATAACCTTCTGAAGCCCTTCCTCCCACCCACTTGCCATTGGCCCATGCAGGCCCTGTAAACTGGCCCTCTTCTTCTAGGCTTCTAGAAAGATCTAGTATGAGCTTAACTCAGGATATGCTGAATGGAGAACTGAAGAAGCTATCAGAAGGTCTGGAAGGCACCAAGTACAGTAATGTGATGAAACTCCTTCGGATGGCCCTCAGTGGACAGCAGGTGAGGCAGGGACACGGGTTGGATTGTTCCCTGGAGCCCCTCATTGATCCTTTGAACTTACATTTCCTGGCAGGCACTGAGCTCAATATTGAGTATACAAAGGTGAATGAAACATGATCACTCCCCTCATTTAGTCAATCAACAGACACTATTGAGTACCTACTATGTGCAAGCATTGTGTTAGGTACAGTGAATACAATATAGAATTAAACACACATACATAATCTCTGCCTCCATGGGGTTTGCAGTTTATTGGGGATAACAGACCTAGCAACAGCTTACTTAATATGGGAAAATCAGGCCAGGCACGGTGGCTCACACCTGTATTCCCAGCACTTTGGGAGGCCTAGGCAGGTGGATCACCTGAGGTCAGGAGTTTGAGACCAGCCTGGGCAACATGGTGAAACCTTGTCTCTACTAAAAATACAAAAATTAGCTGGGGGTGGTGGTGCGCCTGTAATCCCAGCTACTTGGGAGGGTGAGGCACGAGAATTGCCTGAACCTGGGAGGCAGAGGTTGCAGTGAGCCAAGATCGCACCGTTGTATTCCAGCCTGGGTGATAGAGTGAGACTCTATCTCAAAAAAAAAAAAAAAAAAGGGCGGTGGTTGGAGGAGAAACAGGCTCTTAGGACCCATCCTTTTCCAGGGAAATAACACAAGCACTGATCCTCAGAACACAGGCAGCAGTGTGGGGGCTGGCCTGGGAATAATTTCTGCAGACTAAGGCTGAGCTTCAGTTCTTTAGGCTGTTTAAGGTAGTAAGGCAATATTTGCTCTTTTTGTTCTTAGCAAGGACCTCCTGTAGCTGAGATGATGTTGGCCTTGGGACCAAAGGAAGTACGGGAACGGATCCAGAAGGTGGTTTCCAGCTAGGGAGAGGATGTTTCGGGCAGTGGAGATCGCCCTAAGAACCTGTGAGCTTAGAAACAGCTTTCAGAGACCAGAAGGAGGCCTGGGGCCCGTCGGGAAGTTTGCTGAAGGAACTAAGAGTGGAAACAATCTCTGACTGCACACAAGTGCATTTGTGATCCACCACAGGCACGTTTTTGTCAATTGGCTGGGGAAGCCCAACCCATCTAACCTCCTGGACTCTGGAAAGGCATTCTCCGGGTCTGGTTTCTCACACATTACACAGCAGAGGTTTGGAGTTAGTTCACAGAAAAGTTAACATCCCGGAACAGTGCAGAAGGCTTGGGTTTCAGTTTGCTAGGGCCCCCATAACAAAATGCCACAGAACCAGGTGGTTTAAACAACAGAGATTTATTTTCTCACATTTGGAGGCTAGAAGTTCAAGATCAAGGTGTCAGCAGGCCTGGTTTTTCCTAGAGGCCTCTTTTGTTGGCTTGCAGACAGCTGTCTTCTCACTGTGTCCTTGTGCGGTCTTCCCTCCATGCACACACATCTCTAAGTTTCATTATGTGCCCAACGTTCCTCTTCTAAGAACACCAGTTGGACTGGATTTTAACTTTAACCAGCCTCATTTAAGTTAATCACCTCTTTAAATGCTCAATCTCCAAGTACAGTCTCATTCTGAGGTTCCAGGGGTTTCTCAACGTAAGAATTTAGGGGGACAGAATTCAGCCCGTAGCAGCTGGGCAGCAGGACTCATGGGTCCCAGTTCTCAGGCCCCAAGGACTCAGAGCAGCAAAGGATACGTGACACAAGCAGGGCTGAACTGGACACCAGACTTTCTTTGGGGTTGTAAAAGGAGAAGTGTGACTCCACTGCCAAGGGTAAGCACTCTTGTCTTATGCTACCCTTTATTCTTGAACCTTGGGGCAGCCTGTGTCTCCCTTCCCTAAACGTCATCTGTTCCGTTTTTCCAGTCTTCCAGACCTGGTCCTTGGACTGGAGACCTTCACCCTTCCTATTTTGTGGCTTTCTCTTCAAATCCACCTCGTCCTTCCTCCATGACTTATAAGTCATCATCTCTGCTGGTTTCTGAAATGAGATATGCTTCTTGGGGTCTTCAGTGAAGAGGAATAGCAAGTGAAAGGAGGATGGTGGCAGGGTACATGAACCCCTACCAGGCTTCTAGGCTTCCCCTGCATGGCAGCCAGCCTCTAAGTTGGCCCCCAACCATCCCTGCCTTCTTCTATTCACACCCTTGTGTGGTTCCTTCCCACATTGAATAGGCCTGACTTGTGTAACCACTACACTATTGAAGAAATGAGAGTTTGACTTCTGAGGGTAAGTCATAAAATACATCGTGGCTTCTGTCTTGTTTTCTTTGATCGCTTACTTTGGGGGAAGCCAGCTTCCAGGTCATGAAAATACTCAAGCAGCCTTATGGAGTGCTCCACATGACAAGGGATCGAGGCCTCCCACCAATAGCCATGGGAGTGTGCAATCTTGAAAGCTGGTCCTTCAATTCCAGCCAAGCATTCACATGACCGCAATCCTAGCTGATCTCGCTTGTGACCTCTATGGGAGACCCTAAGCCAGAACCACTCAGAGAAGCTGCTCCGGAACGTCAGACACACATGAACTGTGAGATAGTAAACGTTTATTGTTTAAAGCTACTTGGTTTGGGGATAATTTGCGTTTCAGCAGTAGACAATATATTTATTTTGTCCAGGGGAGTGGAAAGGCGATTACAGAGTTTGTTGAGCCCCATAGAGTCCTAGTCTTTGCTTAAAGAAATATACCAGTTCTTTCTAATACAGAATCCATTAAGTTCGTTGGTTGCAAACAATAGAAACCAACTCTGCCTCACTTATGTTTATTGGAGGCCATAAGAGAGCCACAGCATCTACCAAAAAGCCAAAAAAAAAACAGGTTTTGGAAAAGACAGGAACTAGCTACAGGAGCTAATGGCCAATCTTGTCTGAGTTCTTTGATGGCGACACATGAACTACAGCCGTTTTGTTGTTGTTAATTTCTCCGTGTTTTCCCCTCAGTTTTGGATGACTCTGCTCAAGGTTCAGATTCTGAGGAGCAAGTATCTGTTGGGCTATCTGAGGTCCTGCTACCATTCCTTGGCCAGTAATAGGTAGTTTCACAGGGATTATATGCAATGGAGGAAAAGTTGTTCTCAAGGAAAACTAGGGAGCTTTCTCCAGAAGATGATGTAATGGCAGAAACAACAGGTGGTTGACCACAGAAGGGGACAATAATAATACTTGTAATTTATTGTGCGCTTATATGAGCCTCACCCTCTCCCAGGTGTCAGATAATGCTCGTAAATGCCTTAGTCCATCATCTCAGTAAATTTTTTTTATAACACTATGAGAGAAGCAGTATTTTTTTTTTCTGTTACAGATATGGAAACCGAGGTTCTGAAAAGTTAACTAAAACTTCCGAGGTTATAGTACGAGGCAAAACCAAGATTTAAACTCAGATCTGTGCCGATCCAGAGTCCAAGCTTAACTCTGATCTACTGAGTGTTGTCAGAGCATCTGTTTCTAAGACATTAAGAATGGTTAAAAGGAGCTTCTTGGCTCATGGTCAAGTGAGTGTTTTTAACAAAGTGAGTGGTCAAAATACTAAGTCGATTCTGGTATATCTACAACATGGATGAACCTCTAGGACTTCATGCTAAATGAAATGTCAGTCACAAAAGGACAAATACGTCCTAATGCTTTGTGAGGCAAAGGTGGTAGGCTTGTCAAAGGCCAGGAGTTTGGAGACCAGCCTGGGCAACATAGTGAGATCCTGTCTCTACAAAAAATTTAAAAATTAGCCAGGTGAGGTGACATATGCCTGTAGTCCCAGCTACTTGGGAGACTAAGGTAGGAGGATCACTTGAGCTGAGGCGTTAAGGCTGCAGTGAGCTATGAATGCACTACTGCACTCTAACCTGGGCAACAGAGCAAGATCCTGTGTCTAAAAAAAAAAAAATGAATAAAATAAAGTTAAAAGGATAGATACTGTAAGATTCTACTTATTTGAATTACTTAAAATAATCAAAATTATACAGGCAGAAAATAAGATGGTGGTTGTCAGACTTGGGGAGGCAGAAATGGGAAGTTACTGTTTAGGGTATAGAGTTTCAGTTTTGCAAGATGTAGTTACAGGGGTCAATGGTGGTGATAATTGCACAACATTATAAAGATACGTAATGCCGCTGAACTGTATATTTAAAAATGACTGAGATGGTAAATTTTATATTTTTCTGTATTTTACCACAGTTTTTAAAAAATACTAAATTAGAGCTGGGCCTGGTGGCTCACACCTAGAATCCCAACATTTTGGGAGGCCAAGGCAGGCAGATCACTTGAGGCCGGGAGTTCAAGACCAGCCTGGCCAACATGGTGAAACCCCATCTCTACTAAAAGTACAAAAATTAGCCAGGTGTGGTGGTACATACCTATAATCCCAGCTACTTGGGTGGCTGAGGCACAGGAATTACTTGAACCCCCACAGAACGGGAGGTTGCAGTGAGCCAAGATCACACCATTGTACTCCAGCCTGGGGAACAGAGCGACACTCTGTCTCAACAAGAAATTAATAAAAAAGCGAAATTAATAAAGCTGTTGCTACTTCCTCAAGTGAAGTGTGCTGTGCTATCTTGAAAGCAGCTCCAGACGTCTGTCTTCTGTTTGAGGGTTTTGCTCAGGATCAGTAAGACTTTTTTTTTTTTTTTTAAGAGGATGTTGCTCTGTTGCCTGCCCAGACTGGAGTGCAGTGGCACAATTATATTTCACTGTAGCTCTAACTCCTGGGCTCAAGAGATCCTCCTATCTCAGCCTCTTGAGTAGCTGGAATCACAGGTGCATGCCACCACACCTGGCTAAGTAAAAGTGTTTGAAGGAATTTCATACATTTTAAATAACCTCAAGCCCATCCCCAGTGTTTTGAGGGTATAGTGCAGCAGTGAAGGGCACAGAGGCTGTCTAGATTCAGAAACATTCTGCCCCTTATTCACATGTGACTTTCTGTACCTCAATTTTCTTGTTTGTAAAATAGGAATAAGAATTGTACCCATCTCAAAGAGTTGTAAGGATTGGAATAGATAACATATACGAAGTTCTTTTTTTTTTTTTTTTTTGAGACGTAGTTTCACTCTTGTTGCCCAGGCTGGCATGCAATGGCGTGATCTTGGCTCACTGAAACCTCCACTTCCCGGGTTCAAGTGGTTTTCCTGCCTCAGCCTCCCAAGTAGCTGGGATTACAGGCATGTGCCATGTGCCGCCATAGCCAGCTAATTTTGTATTTTTAGTAGAGACGGGGTTTCTCCATGTGGATCAGGCTGGTCTCAAACTGCCGACCTCAGGTGATCCGCCTGCCTCGGCCTCCCAAAGGGCTGGGATTACAGGCATGAGCCACCACGCCTGGCAACATATATGAAGTTCTTAGAACATTACATGGCATTTAATAAATGTTAGGTAACTATCACCATTATTTTCATCCTTAGAAACAGTGATCTTGGTGGCAATGCATAGAAACACACTCAGACTAACTGAAACCATGAAAGGAATTTATTGGAAGAATTAGGACTCTCACAGATCTAAAGGGCAGGACTTCCAACTGGACCTCACAAAAGAATGGAATCTGTACCTAGAAACCTGTTGGGACCAAAGGCAGCCACTCGGCCCTCTGAGATGGCACAGTTTCTAACATTCACCCCTCTGTGTGTCTGCTCCCCTTGTTTTCCCTCTGCAGGCTGCCTTTCTCTTTATCTCTGCAGTTGGCCAACAGCTGCCCTAGCCCTGAAGGTAAATCATCTCTCTTCTCCTACATCACCAATTAAATAACCAATATTCCACATACAAACTCGCAGGGGAGAATCTGATTGGCCTAGCCTGGGTCAGGTGTCTACCCCTGGTCCAATCAGCTGTGGTCAATGGGAGTCATATTCTATGATCATGGCTGCAGGTGGCTCACTTTAGTGTGTGGGAAACCAGTTCCTTCCCCTGAGCGTGTTCTTTTTCGGTGTTGTTTAGAGAGTATCTTTTCCAGGGCTGGGCACGGCGGCTCATGCATGTAATCCCAGCACATTGGGAGGCCAAGGCCAGTGGATCACTTGAGCCTAGGAGTTCGAGACCAACCTAGAAAACATGGTGAAACCCTGTTTCTACAAAAAATGCAAAGATTAGTGGTGTGTAGTGATGCACACCTGTAATCCCAGCTACTGGCGTGGCTGAGGTGGGAGGATCACCTGAGCCCAGGGAGGTGGAGGCTGCAGTGAGCCAGGATAGTGCCACTGTACTCCAGCCAGGGTGACAGAGCAAGACTGTCTCAAAAAAAAAAAAAAAAAAAAGACAGTATCCGTTCTAGAAAATTACATTTTTATAGCCAAATTTGGAATCCCATTCATACTGCCTTTATCCTACTTTATTTTTGCCTTCATAGTACTTTTTACTATATGAAATTATATATTTGTACATATTTACTCTCTTACTCAAAAGAATATGAGATTATGGCAGGAAGTCTGTCTTTTTGTATAACCATAGCACCTGGCACGTTGCCAGATACATAGTAAGGGTCAAGATCTCATGATGAAAAAGTGTTTGAGGACTATGTTAGTAAGATCAGTTTCTTCAGAAATGGCACTCATCAGCTGGTCTAACTGCCAGACTCTTAACAGTTACCAGTATCACTTCCATTTAAGCGGGGAAGTCTTTCCTCTTTTGCAAGATTTGCCAGTATAATTAGCAGTCCAGTCTGTTGCTTGTAATTTGCATTGAATCCAGCTGTCTGGGAGAAACTACCTTTGACAAAGCTTGGAAGTGAAGGCTGGGGACAGATGACTGACATGTGTTTAGTGGGGACTAAAATTAGAAGTTGTTGGCTGGGTGTGGTGGCTTACTCCTGTAGTCCCAGCACTTTGGGAGGCCAATGGGGGAGGATTGCTTGAGCACAGGCGTTTAAGACCAGCCTGGGCAACATGGTGAAACCCCCCCATCTTTACAAAAAAATACAGAAATTAGCTGAGCATTGTGGTGAGCACTTGTGGTCCCAGCTACTTGAGAGGCTGAGGTGGGAGGATAGCTGGAGCCCAGGAAGTCGAGGCAGCAGTGAGCTGTGTCTGTGTCACTGTACTCCATCCCTGGTGACAGAGTGAGATTCTGTCTCAAAAAATATAAATGTCAGCCAGGCGTGGTGGCTCATGCCTGTAATCCTAGCACTTTGGGAGGTGAAGTCAGGTGGATCATGAGGTCAGGAGTTTGGGACCAGCCTGACCAACATGGTGAAATGCCGTCTCTACTAAAAATACAAAAATTAGCCAGGCATGGTGGTGCGCACCTGTAATCCCAGCTACTTAGGAGGCTGAGGCAGGAGAATCGCTTGAATCCGGGAGGCAGAGGTTGCAGTGAGCCGAGATCACAACACTGCACTCCAGCCTGGGTGACAGACTCCATCTCAAAAAATAAAAATAAATAAGTAAATAAATAAATAAATAGGCCAGGCGCGGTGGCTCATGCCTGTAATCCCAGCATTTTGGGAGGCCGAGGCAGGCAGATCACGAGGTTAGGAAATCGAGACCATCCTGGCTAACACAGTGAAACCCTGTCTCTACTAAAAACACAAAAAATTAGCTAGGTGTGGTGGCATGCACCTCAGGGGTTCTGAGGGATGAGTAGGAGTTTCCCAGGTAGATGGGTGTTGGAAGGCTATTCCAAGGAGAGGGATGAAAAATAAAGCTTCACAAAGTTGTTCAGGACTGGACCAAGAGTAGGAGTCAGGGGAGAGGTAGAAGTGGCTGCTGAGAAACCAGGCAGATGTGAGATCCAAATAATAAAACCCAGATTCAATAGAAAAAAATTAGCTGGGGCCGGGCGCGGTGGCTCACGCCTGTAATCCCAGCACTTTGGGAGGCCGAGGCGGGCGGATCACGAGGTCAGGAGATCGAGACCATCCCGGCTAAAACGGTGAAACCCCGTCTCTACTAAAAATACAAAAAATTAGCCGGGCGTAGTGGCAGGCGCCTGTAGTCCCAGCTACTTGGGAGGCTGAGGCAGGAGAATGGCGTGAACCCGGGAGGCGGAGCTTGCAGTGAGCCGAGATCCCGCCACTGCACTCCAGCCTGGGCGACAGAGCGAGACTCCGTCTCAAAAAAAAAAAAAAAAGAAAAAAATTAGCTGGGCATGGTGGCATGTGCCTATAGTCCCACCTACTAGGGAGGCTGAGGCAGGAGGATCACTTGAGCCCAGGAAGTCAAGGCTGCAGTGAGCTGTGATTGCACCACTGCACTCCAGCCTAGGCAAGAGAGCAATAAATCTTAAATAAGATTTATTATCGTACTTAGCAGGAAGTTCATTGGTAAGGTGGGCTGCAGGGTTGGTTAATTACACGTGTGGTGACATCAGTGAGGACCCAGGGTCCTTCTCTCTCTCCACCCTCCTGGCCACAGCATCTGCAGCAGCCACAGTTGGCTGCCTGCAGCAGTCAGGCCTCTGCACTTCCTCCTTCATGTCAGCTGGGGAGAGGGTGGCTTTCTATGGCTGTCTCCCAACAGCAAGGAAACTCCTAAGTACCCTCCCTCTACTCAACTTCCAAATTTTTAGCCATCCCTGCTGGGGAAGTGAGGGTCTCCATAAATCAGTCAGATCCAGAGCTGGAGATGAAGGGAGTCTGCGTGTCCCTGAGGTGCATGGCCAGGTGGGGAGTGGCAGGCACCTCAGCAAAGTTAGGGTTCAATTAATGAAGGCAAGGAGTTGGGTCTTCATAAGGAGGGAGGTGCAGAGCCAGTGAAATGTTTTAGGCAGGGAAATGACATGAGCAGATTGTGGTTTTTGAAAGGTCACTCTGGCAACTATGCCAAGGAGAGACTTAAGCAGGAGCAGATGGAAGGAAGGAGCCCCAGTAGGAGAAGATTGGAAAATGAGGCACAGAAAAGGGCTATTTTCACGATAAAGCCATGTTCTCTCATCACAGCCTCTAAGGGCCTAGGTTAGGGTTCTCCAGAGAAACAGACCCAACAGGATATATATCTAGGAAGAGAGATTTATTATTAGATAGTGCCTCACCAAATTATAGAAGCTGAAAAGGCCGAGTGTGGTGGCTCATGCCTGTAATCCCAGCACTTTGGGAAGCCGAGGCAAGAGGATTGCTTGAACCCAGGAGTTCGAGACCAGTCTGGGCAACATAGTAAGACCCCATCTTTACAAAAAATAGAAAAAAAAATTGGCCGGGCATGGTGGCGTGTGCCTGTAGTCCCACCTATTAGGGAGGCTGAGGCGGGAGGATCACTTGAGCCCAGGCAGTTGAGGCTGCAGTGGGCTGTGATTGTACCACTGCTCTCCAGCCTGGGCAACAGAGCAAGACCCTGTCTCAAAAAAAAAAAAAATAGGTCAGAGGTGATGGCTTATGCCTGTAATTGTAATCCCAGCACTGTGGGAGGCTGAGGTGGAAGGATACTTGAACCCAGGAGTTGGAGGCTGCAAGTGACCTATGATTGTGCCACTGCACTCCAGCCTGGGCAACAGAGCTAGACTCTGTCTGTAGAAAAAATAAAAATTGATAGATAAGCTGAAAAGTCATCTGATCTGCTTGTGTAAGCTGGAGACCCAGGAAAGCCAGTGGTGTAGTTGAAGGGCCTGAAAGCTGGAGAGCCAGTAGTGTAGATTCCAATCCAAACCTGAATGCCTGAAATCCAGGAGTACCAAGGACAGAAGATTGGTATTTCAGCTTAAGCTGTGTGTTAGTCTGTCATTGTGTTGCTGTAAAGAAATATCGGAGGCTGGGTAATTTATTTTTAATTTTAATTTTTTTTTTTTTTTTTTTTGCAGGCTGGAGTGCAGTGGTGCAATCTCAGCTCACTGAAGCCTCCACCTCCTGGGTTCACACGATTCTCCGGTCTCAGCCTCCTGAGTAGCTGGGATTACAGGCACACACCACCATGCCCAGCTAATTTTTGTATTTTTAGTAGAGAAGGGGTTTTGTCATGTTGGCCAGGCTGATCTTGAACTCCTGACCTCATATAATCCATCTGCCTTGGCCTCCCAAAGTGCTGGGATTACAGGCGTGAGCCACCATGCCTGGCCTTTTAATATTTTTTGGTTTTGTAGAGATGGTTGTCATTATGTTGCCCAGGCTGATCTTGAACCCCTGGGCTCAAGCAATCTTCCTATCTGAGCCTCCCAAGTAGCTGAGACTACAGGGACTTGCACCACCACACCCAGCTGATACATATTTATATATATATATATTATCTCTTTTAGATTAAGGAAAAAAAAAACCCCATGAAATAGGCACTTATCTTATTTCTTAGATGAAAACAACATAGTTCTAATCACAATGCCTGCACACCCAACCACTACATTAAACTCCTCAACCACTTCCTACCCACTTAGCCTTTATCCTTTCTGTTGTGGTCTCCAGACCATCAGCATCAATGTCAGATGGAGATCTATTACAAAGACAAATTCTGGGGCCTCATTCCAGACGTACTAGATCTGAAACTGTGTGGCGGGGCCCTGCAATTTGCAACAAACCTGATTCTGACACATGCTAGTTTGAAAACCATTGATCTAGATGTTGTGGGACATCTATACCTTACATCTTTCCTCACCTCTCCAAAGGGTCATGGCCAACACTCCTATAACAAAAAGACGGGTTAAGACCAGGTATGGTGGCTTATGCCTGTAGTCCCAGCACTTTGGGAGGATTGCTTGAGCCCAGGAGTTTGAGACCAGCCTGGGCAACATGGTGAGACCTTATCTCTACAAAACTAAATAAATTAGCTGGGAGCGGTGGTGTGTGTGCCTGTTATCCCAGCTACTCTCTGAGGACTGAGGTTGCGAAGATCATTTGAGCCTGGGAGGTCAAGGCTGCAGTGAGCTCTGGTGGTGCCACGGAACTCCAGCCTGGTTGACAGAGCAAGACCCTGTCTCAAAAAAAAAAGGCTAACAAGAGAAAAGCATAACAGATTTATTTAATTAAAGTTTTACAGGCCGGGCACAGTGGCTTACTCTTGTAATCCCAGCATTTTGGAAGGCTGAGGTGGGCGGATCATTTGAGGTCAGCAGTTCAAGACCAGCTTGGCCAACATGGTGAAATCCCGTGTCTACAAAAAAATTCCAAAATTAGCCAGGCATGGTGGCGGGGTGCCTGTATTCCCAGCTACTCGGGAGACTGAGGCAAGAGAATCAATTGAACCTGGGAGGCAGAGGTTGCAGTGAGCCAAGATCGAGCCACTGCACTCCAGCCTGGGCGACAGGACTTCATCAAAAAAAGTTTCATCAAAAAAAAAAAAGTTTTATGTTGACATGGGAGCTTTCAGAAATAAAGACCGAGGGAAGGCTGTCTACTTTTATATTTAGGTTTGATGACCAACAGCCAGGTAGAAATAGGATTGAACAAAATGGTATGAGTGATCTATTAGACTTAGGTGGGGGGATCCAGCAAGGCCTGTCCAAATTCTTCTTGGCTTACCTGTATATCACTCCTTCTTCCTAGGTATAGGGCAGGAATAAGGGGGCATGACCACCTGTTATCAGACAAAGTAGCTCAGATAATTGCTTTTTTTTTCTTTTCTTTTCTTTTCTTTTTTTCTTTCTTTTTTTTTTTTTTTTTGAGACAGAGTCTCATTCCGTGCCCAGGCTGGAGTGCAGTGGTGTGATCTCGGCTCACTGCAACCTCCGCCTCCCAGGCTCAAGTGGTCCTCCTGCCTCAGCCTCCTGAGTAGCTGGGACTACAAGTACACACCAGCACACCCAGCTAATTTTTGTATTTTTTTGTAGACACGCGGTTTCACCATGTTGCCCAGGCTAGTCTTGAACACCTGGACCCAAGTGATCTGCACGCCTCAGCCTCCCAAAGTGCTGGGATTACAGGTGTGAGCCACCATGCCCGACTGAGAATTTCTTTATGGCCAACTCTTAAGCAGAAATAAAGGAAGGCTGGAGTAATATGTCTAGGTTTTGTGGCTGGCTTTAGGGGAGAGGGGTTTGAGTTTCCCTGACCCATCTTGGGAAAGAGGAATTGAGTTTCTGTGGCTTGCCTTGGGAGAAGAAAGACGGGCAGGAGGTCAGAGAACCTTTGCTCTGAGGCTGCTTCTGAGGGTTTCCACTGTCTTTGAGTTCAAAGTACTCGCTATGCCAAAACACCATGCTCTGGGATATGGTTTTCTGAGCTCCAACAATGTAAAAATGTTAAAGGATTGCAGGTGCTTAAAATAAGTAAAGTTTCAGGAGTTGAAGGATGGTCCTTGGCAAACTGTAGAGCTCATGCCCCCTGTAGCATGTGGAGACTCTAGTCACGTCCAGGTTTTGTTGAAATGTGGAAAGCCGGGTCCAGTGTTGCCAGATGTTCAGAATCTTCAAGAGATAAATATGTATTAAAGATTTTATTTAGGCCAGGTGCAGTGGTTCACGCCTGTAATTCCGACACTTTGGGAGGCCGAGGTGGGCGGATCACCTGAGGTTAGGAGTTCGAGAGCAGCCTGGCCAACCTGGTGAAACGCTGTCTCTACTAAAGATACCAAAATTAGCCGGGTGTGGTGGTGGGCGCCTGTATTCCCAGCTGCTCAGGAGGCTGAGGCAGGGGAATCACTTGAACCCAGGAGGCAGAGGTTGCAGTGAACTGAGATTGCACCATTGCACTCCAGCCTGGGCAACAGAGCGAGACTCAAAAAAAAAAAAAAAAAAAAAAAAAAAAGATTTTCTTTAACTCCTTAATGAGGAAACTGGTGAGATGTTCAAACCAGTCCAAAGAATGGACATCATGTATAGATCAGGAATGTTGAAATGGATGTGCAAGTGGGGGCAGAACTGGTTTTTCCACAAGAAGTCTGTGTGTTCCCAGAACAGTATTCATTTGCTTGTGTGTGGACAAGAATCATCACCCATTGCTATTCAGTTATCTACAAGGAAGAATTTGTGCTTCTGTATGGCATACGTACCTATGGTCTAAGAAGAATGTGTGTTCTGAGTTCCAAGCTACAGAATCACAGAGTGGCCAGCCCAGAGGTTCACTCTTTATCTAAGAGGAACATCTGAACCCTTGGCCCCATCCTGTGGAACGCAGGCCATACGGGGGATCAAGGCCCTTTGGGGTTAAATTGAGGTTGCCAGATGGAGGTTGCTAGGGGAAGGGTGCTAGTTGAAAATACTATATAAACTGATGCTCTTTACAAATGGTAGTGGTCCTCCTGTCCAGCCCACTGCCACTAGACCACCCCGTAAGTCCCCTCAGTAAACCTGCCTCATTCAGTGGCTCTGGGTCTCTTCTTCCGCCTTTCAAACATGGTGCCATCCCTACTGAAGTTAATAGGGGTACGGCACAACAGCTTCAATGGAAAATTATGTGTTGTCTAGACAGCACAACCTTCCAGGTTCTAGCCTTTCTTTGTCTTTGAGAAGTCTCATAACTCTGTTAAGTTGATACCAATGCAAAATAATTCTTGCCTATAAATAGGTAAATTCCGCTCACTGGAGGGACAGCTCTCACCCCGGTCGAAAAGCCAGTTTTGCCTCCATTTGCACATTCGTCTTATCTTCCTTTTTTTCCAGATAAATTTGCCCTTCTTTGACTTCACTTTTGGATTGATTATAACATCTGCTTGGTTCCCTCATGTAATTAAATAAAATATTTAACACGTATTCATTTCATAATTATGATAATCATGACATACTTTTTTGGGAAAATTATCTTTTAACAGAATAAGCAAGTAAATAATACATCGATGGTGTACTGTGTGATGCAGAAAATAAAGCAGAGTATTGAGGAATGCAGGACATGTTAGTTTAGAAGTGTTCCAGGAAACCAGGGAGGTGGAGGTTGCAATGAGCCGAGATAGCACCACTGCACTCCAGCCTGGGCGACAGAGCGAGACTCCATCTGAAAAAAAAAAAAAGTGTTCCAGGAAAACCCTTCTGTGAATAAAAATGCAAGCACATAGGCCGGGCGTGGTGGCTCACCCCTGTAATCCCAGCACTTTGGGAGGGCGAAGCGGGCAGATCACGAGGTCAGGAGTTCGAGACCAGCCTGGCCAACATAGTGAACCCTCGTTTCTACTAAAAATACAAAAAAAAAAAAAATAGCTGGGTGTGGTGGCATGCACCTGTAGTCCCAGCTACTCGGGACGCTGAGGCAGGAGAATCGCTTGAACCCAGGAAGTGGAGGTTGCAGTGAGCCGAGATGGCACCCCTGCACTCCAGCCTAGGCGACAGAGTGAGACTCCGTCTCAAAAAAAGAAAAAAAGAAAAATAAAAAATAAATGCAAGCACTTTGGGAAGTCGAGGTAAGAGGATCTTGTAGCCCAGGAGTTCGAGACCACCCGGGCAACATGGTGAAACCCAGTCTCTAACACACACACACACACACACACACACACACACACGGTGAAACCCAGTCTCTAACACCAGGAGTTCGAGACCACCCGGGCAACATGGTGAAACCCAGTCTCTAACACACACACACACACACACACACACACACACACACACACACGGTGAAACCCAGTCTCTAACACACACACACACACACGCCAGGCGTGGTGGTGCCCTCCCCTAGTCCCAGCTCCTCCGGAGACTGAAGCGGGAGGATCGCTTGAGCCTAGGAGGTGGAGGCTGCAGTGAGCCGTGATCGCGCCATTGGACTCCAGCCTGAGTGACAGAGCAAGACCCCGTCTCTTAAAAAATAAAAATGCTAAAAGAATTATTCGTGTTCTTCTGAAAATCAAATTTAACTGGGCGTCTTGTATTTTATCTGGCAACCGTACGGTGAGTGGTCTTAGAAGACCAGCGCTGGGTGGAGGGATCTGGACTAAGAAATGTTCCGGCCGGTCCCGCGTGGAGGGGGGGCCTGGGGTGGGCGTGGCGCCAGCGGCCCCGCCCCGTCACGTGTCCACCGCTCCTGCCGCGCAGTCAGCAGAGGAGAGCGCCAGGACGCTACAGCGGCTGAAGAGGCAGTGGCGCCCGCGGCCGCAGCGTCGGGGCTGGAGCGATGGCGGCGACCGCGGTGGCGGCGGCTGTGGCGGGAACCGAGTCGGCCCAGGGTCCCCCGGGCCCGGCAGCGTCGCTGGAGCTGTGGCTCAGTGAGTAGCCTGGCAGGCCTTCGGCGCAGCCGCTGCGCCGCACGTGAGGCCTCGCTTCCCGCCTCCCGGGGCCTTGCTTCGGGGCGGGCGGCCGCAGGGGAGGCCGGCGGCCGGGTAGGGGGCCTGGGCCCGGCGCGGTGGGGAAGATCGCCCAGGGGTCCCCCGAGAGGAGCCCCAAGCATCCGCCGGGGCAGCGGCCCCCTTCTGAGCTCTGCCCCTCCCCCTCCGCCCACCCCCCAACTTAGCAGCAGCACAGGACCCCGACCCCCACCCCAATGGCTACGTGACCTGCGCTTTCCCCTGCGCCAGGCACTGTGCTCACAGCGGCTTAGTCCTGCTTAATCCTCATTCCCACCCCGAGCTGGCTTCTATTATTAACCCCACTACGGAAGCGGGGACCTTGAGGCTTAAGGAGACGCAGTCGTGCAAGACATGCAGTCTGTTTGGGGCTGAGAAAGATCTCTATCTGGCTACCGCGTCAAAAAGAAATTTTTTACCTTTTGTGTTTACTTTGGCCAGACTTTTTTTTTTAAACACACACACACGTGTGTGTGTGTGTGCGTATATATATATATGTGTGTTTTTTTTTTCCTTTAAGAGACGGGGTCTCATTATGTTACCCTGGTTGGGCTCAAACCCTTTGGCCAGAATTCTTCTGCATGTCTCCTGTAAGCTTCACAGTCATCTTAGGGGTTATTATTATCTCCGTTTTACCAATGAGGGATTGAGGTTCAAAGGGGATAAAGAATATTCCCCTTGTACCCAGCTCTGCTAGGTGCCAGGAACACTGAGATGCATAACACAGGGTCCTTGCTCACCAAAACATTTTTTAGTGGGTACAAGCCGGCAGTCACATCACCTTACTAACGGGATTGGCGAGGAGGAGGAGGGCGTTCGTTTCACCTGTGGTGGTAGGAGTTGGTTTACCTGGGGGTCGTCACAGCCGACCGCATTCCAGGCAGAAGAAACTGCGTGTGCAAAAGCTGGGGACAAGAGAATGTGGAGCACTCCGGGAACAAGTAGGTCAGTCCGCTGGAGTGCAAGCCTAAAGCTCAGGAATCCGGGAAAGGGGCTGCACGGCTAATTGGGGCGAGATCTTCAAGAGCCTTGTGTGCTGCAGAAAGGAGTTTATGTTTTATCCGAGGGCGGGGTTGCTGTTTGGGAGTTTTCAGCCGGAGAATCTGATCAAGGAAGCCTGTTAAAGGCGTCACTTGCAGCCATATGGTGCTAAATTGGGCGGAGAGGGTGAGACTTCAGGCAGGGAGAGCGGCTAAAAAGCTCTTTTGGTGGTGGTTGGGGGCCGCAGGAGGACTAAGGCAGTGGGGAGAGGGAGAAGCAATGAGCAGGCGTAGTCAGCAGCCTCGGTGCCTTGGAATGCAGACAGGGGACAAGGAGAAATCTAGGCTAGATCGCGGGTTTCAGGCTCGAGGAACTGGTGGGTTACAGATGCCTCCCCTGTGAGGAGGAGCTGGTTTAGGCAGAGAAGGTTGAGATGTGGAGTTTGAGGTGCTTGTGGCATAGTCAAAAAAGAGATGCCCTCTAGGCAGCTGGTTGGCACTGGAGAGGGCAAGTGTGGGACGTACGGTTTGGGAGTCTGGTTCATTGGCAGTGAGCTTGCGGGAGAAGCTTGCGTATATTAAGAGCAGAGGTTTGGAAAGAGAGCGTGGGGAGCCCCAGCATTGAAGAGGCAGATGGGAAGAGAAGACTGAAGGCTGAGCAGAAACAGGCAGGGGGAGACCTGCAGGGGCACCCACTGATAGCAAAGGAGGGATGTGGTTGTAACGTAGTTTTGCTCCTTAAAGATGGAGGAGAATGAGGAAGGAGAAGAGAGAACTTTGAATTTGGTAACCAACCAGTTATTTAATGAGACATCCTTGAGTTAAACAGTAGAGACAGAAGGTAGTAGTTTTAGGAGGCAATGGAGAACAGAAGGCTTAGACTGGAGTTGCAAAAATTAGAAAAAAAGGCTGTTCATGCCTGTAATCGCAGCACTTTGGGAGGCTGAGGTGGGCCAATCCTTTGAGGCCAGGAGTTTAAGACCAGCCTGGCCAACATGGTGAAACCCCGTCTCTACTAAAATACAAAAAATAGCCATGTGTGGTGGCGCACACCTGTAATTCCAGCTACTTGGGAGGCCGAGGTGGGAGGATCACTTGAACCCTTGGGGCAGAGGTTGTGGAGGTGGAGCCAAGATTGCACCGCTGCACTCCAGCCTAGGTGACAAGGCGAGATTCTGTCTCAAAAAAAAAAAAAAAAAGTAGCCGGAGTAAGAGAAAGTAGCTGCCTCAGGTGGAGGAGATAAAAGGAGTGCCTGGAACTGAGGCTGCCCAAGGACACAGTTCTTCAACTCCAGCTTTTTTTGAAACAGAGTCTCACTGTGTCACCCAGGCTGGAGTGCAGCGGCATGATCTCAGCTCACTGCAGCTTACCCCTCTCCTGGGCTCAAGCATTTTTCCCACATCAGCCTCCCCAGTTCTAGCTTTTTTTAAATGTATTTTTATTTATTTATTTATTTATTTTTGAGATGGAGTCTTGCTCTGTTGCCCAGGCTGGAGTGCAGTGGTGCCATCTCGGCTCTCTGCAACCTCTGCCTCCTTGGTTCAAGCAATTCTCCTGCCTCAGCCTCCCAAGTAGCTGGGATTACGGGCACACGCCACCACAACCGGCTAATTTGTGTGTGTGAGAGAGAGAGAGAGAGATGGAGTTTCATTCTTGTCCAGGCTGGAGTACAGTGGCACGATCTCAGCTCACTGCAACGTCCGCCTCCCAGGTTCAAGCAATTCTCCTGCCTCAGCCTCCCAAGTAGCTGGGATTACAGGCATTAGCCACCATGTCTGGCTAATTTTTGTATTTTTAGTAGCGATAGGGTTTCACCATGTTTGTCAGGCTGGTCTCAAACTCCTGACCTCAAGTTATCTGCCAGTCTTGGCCTCCCGAAGTGCTGGGATTATAGGCATGAGCCTGGCCTAATTTGTGTTTTATTATTATGGTTTTTTTCATGGCATATACATTGTATTAAGCTCCAGCTTTTGGGGGCAGTGTCCCAAAGTTGCTAGATCTTCCTGTTTTTCAGGAACGGCTAGAACCTATATTCTTAAGTGAAATATCGTGGGTTTTCAGAAGTTGGTGCCTACTTTGGCCCATAATTTGGGGAAGGCCAGGCAGAATAAATGTGTGGGGAGGGTGCAGCCAGTGGCCTCCTCAGCTGTTTTTCATGAGTCTTGAATGTAGAAGGAGGGGGAGAGAATAGCGAGAGGGAATTTAGGAGTAAAGGAGATTATTAGAAGGAGAGGGGGACATGTGAGCCCCTCTTCATGTTGATGTTCCATTGGGGAACTGCCCCTCCCCCATTCTGGGTCCAGTGTCCCATCCATTGCAGAGGGGCCTGAAGGTGCTGAAGGAGCTCAGAGCCAGAGCAAAAAGGGGGACCTGGCCTCACAGAGAGGAAGGACACCTTTTGTTTTTCTGACTGTCTGGCGAAGGAGATCAAGATGATTGCACATGCAAACAAGTTCGTCAGTGCCACCATTGCCACCTGAGTATTGGGTGCTCAAGTGGAACAGGGGACTTGAGGAAGGTGGGGAAGCGTTGGGGAGTGGCTGGTGAGGCAAACCGAAGTGGGCCCACCCGGACGGAGAGCTGGGTTTCTCAACCTTTGCACGAGTGACATCTTGGGCCCGATAATTCTGTGTTGTGGGGGCTGACCTGTGCACTGTAGGATGTTTAGTGGCATCCCTGGGCTAAATCCACTGGATACCAAAGCTCACACCCTTCCTCCCAGTCATAACAGCCAAAAATGTCACCAGATACTGCCATGTTTCCCCAGGGTTGAGTGGGATGGGATCACTCCTACCCATCTCCCCGCTGAGTTCCTGAGTGAGGACTGCAGAATGCTGACTGGACATCAGGAATGTGGGTTGCAGTCTTCATGGCTGTATTTGTTGTTGTTTTCTTCTGGGAGTAGGAGCAGAGAAGATGAAGTGAACGATGGGTTAAGTCAGATTTGTTGGGGATGGTGGGCCATTGGTGCTGCAATGGAGGGATAAGGGGGTCGTGGGATTGATAGTATGGCCAAGACATGGGTGTAGTTGAAGGCAAAAGCTCATGGGTCTGAGCTACATGAAGTCACCAGGGGGTGGTGTCTGAGGACTGGCCAAGATCAGGTCCCTGCAAACAAGGCAGCTGTATCTTTAAGATGGGAAGAGAGTAATAAAACCTCTTCTTAGGGTTGTTGAGAGAATCAAAGGCTTTAATACACAGAAAGCACTTAAAATAGTGCCTTACTATGCTTGTAGTAAGTGCCCAAGAAGCGCTAGCTATTATTATCATTAGGCTTTTATAGCTGCAAGTAATTGAAACTAACTCATACCCATACCCGCTTACCAAAAAAAGGAAAGTAAAGAAAGTCCCAGAGTAGGGGTAGGCTCAGTCCAGGAGCTCCACGGTTCACTTCTTTGATTGAATTTTCTCTGCTTTGCTCTTCTCCCTACTGCAATCTCAGCAGAATTTCTTTTCCCCATTGATTTGCAAGAGTTATTGTTCTTCCGCCTGTTGGCTTGGGTTTTATGTCCACCTTGGAGTCAGCATGACCTGGGGTCATGAAATATGAAGATGGCCAGACCTGGGGTGGGGTGGGGTGGGGGACAGTACCCAACCCAGAGCCAAAGGTGGGGAGGGTGAATGGGGGACCTGGAATTGAGGAGAGGGGTTGTTCCCAGAGGAGTATCAGGAAGCCGTTACCAGAATCTCATGCCTTAAAAGTACAAACGGCAGCGCCTGTGCATTCTGTCATTCAGTTCTGTGGTGTTTTTTTCCACTTCATGTATTTTGGTCATTATTCCACATGACTGCAGATGTAGCCGCCTTGTTCTTTTAAATGAAAAGCCTTAGACGCCCCGTTGTATGGGTGTCCTAGGATCCATTTAACCGGGTCCCTGTTGGTAGACATCTTAGGTGTTGCTAGCCTTGCGCTATTAAAAACAGCACTCAGTCCTCTTGGGCTCTAGAATTCTAGCTCTGGTAGCGCTACCAGGGAGGCCATGGCTTAGTAAAAGTTGGGTGCTCAGTAAATCTGTTTCTTCCTTCCACTTGGTCCTACTCCCAGGTGATGAGTAGGACATTCCCATGCTGAGTCTTGGAGGTTTTCACATGTGCTGAATTGTATGATTGCCGGACTCTTGGGGTCCACGTGTCCCTCCCAGGGAAGGAGTCCCCCTGCAGCGTGGACTGCTGAAGGATTGCATTCTGCTCCTCGGGGTGACCACTTCCTCACAGTCTTGGGGCTCCCCTTGCTAGCACAGGCGGCTGCTGGTGCCAGGGTCATGACCCCGGTGGTTGGTTGGCAGCTGACGTGGGATGGTTTGGCTTCTGAATTAGTCACTCTTGGATGAGCCATTTCACTCACAGCCGGAGGTCTCAGCTGTTTTCTTAACACCTCTGGCCCTGTAGCACGCTTGAAATGAATCATACAAACACTGCTTTTAGTGAGGAAATACATGGCAGCAGTGCTATTTCTCAGCACCCCTCTGTCCTGCTCAAGTGCCAGCTATAAATAAACCACCTTGGAGTCTGGGATAGCCCAAAACAGAGAAGGCATCCTTTGAATTTCTCCCTGGCCGTGCCCTGTCTGGCCCCTAGCTAGTCCTTGGAGCAGATTGGTGTCAAACAGACCTACGGCGGTTGCTGTGGCCTGGTCAGACCCAGCTGCTGGCCCCCTGGGGGTCATTTTTTGGAGCTGCTCAAGTCTTCTGAAATAGTTTGTGCAGGCTGGGATTATGTGTTTAGGGGCCCAGTTATTTCAGAACTGAGATAGCCATCTCTCCGTGTTATCAGTATGTCCAGCCAGCTGGCCAAACACTGTCTAGCAAAAGAGGAATCGTTCATTCAGTAGATACCTGCCAGCAACTCTTCTAGGTACTAGAGCCTGTGAGAGTGAATGAGACAGGCCTGCTTTTTGCCTTCAAGGAGTTTATGAGCACGAAGATCAAGCTGGCTTCCAAGAGAGGCCCTAACTTTGTCAAGGAACTGAAGACCTCACCGCAAGAGTGGTTAGAAACACATCCAGGCTGTGGAGCTGGGCCAGCCTATGACTTAATTTTTGTTTCTGCCACTCCCTTGCTTTGTGGTTGGGTAGGTTTCTTCATCTGTAAAATGGTGTAGATGATCGTGCCAACCTGGATTGTTCTGAGGACATCTGGCATGGTATCTGACCCATAGTAGGTACTTTTTTTTTTTTTTTTGAGACGGAGTTTCACTCTTATTACCCAGGCTGGAGTGCAATGGCACGATCTTGGCTCACCGCAACCTCCGTCTCCCGGGTTCAAGCAATTCTCCTGCTTTAGCCTCTCAAGTAGCTGGGACTGCAGGCATGCAGCACCATACCTGGCTAATTTTGTATTTTTAGTAGAGACGGGGTTTCTCCATGTTGGTCAGGCTGGTCTTGAACTCCCAACCTCAGGTGATCCGCCCACCTTGGCCTCCCAAAATGCTGGGATTACAGGCATGAGCCACTACACCCGGCCCCATATTAGGTACTTTTAAAAATGACGGTTACTGTTACTTTTGAGCCATGATAAATCTTTTTTCCCCCCATAGGAAAATCCGTTTTCCTTTTATTCAGTATGCAGTGGAGCTAAAGTGCAGGGCACGAAGTATTTTACACAACATTTTAAGTTCTTGTGTATAGGTTTTCATGGAAATTTAAAAATTTAACAATGATGGGATAATAGATAATAAACTCATCGTAAGTACATTATCACTAGGTTTCAGCAATTCTTATTTTGCCATTTATTTTCAACTATCAATCCAAATATCCTAGTAGTGTTTTAAATCAAATATAAGATATAATATCATTAATTTTGGAAACATTTAAGTAACTATATCTTACAAGTAAAGATAAAAAAGAAAATATCATTATTACAACTAATACAATTTTTAATATATAAAATAGATCAATTTGTGTATTCACCAAAGAGTAGACTCTACAACCACTGAAGGCTTTGCATGAAATGTTTTAACATGTTTCATCTAATATTTCATCTTCAGACACAAAAAATCAATACATGAAAATATTCAATTACGTATAAAGGGCTATAGACTATGGTTGGAGGAGGAAATCGCAAATCGACAGTGGGATATTCCAAACCACTGTATTGTGAAAGCAAACACAAGAAAGAAAATAGGGATTCCTATTGTTCCCGATAAAAGGAAAGGAAAGGTAACTCCCAGAGAGCCACTCCCTCACTTTGCCATATTCAAATGTTCTGAACAAGGCACAGGTCTGGCCATACCCAAGGAAAGATGAGGATTCAGGGTGTAACAAAAGACAGCAGAGATCATGGGGCGTCTTAGGATTCTGCCCCCAATATCCACCCTTCCACAAAAACTTAATCTGACATCTCACATTGGTGGGGATCTGGTGTTCTTGTAAGAAAAAAAGAAAGTCTCAGAAAGTGTTTCCCTTGTAGACTCTGGGGCAGTTGATCCTCAGCACTTTCTATTTTGGAAGCCAGAAAATTCCTTTTTGACTGAGAAGGGGTGCAGTCCTGTGCACCATAGGATTCCCATTGTTGACTGCATGTCAGTGGGAGCCACCAGCTATTACAACCAGAAATGTCTGGGCAAACTTCCTCAGGATGCAGAAGCTGCTCCCGTGAGAACCGCTGCTCCTCTCCATATGTGAACAGACTGACAGATGCAGGCAGCACCAGCAATCTCTTTAACCACTGAGGTGCACTGGAAAATGTGAGTTGCAGTGTGTCCCTGTGTTAGAATTATTAAGAGGCTTTTGTTGACAATTGCTGAGACCATACAATGCACCACAGCAAGATTAGCTGGGTAAATGATCTTCTGATAAAGGTTTGAACCCAGATGTTCCTCTTTTGTTGTTTTCCTGGAAGTGGGTAAATTCAGTTTTCACTTCGGTAGCTCCCCTAACAATCCCAAGACCAGGTCTTTTACTGCTTCCCTAGGTGGCATGACCATTATCGGCCTGGGGTAAGATGAACTGATTTCATCTCTTCCTTTATAATCATGACGTAGGGGCCTCATTTCACATGCACAGATTCCCTCCAAAGAGTAGATGAGCAGGCCTGGGCCACCCTGGTGCTTGGAGTAATGACAGCCTTGCCCCGATGCCACTCTCTCTTCCCACCATTGTTGAGTTTTGGGCCATCATGCATTCAGTGCCTCAGTGGGCAGAGAACCATACCCAGGTGCTCTCACAAATCTGGAGCCAATTCTAAAGTTTTTTGGACTCCAGCTCAGCTCAGACCACTGTCACATGCTAGGGACTGTGGGTGACTGTGGACATCACTGGCACCTGCTTGAGACTGTGGGTGATTGTGGACTCTGAGCAGGGATGTGCTGTGTCCATGTGACACTCCTTCTCCCCAAGAGTTGTTCAAGAAGGTGGTGCCCTAGGAATGCCATCTGGACCCAGTGGAACAAGAAGGGCAGAAAGCACCTGGCACCCACTGTTCATACCACCATCACCCAGTTCCTTCAAGTGGCTAACTTGAAGATGTTTCCTCTCGATGAAAATCCTAAACAACAAAAAAAGAAAATCCTAATTTTGTTGTTTCTTTCAGCAGAAGTGATATTTTCTAGTCTTTACAGTTGAGAAGTTTAGGATCTTATAATGTTAATTTCTCTCTTTAAGATGGCATTAGTGCACCGAATACCAATGAAATTCATGCTGACAGCCCTTTATAGCAGCGGCATGTTGATGCAAGTCTTTGTATTCACACGGCCATGACACAGCCTCCAGTTTCTGTGCTTTATCTTTGTGAGGAAAACTAAATAGAAAATACAGGTCACGGTCATTTGCCAAGGCACACAGGTCGAAGTAATATCTTGCATAAACACTGGCAGACACATGAATATTAAACTCAAGTAGCTCCAAAAAACACTTCTCCATCTTGCTCATGTTCTCAACTGCAATGTCCTTGGGATTCTGGCTGTCATCCACACTCCACAGACCATGATTTCTCCAAACCTTGGAGGCAAGAAGCATGGCTCCAAGGACAATCTTTTTCCAATTAGTAGGACACAGAGCGATGCTACCATTAGTTAAAAGTCGTTCGATGTACACCAAAGCTACGATTGCACATGGAGCTGTAGTTTTATGACTTGAAAAAGAGTACAGAAATGTCTGAAAGTACAGTTGTGTTTGGGATCATGCTCGAAGGATTTCCCTGGAACCTTCTCTTGTGAAAGTGGGTGTATTGGCTTGTCAAAAATAGCCAGAGATCTATTTGCGTATCTGTGCTTTATGTTGTAATATATTGCCCAAGTCACACTTTCTAATGTGTGTCAAAGATCAGGCTGGCTGACTGTTCTGTTATCTAGCAATATGGTGTAACACGAGGTGTATTTTCTATCAAGATGCCATGGTATATATAATATAGGTGAGAGCTCCTCTTTTCTTGCACACTCATTTGATATTTTCTCAAAAAAAGCGTACTTTCCCTTGGATGGTCAGAAGCAAAATATTTGGGCATCTCCTGGTCACTGATGTGCTGCAGGTCATGGCCCTTGCGGGCTCCTAAATCCGACTGGGCAGGCTCCACAGCAGTGGGGTGTGGCGCTACTGCCACCTCCGCCTGCGTGATGTTATAGCTGCAGGGCGGTTCCACCCGCCACACCCTGCACTGGCTTTGCTTGGGGCTGGCATTGGGGAGCAGTATGTTCCATCTGCGACGCCTCTGCTCCTCTCTGCCTTGGCCTGCACCTTTGCTTGACGCTGCCTCATAGATGTCAGCACTGCAGGACAGCTCCCCAGGCCCCGCACACTGCCCCGCTTGGGGCTGGCATTGGGCAACAGCGTGTTCCATCTGCTGTGCCTCCACTCCTCTCTGCCTTGGCCTGCACCTCTGCTTGCCACCGCCTCATAGATGTCAGAGCCACAGTACAGCTCCGCAGACCCCCCTGGGCCGACCCTACCTGGGGCTGGCATTGGTGCTCAAGCAACAGCTCAGCATGTTCCCCGTGAGGCAGCTCGGCTCCTGGCTCCTCTCCGGTAGCTTGGGCCTTCCCTTGCTTCCAAGTCTGCAGAGCTCAGCACTTATACCTCTTCCCAGCAAAGGCACGCTGGCAGGGCCAGCCCTTGGCTGTGGGGCTGCTCCCCACTAGCAGCCCGCACCCCACCTCAGCTGCCTCCCCTGAGCTGCCTTGTCTACAAGGGTCCCTTGGGAACCTGTTTGGTTTCCTTAGAATGGGTCTAGATACAACAAGCCTGAGAGCTGTGATTGCGGAGAAGAGAGCACAGAGGGAGCTCCTCTTCCTTCCACTGCTTCCCACCAACTGAAGGAGGTTGCCCTGCCAACCACCAGAGCTCTCTCCTGGTTCCCAGGAACCAATCTGGCCCAGAGTCCCCTCCACATGCCCTGTTCCCATCGTGATGCGGGAGCCTAGGCACGTGGTTCACCAGGCCCCGCCCTGCCAGCGGCCCCACCCCTACCTTTCATTCATTGCTGGCTGCTGGGAGCTTTCAGGTTTCTACACTGTGAGGAAGGTCTTATGGTTTCAACAAATGAAGAGGCTTATGTAAAAGAAAACTGAGCCGGGCACAGTGGCTCACATCTGTAATCCTAACACTTTGGGGGGCCGAGGCGGGCGGATCACGAGGTCAGGAGATCGAGACCATCCTGGCTAACATGGTGAAACCCCGTCCCTACTCGGGATCTTCCCGCCTCGGCCTCTCAAAGTTCTGGGATTACCAATAAATCTTGATTGAGTCCTCATGATACAAGCTCTAGCAAATAAGAAAGAAACCTCCTTACATTTTGTGGATTGTATTGCTGCTTGGCCTTGGTTAAGGGTTTGGAACGTAATTTAACCTCAGAGAGGTTTTTTCTTTCTTAAAGAAAGCTGGTGCCGGCCGGGTGTGGTAGCTCACACCTGTAATCCCACTACTTTGGGAGGCTGAGGTGGACGGATCACGAGGTCAGTAGTTCGAGACTAGCCTGGCCAATATAGTGAAACCCCATCTCTACTGAAAATACAAAAAATTAGCCAGTCATGTTGGTGGGCACCTGTGATCCTAGCTACTCTAGAGGCTGAGGCCGGAGAATCGCTTGAACCCGGGAGGCGGAGGTTGCAGCGAGCCGAGATTGTGCCGCTGCACACCAGCCCGGGTGACAGAGCGAGACTCCATATCAAAAAAAAAAAAAAAAAGGTGGTGCCCGTCAGTGCTGTGTCTCTTTCACTTGGCAGCCAGGGAGGAGTGAGAAGGCTCTGGATTCTGTGAGGGGAGCTTGGGCCATGCCTCCTGTTCTCTGCCTCTCCTGTTCTCTCCCTGCCTCCCCCTGTTCTCTTCCTGCCTCTGCTCTTCTCTCCCTCCAGGTCCAGTCACATGCTGAAGTCAGAATTCTTTTGAGGTGTCAACCTTGACCTTGTAGTGAACTGAAACAGAAGCTTAAATGGTGTAGACTTTAGGTGATTCAGACACATAATCGCTGAGAATCACTGCTTTAAATAATTTATTTGATGAGTTTCTATGTTGTACGTATGGGTAAGGCACTGTAGGGAAGATATGGCTTCTGCCCTTAAGGTTTCATTCTCTTTAGGTAGGACAAGACATGTCTACATATTACAGTAAAAGCCAGAGACTGTACGTAATAATAAACAATTATCCTTTGTAGACCTCTTACTGCATGCTGCTGTACTAAGCATTTTAGACCCTTCCCCTTTAAATCACATGACAGTCCCATGAGGAAGGTACTATTTTCCTTGTTTTATTTTTTGTAAACATATTTGTAGAGATGGGGCCTCACTATGTTGCCCAGGCTTGTCACGAAGTCCTGGGTTCAGGCGATCCTCCTACCTTGGCCTCCAAAGTGCTGGGATTACAGGCATGAGACACTGTGCCCAGACTGTTTTTATTATTATTTTTGAGACGGGGTCTCATTTTGTCCCCCCAGGCTGGAGTGCAGTTGCACAATCATAGCTCACTGTAGCCTCCACCTCCTGGGCTCAAGTGATGCTCCTGAGTAGCTAGGACTGCAGGTGTGTGCCACCATGCCTGGCTTTTTTTTTTTTTGGAGACAGAGTCTCACCTTGTCACCCAGGCTGGAGTGCAGTGTCACGATCTCAGCTCACTGCAACCTCTGCCTCCCGGGTTCAAGCGATTCTCCTGCCTCACCCTACTGAGTAGCTGGGATTATAGATGCACGCTGCCACGCCCAGCTAATTATTTGTATTTTGGTAGAGACGGGATTTCACCGTGTTGCCCAGGCTGGCCTCCAACTCCTGAGTTCAGGCAATCCACCCTCCTCGGCCTCCCAAAGTGCTAGGATTAAGGCATGAGCCACTGCGCCCAGCCTTCTGACTAATTTTTTTTAAAAATTTCTGTGGAGATTGGGTCTCGTTATGTTGCTCAGGCTGGTCTCAACCTCCTAGGCTCAAGCGGTCCTCCTGCCTTGGCTTCCCAGAGTGCTGGGATCATAGGCATGAGCTGCAGCACCTGGCCCTATTTTCTTTATTTTATAGTTGAGGAAACTGAGGCTCAGCGAGTCCAAGTACATGTGACTAATGGGTGTAGCTGGAGATCCCTATCGGAGAAGGGGCAGATAAAATATCTGTTCAGAGGAGGAGGAGACAGCTTTTGTTTTATGGGGACGGGAGATAAAAAGGTCAGAGAAGTCTTTAGGGTGGAATGTGACTTGGGACTCAAGGGTAGATAGGATTTTAAGATACGGAACATGGGAGAGAGCTTTGCGGGGGTGGGGAGGAGAATATAGGAATCAATCACTGATCCTTCCCTCGCCCTTGTGTTCTCTCTTCACTTAGAATGGAGTCAGTGGGCAGGAAGATGGTGATTACCTGTCCGTTGACCCTCCCTATCTAGACACATGACTTCCACGTGACATAAATGTGACTGCAGTCAGGAAAAATTCAACTCGGACTGTGCTGTGTTGAGTAATCAGAGGGAGAAGCAGTGGGGTTGGCGCAGCGGGAGGAAGTTTTCTGCAGGAGCTGGAAATTCAGATGGGTCTGGAAGAATATGGATAGGGCACTGAGAGGAACAGAGTGGACACTCGGGCCAGGAGGATAATAATGTCAGAAGTACTGCCCCGAGAAGCAACGCCTCATTTCCAGAGCCTAAAAGAGCTGCTCTGTCAGAACCAGTACGGTTTCTCATCAGAGAGGCTGGGCAGGCCAGGACCAGATGGCCAGAGGGGAGTTGGAAGGGTGGTTGTTTTTTTTTTTTGTTTTTGAGGCAGGATCTTGCTCTCCCACCCAGGTTGGAGTGCAGTGGCATGATCTTGGCTCACTGCAGCCGCAGTCTTTCCACTTCAGCTTCCTGAGTAGCTGTGACTACAGTCACATGCCACCACGCCCAGCTAATTTTTTTTTTTTTTTTTTAGATGGAGTCTCGCTCTGTTGCCCAGGCTGAGTACAGTGGTGCCATCTCAGCTCACTGCAACCTCCACCTCCTGGGTTCAGGCAATTTTCCTGCCTTAGCCACCTGAGTAGCTGGGATTACAGGAACACTCCACCACGCCCAGCTAATTTTTTGTATTTTTAGTAGACACAGGGTTTCACCATGTTGGCAAGGCTGGTCTCAAACTCCTGAACTCAAGTGATCTACCTGCCTCGGCTTCCCAAAGTGCTGGGATTACAGGCGTGAGCCATCGCGCCTGGTCTTAATTTTTTAAAATTTTAGTAGGCATGTGATTTCCCCATGTTGCCCATGCTGGTCTCAAACTCCTGGGCTCAAGCGATGCACCTCAGCCCCATGAAGTGCTGGGATTACAGGTGTGAGCCACCATGCTGCCACTGGAAGTTTTATGAACGGTCAAGATGGTATTCCTTCTGGTGGTGTGTTCTTGTCTTCCTGTCACACAGCTGAGACACTTCCAGGTGGCCTCTCTTCTGTCTCCGCTTGTCACAGGCCAGGTGGGGGCATCCCAACTCGAGTGTGAAGCCAACACCCGGGCCAACCTCTGCACTAAAAGTGGAGCCGCTTTCAGGGGAATAACTTGTCAGTTAATTTTTTTTTTTTTTTTTTTTTTTTTGAGACAGAGTCTCCCTCTGTCTCCTGGGCTGGAGTGCAGTGGCGCAATCTTGGCTCACTGCAACCTCCACCTCCCAAGTTCAAGCGATTCTCCTGCCTCAGCCTCCCAAGTAGCTGGGATTACAGGCATGGATCACCATGCCTGGCTAATTTTTTTGTATTTTTAGTAGAGATGGGGTTTCATCATGTTGGTCAGGCTAGTCTCAAACTTCTGACCTCAAATGATTCCCCCCACCTCGGCCTCCCAAAATGCCGGGATTACAGGCATGAGCCACTGTGCCCAGC
Organism: Homo sapiens; assembly: GCF_000001405.40. Classification (NCBI taxonomy): domain Eukaryota; kingdom Metazoa; phylum Chordata; class Mammalia; order Primates; family Hominidae; genus Homo; species Homo sapiens. The sequence goes on along the minus strand of NC_000016.10, from coordinate 23,496,018 downwards.
CAGCTTGTTAATTTGCTGGTTCATTCAATCAGCAAATATTCAGTAAGGGCATACCATGTGCCCAATGCTGTGCTGGGTGGTGGTAGGCAGCGCAGGCACAATTCCTCTCCTTCCAGCTGTCTGCCCACTGGTCTGATCCTGTAGATCTGTGATAAGACAGCTCTTGGCCACCATGTGTATGGGGAGGGGTGTAAATTTCTTCCTATTATGTACTCTCTAACTTTATTATTTATTTGACAGACAAAGCCACAGACCCAAGCATGTCGGAACAGGATTGGTCAGCTATCCAGAATTTCTGTGAGCAGGTGAACACTGACCCCAATGGGTAAGGTAACTTCTCACACACATAGTTGACTCTGGGGGCACCCCACACTGAGTGTAGGCCTTTGTCTCTCAAGACTGTTTTAGGGTTAAGCTCTCTAGGCAAGGATCGGTGGCTCATGCCTATAATCCCAACAGTTTGGGAGACCAAGGCAGGAGGATTGCTTGAGCCCAGGAGTTTGAGACCTGCCTGGGTGACAGAGTGAGAGACTCTGTCTCAAAAAAATAGAAATGCAGTCAGGCTGGCATTCATTCTCTCATTTTCCCCTATAATCCTGAGAACATTATTTTTCTAAAATTAGCAAATTCATGTGGGGGAAAAAAAACACAGGATAGCTCACTTGCAACTGGCAGTTATTAATTTTAAATACTGTTATAAAACACTAATGCTGAGGAGAACTCTGAATGTTACTGATAGACTATAGACACGTTACCTAATTAAAAGAGATCTGTGTATTCTCCACCATTTAAATGTAATTTTAAGAAAAAGGAAAAGGGGAAGGTTTTATTGAATTCTGTTTCCACAGCATCTGGATAGGACCTGAAGAATCAGAATCAAGTGAGTCATCCAGATGTTTTGTTTTTGTTTTGTTTTCTTTTCTTTTCTTTTTTTTTTTTTCCTGAGACAGAGTGTCTCAAGACTGGAGTGCAAGGGCACGATCTCAGCTCACTGCAACCTCCACCTCCCGGGTTCAAGTGGTTCTCCTGCCTCAGCCTCCCAAGTAGCTGGGATTACAGGCGCGTGCCTCCATGCCTGGCTAATTTTTTGTATTTTTTTAGTAGAGATGGGGCTTCACCATGTTGGCCAGGCTGGTCTCGAACTCCTGACCTCAGGTGATCCACCTGCCCTGACCTCCCAAAGTGCTGGGATTACAGGCGTGAGCCACTGTGCCTGGCCCATCCAGATGTTTAATCTGTGTGGTGTCGCATATTTGGCCAGTTTGAACCCAGAGTTTGATCGCACTTTCTGCTCTAGCATTTCCTAGGTATTTATCACAGCCATACAGGGCCTGTGCTGCTGTGGCTACTCATGGGACTGGGCTGGGACTGGCAGCTTGGAGTTTGGGGGCTGGGGGTTGGCTGAGGGGAGGGCAGTGTGCCCTGGGCAGGAGGAGGACCTTGGGTGCTGTAGGTGCAACCAGGGTGGGTGCGAGGTGGCCCTCTCCAGGGCCCCCGCGTGGCCTGTTTGTCAGGCACGCTCCACCTCTGCTTTTGGACACCAGCCCCTGGAAGAAAAGTGATTTTACTGAGCATGCTCAGCCACTCGGGTTAGTTTCTTTTTGCCCGCCCAGAGTCTAGGTCTTTTTGTTTCCCTGTAGCCCCACACATGCGCCCTGGCTACTGGCCCACAAGATCCAGTCTCCGCAAGAGAAGGAAGCTCTTTATGCCTTAACGGTGAGTTTGGCTTGCCTTGTAGCCTAACCTTTCCTGTCCTTGTGCTATAGAGAGCCGAGAGGCGCTTTGCTTCCACACAGATCCTTTTCACTGGAGAAGGGAGGTCCCCTGAGAGGTTTACCTTCACAGCAGGTTGGAGGAGGGAGATCTGGGCCAGGGTCCCCACCCTTCTTCCTCCTGTTTCTCGTCTGTTTCTTCAGGGCAGCATTGAGTCTACTGTGGGAGAAGGAAAGGAAGGTTTTATTTCATTTGCCCTTCTTAGACCAGGGCTGGCAAGTTCATGTGCCTTTTCTAGAGAGGGCAGTTCTAGCACAGGGCCCACTAGCTGTTGGCAGGTATGAGTATGGGCTCAGGGTTGCTAGTTTAGGTCTTTGTATATGTTTGAGTGTTTAGATGTTGGTGACTAATTTGCAGTGTTGAAAGCCACAGTATGGACGAGAGGAGGGGTCTGCAGGCTCAGCTTGCCTCTTGAGTGCCAGTGGGTGACATCCGGCTGGTCTTGGGCACTGGATACCAGATCTCTGCCTCTGGGGAGGGGTTGGTTCTTTAGCCACTTTCTCCTCTCAAAGGGTCTCCTTAAAAGGTGGGGTGACCTCAGGGTTTGACATACCTCACTAAGCTATTTCCTGGGCATAAACCTCAGGCAGTTATAGCAAGATTGAACAGGGGACATTTTTTTCTTGATCTGAAAACGTCCTCTTCATCAAAACTTCAGTGTCCTCATAGGCTTGAGGCAGGGTTAGCCTTGGTTCCAGCGCAGTCTCCAGCAAGTGATTACCAGCCTGGAGGGGAGCCTGGGACCACTGGCTTTCCACCTTCTCCTGGGGGTCCTGTGTCTGTGCAGGTGCTGGAGATGTGCATGAACCACTGTGGGGAGAAGTTCCACAGCGAGGTGGCCAAATTTCGTTTCCTGAACGAACTGATCAAAGTGTTGTCCCCAAAGGTGAGTACCTGGGCTTGGCTCTGCTGACTGTGTCGCACCTACGCCCACTGTCAAACTCCTGGCTCCCTCCTCAGGCCAGAGGCAGGCCCACGCATGGACAAAACCTGCTCCTGCCTGTGAAAGAAGCGCTCTCCTCTCCAAGCTCTAGGAAGAGGCTCTGCTCATTAGCTGACCCCTGCCCCTCACTGTTAGCATTTTCACATTTCCCTTTTAAGAAGGCCTGGGGAACGTGTGGCCTAGAGGAGATGAGGAACTCCAGCTTGGAGGCACAGGTTCCTGATAGAGACAGTGAGAGATCCCAGGGGTGGCGTGAAAGTTTCCTATCACCTCCTGCCTTGTCCTCTGTACCTGTCCTCCTGGCACCTGTCTTAGCTCAGCCAGTCTCAGGTAACCAACATTGAGCCCTGCCTTGTTGTGTTCCCACAACAGTGCCGATGCTGGCCATGGGTCCTACAGTTCATTTCAGTTCTGACACTCCCCTGAGTTGCATGCTACCCGGACCCCACGCAGTGAGGGCTCAGTGCTGCTTAGGCTTCCTGTGTTTCAGCTGCCAGCCGTGAGTCTCATGTGTCCTCAAGCTGCTGCACTTCTGCATCCCCAGCTGCAGATTCAGGGGTTCCTATGACCCCCACCGCCCCATATTCCATAATTCCCTAGAATGATTCACGTACACAGGAAAGCACTATACTTTCTATCCCTGTTTTATTGTAAAGGATACAAATGGAAGCGATACATAGGCAAGGTCTTGGTGGGGCAAGAGGGGACAGAGCTGCTGTGCCCTCCCCTGGACTCTGAGCTTGCCATCCTCCCAACGTAGGTTCAACTGAGAGGCTCTCTGAGCTTCCTTGTTTCAGTGTTTTCATCTGAGGTTTTTTTGTTTTGTTTTGTTTTTTTACACATCATTGCTGGCTTGAACTAGCACTAGGTTTTATTACCTAGGCATGATCGGTCAAATCATTGGCCACATAGTTGAACTCAATCTCTAGTTCACACCCCCCTGCCCGCCCCACCACCTCCACAGGTGGGGGGATGTGGGGGCACCGGTCAGGGGATGGGGCTGAAAGTTTCAGCCCTCTGATCACAAGGTTGATCTCTTTGGAGTGGCCAGCCCTTGAAGCTCTCTAGGCACTCACTGTAAGTCATTAGTGAAAACTCAGGTGCACCCTGCGAGTGTGTCTCTTGAATAACAAGACACTCTTGTGACTCAGGAAATTCCAAGGATTTTTGAAGTTCTGTGCCAGGAACGGAAACAAAGACCAAATTTTATTATTATATTCTTGTCCAAGGCAAAAAATGACTGTCCCCAGTGGTGTAGAACAGGCTCTGACCCAGGCTCTTGCATGGTGGGGTTTAGTGTGAGTATTGCCGAGATGAATTCCTTGAATCCCAGGAAGGGCTCCGGGGCTGGGCGCCAGATGGTGTGGCCTCTAGTCTCTCCTCACACTCATACCGCGCCTGGGAGCTTGTGTCTCTGGGCCTCAGCAGCTACCTCTTTAGTTAAAGTGTCGGTCTCCCAAGTCCCTTCCAGCTCTAGAATTCTCTTTCCTTTTTACTTTCAGTACCTGGGGTCCTGGGCCACAGGAAAAGTTAAAGGAAGAGTCATTGAAATACTCTTCAGTTGGACAGTCTGGTTTCCGGAAGACATCAAGATTCGAGACGCTTATCAGATGCTGAAGAAACAAGGTCTGACTTGCCTTACTGTGTCTTATTTCCTCTTGACTAGGCCTGTATCTTCTTGCTTTTTCATCTGCCTTATAATTTTTTGTTGAAAGCTGTACTTCTTATGTAGGACCATAGACACTGAGGTAGAGTTTTTTTTTTTTTTTTTTACGCAATAAATCTTTTATCTACTTACCTTTAAAAGCCATAGTGCAAACCTGGAAAGATGATGTAGGGTTTGCTTTTTTCCCTGTTGCCTGGAAATCATAGGAAACCACAGCATGAAAAAGGTCAAAATACAAGCTACCTATGTCACTAAAGCACTTATTTATCTTTTAAAAGACTTGTTTGCCTAAAAACTAACCTTTTGGTTTTTTTTTTTTTTTTTTTTTTTGAGACAAGGTGTTGCCCTGTTACCTAGGCTGGAGCACAGTGGTGCAGTCATGGCTCACTGTAGCCTCGACCTTCTGGACTCCAGCCATTTTCCTGCCTCAGTCTCCCAAGCAGCTGGGACTACAGGCGTGTGCCACCATACCCAACTAATTTTTTCATTTATTATTATTCTCCCACCCACACCCCAACACACACACACAAACACACACACTCTCTTCCTCTCTCTCTGTCTCTGTCTCACTTGCTGTCTCACTTACACCAAATATTTGTATTTTTTGTAGAGACAGGGTCTTGCAATGTTACCCACGCTGGTCTCAAACTACTGGGCTCAAATGATCCTCCCACAGCCTCCCAGGCGTGAGCCACCATGCCCATCTTTAACCTCTTTTCCTGAAATAGTGGAACCTTACTATGAAGTACAGATAAATGCTACCTATGAGCTAGAGTTTGAAAAATACTATTGTGATAAAAGTAACAACGTGCAGACATAAAATATTTTATAGTTACAAAAGATCTTTCAGTAATCATTTAGTGGATTTATTTTTATTTACTTCTTTTTTTTTTTTTTCTTTTGAGACAGAGTCTCACTCTGTTGCCCAGGCTGGAGTGCAGTGGGGCGATCTCTGTTCACTGCAACCTCCGCCTCCTGGGTTCAAGTAATTCTTGTGCCTCAGCTTCTCGAGTAGCTGGGATTACAGGCACCTGCCACCATGCCTGGCTAATTTTTGTATTTTTAGTAGAGATGGGGTTTCACCACATTGCTCAGGCTGGTCTCAAACTCCCAACCTCAAATGATCCGCCTGCCTCAGCCTCCCAAAGTGCTGGAATTACAGGCGTGAGCCACCGCTCCCGGCTGTGGATTTATTTTTAATTGACACATACTTATACACATTTATTGGAGTACAATGTGATATTTTGGTACATGCATACAATGTGTAGTGATCAAATCAGGGTAATTGGCATATCCATCAGTGAGGTAAGGAGTTTTTAATCCCTGGAATTGGGTAGAGCTTTCCTTTTGGTAGACAGGATTTGAGCTGGGTGTGAGATTTGTTGTTGCTGTAGTTACTATATCAGACTTCAGATTCCTCTAGTGTTAGCTGATGTTTAGGTTGGGGGCTAGCTAGTTTGTTAGTTTTCTTCAGTATCTGTTCTCTCAGCTGTAGGTCTTCACTTTCCTCTGCACCTCAGAGAGAGCCTTTCTCCTTGTTCTTGCCACTCGTAGCAGTAGACAGCCATCCCTTGTCAGAGGGATAGGGTGGCGGGCAGGGCCAGTCTCTGTTCTGATTCAGCCTGGTTCTTAGGCAGGCACTGCATCCTGGGTCTTGGTAGGATCTGTTTGTGATCCTGCCTCACCCCAGTGTAGATCTGGGCCCAGGACATAATTCCTGCTCCTCCTCCAAGGGTACTAGGGTTTGTTTTTGTTTTTTCTCCCCTGTTTTTTCTCTAGCTGCAGTGGGTTCCACCGGTGCTCTAAGGCTGCAGGGTTTGTTACTCTTCTCCCCCTAATCCCGCCTTCAGGCCTTCCCGCTGTTTTCGTGAGCCTCTGGAGAAGAGCTTATTTTCTTTTTGTTGCAGCCTCCAGAAATTCTGTATTCTCTTGGTAGCTCACACTGGCCTGTAGACAATTTTTAAATAATTCTAGCTTAGTTGTTACTATTGGTATTGCCTTTTGTCAATCCTTGGAGGTTGTTTTTTTCCTTAGATTTCAGGTTACTTGGTTGTTGCCCTGTGATCTGGGCTCTCTGATGTATTCAGGGAAGCTGTAGGCTGGGCATGGTGGCTCACGCCTGTGATCCCAGCACTTTGGGAGTTTGAGGTGAGGAATCACTTGAGGCCAGGAGTTTGAGACCAGCCTGGGCAACATAGCGAGACCCCCATCTCTACAAAAAATTTTTTAAAAAAATTACCTGGGTGTGGTGGTGCCCACCTGTAGTCCCAGCTACTTGGGAGGCCAAGGTGAGAGGACTGCTTGACCTTAGGAGTTTGAGGCTGCAGCGAGCCATGATCACACCACTGCATTCTAGCCTGGGAGACAGAGCAAGAATCTGTCTCAAAAACAACAAAAATATTGTGAATTTGCACACTTTCCAGTGTTTTGTTGTTGTCACGATGGGGGTGATAGTTCCCACCTTTGTGTGTCCTGTTTGGAAGATGGGAATCTGAATTCCTTTTTATGTTGGGCTCTTAAAAGAAGGAACTCAGGTTCAGGATGGACTGTTGTTCCCTGTCACATACACTCAGCATTTTCAGGAGCTTCATCAGGGACCCTCCAGAAACTTTTGATCCCTGGGAGGTTATGTAGCTGGATAAACTGATCCATGCTTTTACAGCATAAGGCCCACAGACTGCAGGCCTTCAGGACTGGCTCTTCTCTGACATAGTTGGCTCTGCTGTCCCGGCCACCATGGTCCCTTGGATTCTCCTAAGAGATGATGCAAAACTTCGTTCATACACTGGGTGTTGTCTTTGAAGGCTGTTGACAGTGCTTTGCTAGCATGGTATTAGGAACCAGGGGTTTCCAGACTTTATACTGGATTCTGACTGAAGTTTCTGGGTACCATATCGGTGTCTTAACTTTGTAAATTGCATTTTTAGGAATTATAAAACAAGACCCTAAACTACCAGTGGATAAAATCTTACCCCCACCATCTCCCTGGCCCAAGAGCTCCATCTTTGATGCTGATGAAGAAAAGTCCAAGGTAAGGAAACAGACCTACATGGTGTCTGATCAGACCTTTTCTCTTAGGCACTGTAAATGCCCTTTGATGCTTGAATCGGAGTATGGAGGGGGGCAGGTTACATGGGTTCTCCTCTCCAGACAGGCCCTTAGGAGTGAGGTAGCAGAAGGTTTGGGTGCGTTCTTCATGGATAAGTCAACTAATAAGGGCCAGTCTGTTTTGATTCAGCCTGGTTCTTAGGCAGACACTGCATCCTGGGTCTTGGTAGGATCTGTTTGTGATCCTGCCTTACCCCAGTGTAGATCTGGGCCCAGGACATAATTCCTGCTCCTCCTTCAAGGGTACTTTGTGCCCTCTCCCTTTTGTGCACAGCCTTCCTGGGGGAAAGAAGGTGCAGAAGGATAGCCCGTGGGGAGTGTGGGTGATGGATGGGTCATGTCCTGTGTGGGTGTGGTGTTGGGGTGGGGACAGTGGAAGAACTTGCTGCTGTGTGTTGCTTCAGCTCTTTCTCAGTGCCAGTGAGCCCGGCCCTATCCATTTTCCATCCACCATGAACTCCCCAAACCGTTATTCCTTGGACATCAGTATCTAGAGGGACAAGAAGAAGAAGGTGGCCAAGACCCAGGGATAACTGTGGTGCCTGTGAGTGGGGAGCCCTTTGGCCTAGTGCTGGCGGTGCTTTTGGTCATGACTGTTCTTGGTCAGTCACAAGGTCTAGTTCATGGAGTGTTGGAAGGCTACACGCTGCGTACTCGTTTCTGCGTGGTATGCTCTGCCTGTCAACTGCACCCTCTCCCTGTACCCACTCCTTGGGCCTAGATACTCTGTGGCCATCAGGTCCCTGTTGTTAGAATGAGCAAGGCTAGTCTAGGTTCCAGGCCACCTTTCTCCGCTTTCCTCCTGCTTGGTGCCTTAGGTTTGCAGAGGGTGGGAGGAGCTAGGAAGGAGGTATGGTGTGACTTCTGAGAAACAATCCTGTGTCACCAGCCCTCATTATCCCCACTTTTCCTGCCATCCGTCCCACAAAGATTGAGTGACTTCTCTGTGCCAGGCATCCTGCTGGGCGCTGGAAATGAAGGGATGAACAAGATCACCAGGGTCTGTTGTGTCATAAAGCACATGGTCCAGGGCAACTGCAGACCTAGTCCCCTTTTGGGCCAGAGAATTCTCTGTTGTTGGGGACTGTCCTGTGCACTGTAGGATGTTCACAGCATTCCTCACTCTACCCACGAGCTGCCAGTAGCACCCCCTCTCTAGTTGTGACAACCAAATTTCTCCAGACTTAGCCAGACATCCCCTGGGAGAAGTAACCCCCACATCCCCCTACCCCACTGAAAACCAGTGGCAGGCCAGGCACGCTGGCTTACGCCTGTAATCCCAGCATTTTGGGAGGCCGAGGTGGGTGGATCACGAGGTCAAGAGATTGAGACCATCCTGGCCAACATGGTGAAACCCTGTCTCTACTAAAAACACAAAAATTAGCTGGGCATGGTGGCACGCGCCTATAGTCCCAGCTACTTGGGAGGCTGGGGCAGGAGAATTGCTTGAACCCGGGAGGCAGAGGTTGCAGTGAGTCGAGATTGCGCCACTGCACTCCAGCCTGGCAACAGAGCAAGACCCCGTCTCAAAAAAAAAAAAAAAACAACAGAAAAGAAAACCAGTGGTGTATTGGGATAGTCAGAGTGCCTGCATCGTAGTGTCCTTGGACCATTTGGTGAGATGGTGCATGTAAAATGTGTGCACTGTTGTTAGTGTTAACTCTTCTGTTGCTGCTGCTTCTGCTCTAGGCCTGAGGGAGTTGTGGTCTCACCTACTCTTCCTGTTCACTCTCTGCAGCTTCTGACAAGGCTTCTAAAGAGCAACCACCCCGAGGACCTTCAGGCTGCAAACCGGTTAATCAAGAATTTGGTCAAGGAGGTGGGCATTCTTCCAGTTGGTTCAGTAGAAGTAGCATTTGACAGAGGCTGAAGGACAGTGCATATGAGCCTATGCTTGAGGGGTAGAGGAACGGTTGCCTGGGAGAAAGAGTGGCTCCTAGCCCTGAACTCTGGGGAACAGCCATAGTCTCCCTCAAGGGCAGCAAGGTGGTGATTGGAACCAGAAATCCCGCTGCCGTACTTCTCAGCTGCTTTCATCCATGCTGCTCAAAGCATTTCCTAGACACCAGCTTGGGTCCCAGCAACAGGTATTGGTATGGACAAAGTCCAGGTTTAGGAATCTGCTTTTCAGAGGACTTGAGGCTGGTGGCACAAAGGCAGAGGTCATGGTCACCAGTCCCCAAACTGCATTTTCCTCCCCAGGAACTCTGGGCTTTTGAGTATTTTTTCACCCACTGTGTGAGTTCTCCCATGCACTTAACATCCTGGTGATGCCCCTGAGCGAGCTCTCTCAATAGTGACTCTTTCCCATCCCTTGTTCAGGCTTCAGCCAGGGTTTCTGCTCCCTCACTCCCATCCTCCTCTTTTTCCCAAAAGGAACAAGAAAAATCGGAGAAGGTGTCCAAGAGGGTCAGTGCGGTGGAGGAAGTGCGAAGCCATGTGAAGGTGCTGCAGGAGATGCTGAGCATGTACCGCAGGCCAGGGCAGGCCCCGCCCGACCAGGAGGCCCTGCAGGTAATACAGGTGTAACACAGGGGGCTGCACATGTTTACTAAAGTGGGTTTGAAATGCTTTCACCTGTTTGCACCCATGAAGCCATCTCAGAGTCAAGACGGTAAACATATCTGACACCTCCCCAAATGTCGTTGTGCTGCTTTGTCCTCCCTTTGTCTGTCCCTTGCTCCCCAGTCCCCAGGCAGCTGCTAATTTGCTTTCTGTTCTGATTGGCTGACAACTCCCAGACTCTTGTATAAATGGAATGATGCAGTACATAACCCTCTATTTTTGCCTGGTTTCTGGATCTCACTCGAGATCCATTCACGTTGCTGTGTGTAGCAGTAGCTTGTTTCTTATTGCCGGGTACTGTCCCGTCACCTGGATGTACCACAGCATGTACCTGTTGATGGGCCTTGCGTTGTTTCCAGCTTTGGGTGATTGTGAATCATGCTACTGTAAACAATTTTGTACGGGATTTTGTGTGAACATCGATTTTCATTTCTTATGGGTAAATGTCTGGGATTACTAGGTCATATGCTAAGTATATATTTAACTTGTTAGGAAACAAAGTGGCTAAGCTATCTTCAAGGGTGATTGCACCATTTTACAGTCCTAACAGCAGCATATGCAAGTTCTAGCTCCTCCACATCTTGAGATCTTGGTTTTTATATAGCATCTTTATGAGATAATTAACATACCATAAAAGCAACCATCACACCTACCTAGTTATAGAATATCTTAATCACCCCTAAAAGAAACCTTGTACCCATTAACAGTCATTCCCCCTTTCCCAAACTCCCCTTTCCCCAGTCCCTGGCAACCACTAATCCACTTTCTGTCTCTCTGGATTTGCTTATTTGGATGCTTCGTCCAAATGCGGTTGCACAATACGTGGGCTTTCGTGTCTGGCTTCCTTTACGTAGCCTAATGTTTGCAGGTGCATCCATCTGGTAATGTGTCACTGCTTCATTCCTTTTCATGGCTGGATAGCGTTCCATTGTGTGGCTATGCCACAGTTTGTTTCTCCATTTATCAGCTGATGGGCATTTGGGTTGTTCCTACTTTTTGGCTATTATGAATGATGCCTTTGAATTATTCATTACGAATAATGACTTTGAACTTTGTCCAAGTTTTTATGTGAACATAGGTTTTAAATTCTCTTGGGTATATACCTAGAAATGGAATTGCTGGATCTTGGGGTAACTCCATATTTAACATTTTGAGGAACTGCCAAGCTGTTTTCCAAAGTGGCCATGCCATTTTACATTCCCAGCAGCAATGTATTGGCTCCAGTTCTCTGCATCCTGCCAACATTTGCTGTTATCTTTTTGATTGGAGTCCTCCTGGAGGGTGTGAAGTACTGTCTCATTGCAACTTTCTGTTTCTTGATGGCTTATTTATTTCCTATGCTCATTGGCAGCTTGTGCATCTTAGAAGACATGTCTGTGCAAATCCATTGCCCATCTTTTGGATTGTCTTTTTTGAGTTACAAGCGTTTTTTATATATTCTGGATACAGGTTCCTTATCAGACAGTTTTCTCCCTTCCTTTGGGCTGTCTTTTCACTATTTTGATAGCATCTTTTGAAGCGGGAGTTTTGTTTTGTTTTGTTTTTTGAGACAAGGTCTCGCTCTGTCGCCCAGGCTGGAGTGCAATTGCGTGATCTCAGCTCCGCACGACTTCTGCCTCCCGGGTTCGAGCGATTCTCCTGCCTCAGCCTCCCGAGGAGCTGGGATTACAGGAATGTGCCAGCACGCCTGGCTAATTCTGTATTTTTTTTTTTTTTTAAGTAGAGACAGGGTTTCTCTATGTTGGTTAGGCTGGTCTCGAACTCCTGACCTCAGGTGATCCACCCGTCTCAGCCTCCCAAAGTGCTGGGATTACAGGTGTGAGCCACTGTGCCTGGCCAGTAGAGACAGGGTTTCACCATGTTGGCCAGGCTGGTCTTGAACCCTGGCCTGAGGTGATCCACCTGCCTTGGCCTCCTGAAGTGCTGGGATTACAGGCATGAGCCACCATGCCTGGCCTTTTTTTTTTTTTAATGTCTTCCTGGTGCTTTTGTTATCACATCTAAGAAACCACAGCCCAGCCGGGCGCAGTGGCTCATGCCTGTAATCCCAGCACTTTGGGAGGCCGAGGCAGGCGGATGACCTGAGTTCAGGAGTTCAAGACCAGCCTGACCAACATGGAGAAACCCCATCTCTACTAAAAATACAGTATCAGCCGGGCGTGGTGGCGCATGCCTGTAATCCCGGCTACTCAGGAGGCTGAGGCAGGAAGAATCATTTGAACCCAGGAGGCGGAGGTTGCGGTGAGCTGAGATCACACCATTGCACTCCAGCCTGGGCAACAACAGTGAAACTCTGTCTCAAAAAAAAACCAAAAAAACAAACAATCAAAAAGAAACCACAGCCTGTCTGTGCCAGGTTCGAGGCAGCCATGCTGTTGGTCTCCCTTGGAACTCTGTTCTCCACCTCCTTCTGCAGGTCTGTTTCAGCCATCTCCCTCTGCATTCCAGTTTTTTATGTCTCTCTGCACAGGAGGAGAGCCAGCCTCCACGTAACTTCTTTATTTACCTGTCCTTCCACTTCACAAGATTAGTAGAAATGAACTACTGTCTTTCCAAATTCCTAAGAGAAAGCCTCCCGAGTAGCTGGGATTACAGGCACCCACTAACTTTTGTATTTTTAGTAGAGACAGGGTTTCACCATGTTGGCCAGGCTGGTCTTGAACTCCTGACTTCAGGTGATCAGCCCACCTTGGTCTCCTAAAGTGCTGGGATTACAGACGTGAGCCACCCTGCCCGGTCAGATTATTTTATTTTCAGAAATCATACACTTGTAGCCTGTAGTCTTTTTCTGAAACTCTGTCATGTTACTTCAAAACTGCAGTCTCTAAGTCAGGACCATTGGGAGGCCTTCTGAAGCCCCAGACTCTGCCGTCTGCCTGATCGAAGGCTCCTGGGGCCCTGGAGGGGGGCGTTATGGGGTGCCTGGGCGTGTGTCATGAACCAAGCTCTGCTCTTTCAGGTCGTGTATGAGAGGTGTGAAAAGCTGCGGCCCACGCTGTTCCGGTTGGCGAGTGACACCACTGATGACGATGATGCACTCGGTAAGTTTTCTTTCCTTGGGTGTAGCTAGCAGCCCAGGTGCAAGACAGACTCGGTCCCTCCTGTCACACTGCTGTGCCAGGAACAAGACAGAGTGGACTTTCGGTTCCGTGGAGCTTGGGCTTGGGGAGGGTGTGGCCTGAGTTGCCTCAGAACTGACTTCCAGCAGGATCCAGGCTTCAGTAAGAAATCAGCAGCAGGTCTAAAGCCTGAAAAGAAGTGGAAATTGACCATGGAGATTGGGGTGTGAGAGGTAGAAGAAAGATCCCACTGGAGGCTTCAGGAAAAGCTGACCAATCGCAGGGGCCAGAGAAACAGCTGTGGGTGGTGTCTCAAGGGGATCACGGGCTTTTGTACCTTCAGGGGCCAGGTAGGTCAACTAAGAGGGCCAGGCCGATGGGAAATGGAAGGTACATCTGTAAGGAAGTGGAGAATTGTCCACAGTTACTAAAAAAGAATTTTAACTCTTTATTGTGGAAAATCTCGAAACATGAGAGAGGGGAATAGTAAAACCTATATATTCTTCACTCATCTTTAATAATTACCAGCTCATAGCTGATTTTTTTAATCTTACTTCATCTGTACCTCTCTTTGTACACACCCATTCCCTAGTCTGTTTTGAAGCAAATTCTAGACATTTCTTTTTCTTTTAATTATTTTGGAGATGGAGTCTCGCTCTGTCGTCCAGGTTAGAGTGCAGTTGTGCAGTCTTGGCTCACTGCAACCTCTACCTCCCTGGTTCAAGCCATTCTCCTTCCTCAGCCTCCCAAGTAGCTGGGATTATAGGCACCCACCATCACGCCTGGCTAATTTTGTATTTTTGTAAGATGACATTTCACCATTTTGGCCAGGCTGGTTTCAAACTTCTGGCCTCTAGTGATCCGTCTGCCTCGGCTTCCCAAAGTGCTGGGATTACAGGCGTGAGCCACGATCCCCGGCCTCTGGACATTTCAGAATAATCAAAGATTCAGTCAGTGTTCAGATTGCCCTGATAAAATTTCTCCTTAATCATCTCTTGCTAACTTAAAAAAAAAAAATTGTTCTAAATCAGACATAAAAGAAAAGCCATATAATTGGTTTATATTTCTTCTGTCTCTCTTAGTGGATAGCATGTGCATGCCCTCTGCAATCCTTTTTCCTTTTTTTTGAGACAGTCTCACTCTGTTGCTCAGGCTGGAGTCCAGTGGCGTGCTCAGCTCACTGTAGCCTCTACAGCCTTTACATCCTGTGTTCAAGCGATTCTCATGCCTCAGCCTCCTGAGTAGCTGGGACTACAGTTGCGCACCACCACACCTGGCTAATTTTTGTACTTTTAGTAGAGATGGAGTTTTGCCATGTTGGCCAGGCTGGTCTCAAACTCCTGGGCTCAAGTGATTTGCCCGCCTTGGCTTCCCAAAGTGCTGGGATTACAGGCGTGAACCACCACACACAGCCTTTTTTCCTTGCATGAAAATAGGCCCTCTGAATTGACAGTTCTCTCGGTCTCAGTTTTGCTCGTGGCATCCCCCATGATGCTGCTCATGTTCTGTTTCTGATATTTCTTTTTTTCTTGAGATGGAGTTTCGCTCTTGCTGCCCCGGCTGGAGTGCAATGGTGCGATCTCAGCTCGCTGCAACCTCCGTCTCCTGGGTTTAAGCAATTCTCCCACCTCAGCCTCCCGAATAGCTGGGATTACAGGCACCTGCCACGGCTGATTTTTTGTATTTTTAGTAGAAACTGGGTTTCACCATTTTGACCAGGATAGTCTCGAACTCCTGACCTCAGGTGATCCACCCGCCTCGGCCTCCCAAAATGCTGGGATTATAGGCATGAGCCACTGCACAGAGCCAGCAGCTTCAGATTCTGAGTTAAAGTTAAAAGTTTGTTATTGAAAGGGCCTTAATTTGAGTGCTTACTGCTGGCCATTACTCTGGACAGTACAGGTGTAGAAGGTGAACAGATTTGCTTCCTTCTGCATTGAGAACTACTAACATGTTAGGACTCAGGTTAACTGACTAGGCCTGATAGGGTCCGATGACACAACCTGGAGGCAGGAGGTGTGGATAAACTGAACATAGTCTAGCCATATGAAGGCTGTTTTATGGAAAAGCTTAGAAAAGACTGAGATTGTTGGTTGCCAAACCAGGGGGTTCTGAGTCTTCCCTCATTCTTCAGCGGAAATTCTCCAGGCAAATGACCTCCTCACCCAAGGAGTTCTGCTGTACAAACAGGTGATGGAGGGCCGGGTCACCTTTGGAAACAGAGTGACCAGCTCATTGGGAGACATCCCTGTCTCCAGAGGTATGTTTGAAAGCTTCTCCTTGCCTTCTCTGCCTTGGGGCAGCCTGTAATTCCCAGAAAAGAAATGGGTCCTAAACATATTCTGGGTTAAGGAATAGAAATGAGAGAACTCGCCCTTTGTTCCCCTTCCTGTGAAAGTGGATATGTTGCCACACCCAGCCATAGGAATTGTCATGAGCTGGTTGCCGGGCTGGACCCCAGCTTTGACTACACACAAAAGCAGATGGCTAAGCTGTGCCTGCGTTTGAATTCTCATAAATGCTTGCATACAGGAGCTAGAGACAAAAGAAATGATCTTCCTTAGTGGTTCCTAGTGCCAGGTCAGCTGTATCAGAATCACCTGGAGCACTGGTTGAAATGCGGTCCCTGGCTTGGACCTTCTGAATCAAGACTGCTTGGAGCTGGGCCTGGAGGTGTGCGTCTTTCAAGCACTGTGGGTGATTCTAATCAGCTGTGGTCAGAAGCCTCAGAATGGCCTGAGCTGGAGAAGGCCGAATCTGCTTTCCTCCAGAGTGATGGGATCTTTGCAGGAGGGCCTATGATCCCTGGGGTAGGAAGGCAGGCCTTGGCTCCCTCTTGTCTTGGATGCCAGCTGAGCTTGTGTGTCAGGACACTCAGCTGAGTGGAAGGTTCTTGGAAGGGCAGGGAGGGCGTTACCATTTGATTAGGAGGTGGTCTGAGGGAAGCTGATAGGATTTATGTGGAGACTTTGCTCTCATGTCCAACTGACTTCTCTTCCTAACCCTGGGCTTTCTAGTCTTTCAGAATCCAGCAGGCTGCATGAAGACCTGCCCCCTGATTGACTTGGAGGTGGACAATGGACCTGCGCAGATGGGGACTGTGGTGCCATCTTTGCTTCATCAGGACCTGGCAGCCTTGGGTGAGGGCAGGTGCTTGTGGGGAGCAGGCACAGGATG
The DNA here is from genome assembly GCF_000001405.40 of Homo sapiens. Classification (NCBI taxonomy): domain Eukaryota; kingdom Metazoa; phylum Chordata; class Mammalia; order Primates; family Hominidae; genus Homo; species Homo sapiens. The sequence goes on along the minus strand of NC_000016.10, from coordinate 23,479,727 downwards.
GGTGCGAGTAGGGGAGTGAGCTGGTTCCCTTCGCGGAGCACATGCCTGCTGCTGAGGGAGTCGAGATGGTTGTGAATAGGAAGAGTGAGCTGGTTCCCTCTGGGAGCACGTGCTTGCTGCTGAGGGAGTCAGGATGGGTGTGAGTAGGGGAGTGAGCTGGTCCCCTTGGGAAGCACGTGTCTGCTGCTGAGCAAGTCAGGGAGAGTGTGAGTAGGGGAGTGAGCTGGACCCTCGGAGAACACGTGTCTGCTGCTGAGGGAGCACATACCTGCTGCTGAGGGAATCAGGGTGGTTGTGAGTAGGAGAGTGAGCTGGACCCTCAGGGAGCACATGCCTGCTGCTGAGGGAATCGGGATGGGTGTGAGTAGGGGAGTGAGCTGGTTCCCTCTGGGAGCAAGTGCCTGCTGCTGAGAGAATCAGCAGGGTTCTGAGTAGGGGAGTGAGCTGGTCTCCTCAGGAAGCACATGCCTGCTGCTGAGGGAATCAGGGTGGTTTTGAGTAGGGGAGTGAGCTGGTCCCCTCAGGAAGCACATACCTGCTGCTGAGGCAATCAGGGTGGTTGTGAGTAGGAGAGTGAGCTGGTTCCCTTGGGGAGCACATACCTGCTGCCAAGGGAATCAGGTGTTCTGGGCAGTTCAGAGGGTCCCCCTTGCATATTAGTCACAGATTGGCCATGGACGAGTCACATGACCTTCAGTAAGTTGCTTATTTGTCTAGACTTTCTGGATGTCCTAGAAAGGATGGGTGTGGCATTACTCTTCATCTGGAAGCAGGTGGAGTTACTGTTAGGCATCTCACTCTACTCCTTTCTTACAGGAATCAGTGATGCTCCTGTTACAGGCATGGTAAGGATGCCCTTCCCAGGGCCCGGAGAGAGAATGGGAGGGTCTCAGACCTGCCCTTGTGAGGCAGCACTGCCTGGCGAGCAGAGAGGTGCTCCTGCACTGTCCCGGTGGGATCATGGCCTTGGAGGTCCAAAGCCTCTTCCTCACCCATACTGTCTGGCTGATACCTGGGGGAGACAGGTTGCACCAGGCTCCTGCTTCCTGGAGGTCTGCCCAGGAGCTGCATGTGATCTTGCCCTTTCTTTCCCCTCTTGCCCCAAGAGATGTCACCAGTCTGGGCCACAGCAGCTTGGGTGGGCTCAGGAGAGCTGTGCCTTGGTTTTACTGTGGCTGATGGTCATTCATACCCTGGTCTTATTTTAGCCATTCCTGATTTGACAGGTTTCTGGTCAGAATTGCTGTGAGGAAAAGAGGAATCCCTCCTCCAGCACGCTGCCAGGCGGTGGTGTTCAGAACCCTTCTGCAGACAGGAATTTGCTGGACCTCCTCTCAGCACAGCCAGCTCCGTGCCCTCTGTGAGTCTTCTGGGCAAGGGGAGTGGGAGAGTGTGGCTCCTGAGTGCGGTTCCTTCTCATGGGACAAGGGCCAGAGAATGGTGCTCTAAGACAGCCTCTCGCCCTGGAGAAACATCTTTCTTTCTTTCTTTTTTTTTTTTTTGTCTTTTTTTCTTTTTTTTTTTTTTTTGAGACGGGGTCTCACTCTGTTGCCCAGGCTAGAGTGCAGTGGCACAATCTCGGCTCACTACAGCCTTTACCTCCTGAGTTCAAGCGATTCTCCTGCCTCAGCCTCCCAAGTAGCTGGGATTACAGGCACGCGCCACCATGCCCAGCTAATTTTTTTTTTTTAATTTTTAGTAGAGACGGGGTTTCACCATGTTGGCCAGGCTGGTCTCAAACTCCTGACCTCAGGTGATCCGTCTGCCTGGCCAAGAAACATCTTTCTATTGAAAGTTTAGGCCAGGTGCAGTGGCTCATGCCTTGTACTTGTTTTCACACTGCTGATAAAGACATACCCAAGACTGTGTAATTTAAAAACAAAAAGAGGTTTAATGGACTCATAGTTCCATGTGGCTGGGGAGGCCTCCCAGTCATGGCGGAAGGCAAAAGGCATGTGTTTTTGTTTGTTTGTTTGTTTTTGAGATGGAGTCTCGCTCTGTCGCCCTGGGTGGAGTGCAGTGGCGCGATCTCAGCTCACTGCAACCTCTGCCTCCCAGGTTCAAGCGATTCTTTTGCCTCAGCCTCCTGAGTAGCTGGGATTACAGGCGTGTGCCACCACACCCGGTTAATTTTTTGTATTTTTTTTTAGTAGAGATGGGGTTTCACTGTGTTAGCCAGGATTGTCTCGATCTCTTGACCTCATGATCCGTCTGCCTCAGCCTCCCAAAGTGCTGGGATTACAGGCATGAGCCACCACACTCAGCCAAAAGGCGTGTCTTATGTGGCAGCAGACGAGAGAATGAGAGCCAAACGAAAAAGGGTTTCCCCTTATAAAACCATCAGGTCTCATGAGACTTACTACCGTGAGAACAGTATGGGGAAACTGCACCCATGATTCAGTTATCTCTTACTGGGTCCCTGCTACAACATGTGGGAATTGTGGGTGCTACAATTCAAGATGAGATTTGGGTGGGGACACAGCCAAACCATATCATACCTGTAATCCCAGAACTTTGGGAGGCCAAGGCAGGTGGATCGCTTGAGCCCTGGAGTTCAAGACCAGCCTGGGAGATATGGCAAAACCCCATCTCTACAAAAAATACTAAAATTAGCCAGGCGTGGTAGGTCATGACTGTAGTCCCAGCTGCTCAGGAGGCTGAGGTAGAAGGATCACTTGAGCCCGGAAAGTCGAGGCTGCAGTGAGCCATTACTATGCCACTGCATTCCAGCCTGGGCAGCAGAGTGAGACCCTGTCTCAAAAAAAGTTTAATGTGCTGCTTCCCTTTTCTCATTTTACTTCTTTTCCTAAGTCGTAGGAAAATACCTGCTTTGGCCAAGACATCTGAAAAGAGGTTTATTTAAGGACTAGGAGTAGTAGAACATGAGGTTTTTGCCGTTTGTTTTTGTTTTCCCTTCTAATAACCATATAATTGAAGTTAAGCAAAATTTGATCCATGGAGAAACATACAACAAAGTGCAAAGTGCCACTCCCTAAAAACAAGGTTGAACGTTCCTTTTTTGCTTTTTTTGTATACATGTAGTGGTACATTCCTGTGTCTTGTTACACAAACAGGATTTTAATTTATAAACCGCACTCCAGCATGACCTTTTCATATTATATCTGTGATGCATTTCATATCAGTTTCTATAAATATGCCTCAGTCTTAATAGCTACATTACAATTTATTGCATGGATGTATTTGATCATTTCCCTTTTTTGGACATTTACATAATTTCTGGTTTGGAGGTGCTTGGGGGAGTGCCTTATAGTATAGATCCCTGAAGGGAGAGGTTCTCTAAGGTGTGAATGTAACAACATTTTCATAGATCCTGTCCCTTTGCCTCTGGAAAAGTGCAGCTTACCTTCACCCAAACAGCCTGAAAGTGCCCATGTTCCTGATAGAAACCACCAGGCTCAGGCAGAAGTGGGATGTCCTGGGAGTTCATTCCCATTTGCCACCCAGAGGTCATTTCTTGCAGTCTTCTTTTTTTCAGCCACTCGGGCAGGGTGGGTTATTTCTCCTCTCAGGACTTTAGTTTTCTAAAATGTTTTCAGTTTGTGTCCCAAATGAACAAAATCATGGAGTGGATAGTAGCTGGTATAATTTGTGTATCATCTGCCTGGCTCAAGTCCCTTTGTGATCACACCTGGGAAACAACCTGACTGAGCTACTTATTGTCAGGGACTGCCCGACAGGTACAACATGAACAACCTTCATAACAAAGGCTCTAGGTTATTGGGTTCTTATTATGTGTGGACATTTTAAGTGCTTTTGTTTTTTTCTTTTTTTTTTCCTGAGATGGAGTCTCACTCTGTTGCCCAGGCTGGAGTGCAGTAGTGTGATCTCGGCTCACCACAACCTCCGCCTCCCAGGCTCTAGCCATTCTCCTGCCTCAGCCTCCTGAGTAGCTGGTATTACAAGCGTGTGCCACCACCACCTGGCTAATTTTTTATTTTTTATTTTTTTTTAATTTTTGTATTTTTAGTAGAGATGGGGTTTCACCATGTCGGCCGGGCTGGTCTTGAACTCCTGACCTCAAATGATCCACCTGCCTCGGCCTCCCAAAATGCTGGGATTACAGGCGTGAGCCACCGTGCCCAGCCTCTAAGTGCTTTTCATACATCGTCTCATTTGATTCTTACAGTAGCCCTAGGAGGTAAATTACTTCTGTTATTCCCATTTAACAGATGAGGAAGCTGAGGTATGAGTTCGATTACTTGACAAAAGTCATATAACATCTGGCGCATTAGCTCACGCCTGTAATCCCAGCACTTTGGGAGGCCGAGGCGGACGGATCACCTGAGGTCAAGAGTTTGAGACCAGCGCGGCCAACGTGGTGAAACCCTGTCTCTAATAAAAATACAAAAATTAGTCGGACATGGTGGCAGGTGCCTGTAATCCCAGCTACTCGGGAGGCTGAGTCAGGAGAATCGCTTGAGCCTGGGAGGCAGAGGTTGCAGTGAGCCGAGACTGTTCGATTGCACTCCAGCCTGGGCAACAGAGCGAGATACTGTATCAAAAAAAAAAAAAAAAAAGGCATATAACATCTAACTCTGTGTGTGTGTGTGTGTTATTTTTTCCTTGTTCTTTAATAAGCCTAACCCAGATTCCAGGAAATCGCTACAATTTTTGCTAGTCTTTGATATTTTTTATTTCTTTGTAGGAATTATGTTTCGCAGAAAAGTGTCCCCAAGGAAGTGCCACCAGGTACTAAGTCCTCTCCAGGTTGGTCCTGGGAGGCTGGCCCGTTGGCTCCTTCCCCATCTTCACAGAATACACCTCTGGCTCAAGTGTTTGTCCCTTTGGAGTCTGTTAAGCCCAGTAAGTACAATTTCACTCCCCACCTTTTTTTTTTTTTCCCTGGGAATCTATTAGACTCCCAGCTTTTTCCACTCCAGTTTGATAGAGGTGGCCCTTAAATTTGGTTGATAAATGGGAGAGATTTTGCATGAGGGCAGAAAGTAAGAGGTTGTGGCCAGGTATGGTGACTCACGCCTGTAATCCCAGCACTTTGGGAGGCTGAGGTGGGAGGATCACTTGAGGCCAGGAGTTTGAGACCAGCCTGGGCGACATAGCCTTGTCTCTATTTGGGGGGGAAGAAAAAAATTGGGAGGCCAAGGCAGGTGATCACTTGAGGCCAGGAGTTCCAGACCAGCCTGGCCAACATAACGAAGCCCTCTCTCTACAAAAAATACAAACATTAGCTGGACATGGTGGTGCATGCCTGTAATCCCAGCTACTTGGGAGGCTGAGGCAGGAGAACTGCTTGAATCCAGGAGGTGGAGGTTGCAGTGAGCCAAGATCATGCCACCACACTCTAGCCTGGGTGACAAAGTGAGACTCCGTCTCCAAAAAAAAAAAAAGTTTGCTTCTTTGTCTTTTAGCTGATTTCTTAGCCTTCCTTAGTATTGACACTGTCAAGGATATGGGCAGGCAGAATTTAATTAAAAGGCTTACTTAGGCACATAATGTTCGTTGATTTGGGTTGGGATTCAAGAAGGGAATGTTTAATGTGGCCTGAAATGACTGGCAAGAGGTAGAATTCAAACGAGTGGATGAATTTGGCTAGTGATCCTCCTTCTCTAGGGATCCTCCTTAAGGCAGAAAAGTGGATATTATCTCTGTTAAAAGGGAAGGAAATGGAAGGCTCGGCTAATTAAGGTGCCTACCGTCTCTACACCAGTATGCAGAGCAGGACACAACTCAGGTCGTCTGTTCCAGGGCCTGGACTCTTTAGCACAGAGCCCTCCTATGGCTCTTTGTGGTGAGGTTAGATTGCAGAGAGCCCTGAAAGCCAGGCAGACAAATTTATAAATAAACAGAGTTGATAAACAATGGGAGCTCTTTGCACATTTCTTTATTGATTTTTGATTTAAGAAATAATACATGTTCAATGTTAATTTTCTGAATTCAATAACTGTATTGTAGTTACGATGTTAACATCTGGGGAAGCTACATGAAGGGTATATAGAAATTTTTGTATTAGTTTTATAACTTTTTATAAGTCTGAAATTATTACAAAACAAACTTTAAAAAATAAAAAAGTTAAAAACAAAAATACATGTTCAAAATGTAGAGTTTTATTAAAGATAGAATAGGCCAGACGCAGTGGCTCATGCCTGTAATCCCAGCACTTTGGGAGGCCAAGGTGGGCAGATCACTTGAGGTCAGGAGTTCGAGACCAGCCTGGCCAACATGGTGAAACCCTAAAAATATAAAAATTAGCTGGGTGTGGTAATGTACACCTGTAATCCCAGCTACTCAGGAGCCTGAGCCTGGAGAATCACCTGAACCCAGATGGCAGAAGTTGCAGTGAGCTGAGATCGTGCCACTGCGCTTCAGTCTGAGCAACAGAGAAGACTCTGTCTAAAAAAAAAAAAAAAAAAAAAAAAAAGACTAGAAAAGTAAAATCATCTATACCATTAACAGCCAGAGATGGAAATTCTCTTCATGTCTTGATAGATTTTCTTGTCTTATCATATACATATATATGTACATACAGTTCTTAATAATTTGATACCACAGTGTGTATAGAATGTTTTATACTCTATTTACTGTTACTTTATAAGCCTATACCATTTTTATGCCCTTAGTTGTTCTTTAAAAACTTGATTTTTAATGAACTTATATATATATGCACTATTAAGTAGAGGTACTGTAATCTGTTTATTCAGTCTTTTTTTTTTTTTTTTTGGAGACAGAGTCTCGCTGTCACCCAGGCTGGAGTGTAGCAGCATGATCTCGGCTCACTGCAAGCTTCACCTCCTGGATTCACACCATTCTCTTGCCTCAGCCTCCCGAGTAGCTGGGACACAGGTGCCCACAACCACGCCCAGCTACTTTTTTGTATTTTTAGTAGAGACAGGGTTTCACCGTGTTAGCCAGGATGGTCTCGATCTCTTGACCTCGTGATCTGCCCACCTCGGCCTCCCAAAGTGCTGGGATTACAGGCGTGAGCCACTGCGCCCGGCCCTATTCAGTCTTTTTTTTTAAATTATTTTATTTTATTTTATTTTTGAGACAAGGTCTGGCCCTATCACCCAGGCTGGAGTGCAGTGGCGCCATCTCAGCTTACTACAACCTCCATCCTCCAGGCTCAAGCCATCCTCCCACCTTGGCCTCCCAAGTAGCTGGGACTACAGGCATGCGCCACTATGTCCAGCTTATTAAGTCCTTCTCTGAAGGTCAATTTCTTTCTACCTGTTTGCTGTTAAAAACAGGGCTACAGGCTGGGTGTGGTGGCTCATGCCTGTAATCCCAGCACGTTGGGAGGCCAAGGTGGGTGGAGCACCTGAGGTCAGGAGTTTGAGACCAACCTGGCCAACATGGTGAAACCCTGTCTCTACTAAAAACTACAAAAAAAATTAGCCAGGCGTGGTGGTGGGCGCCTGTAGTCCCAGCTACTTGGGAGGCTGAGGCAAGAGAATCGCTTGAACCTGGGAGGCGGAGGTTGCAGTGAGCTGAGATTGCGCCACTGCACTCCAGCCTGGGTGACACAGTGAGACTGTGTCTAAAAAAAAAAAAAAAAAAAAAAAAAAAACCAGGGCTACAAAGAACATCTTTGGATGCCAGGGCTACAAAGAACATCTTTGGATGCCTTTCTTTATACCTTCCTGATTATGAGGAGATCATAATACCAGTGAAATGCCACATGTAGACATTTAAAATTTTGATCTGCATTACCAATTTCCCGTCTGAAAAGGTTGCTTTTTTTCCCCATACTCTTGCCACCATACCCCACTGGTATTTTCAGTCTCTTAAATCTTTGGTAGTTTCATTGTTAAACTATGTTTTAATTTTTTTTTAAATTTTTTTAGAGATGGGGCCTCGCTCCATCGCCTAGGCAGGAGTGCGGTGGCACAGTCATAGCTCACTGCAGCCTCATATTCTTCTTGGGCTCAAGCAATCCTCCTGCCTCAGACCCCCAGGTAGCTAGAATGACAGGCATGCACCACCACACCCAGCAAATTTTTATTGTCTTTTTGAGGGTGGGAGGCAGATCTCACTGTATTGCCCAGGCTGGTTTTGAACTCCTGACCTCAAGCAGTTTTCCCATTTCAGCCTCCTGAGTAGCTGGGATTACAGGCATGAGACACCATACCCAGCTCTAAGCTATATTTTAGTAATGTATATTTTGATATTAAGGTTTTTTTTTTAGCTGATTAACCAGTCTGAGTGCCATTCATTGAGCCAGCCCTGATTTTTGAAGGATATGTTATGTTACAGTCTCATTTAGATCTGTTCCACACGTTTTGTTTATGTCACTTTACTTGAATTGTAATTTTATCTGAGTATTTGCTATAGCCCTGCCCCCCTTTTTAAATTTATTGGTCAGTCTTACATAGTTTTCCCCCCTCAAATAAACATTAGAGTCACTCCTTAGCTAAATTAAAAGTCTCTTTAGAATTTCCATTGGAATGTTATTAAACTTATTAATTTGAGGTGATTTGGTATCTACAGTTTTGTACAATTAAATATAAGGTGGTATATTGTGTGTGTGTGAGCATATGTGTGTGTTTGTACTCATATAAAAGAGACCAGAAGGAAGTAAGTGCTTATTTCTGGGTAGAATTAAGAATGCATTGGCCGGGTGCAGTGGCTCACGCCTGTAATCCCAGCACTTTGGGAGGTCAAGGTGGGCGGATCACCTGAGGTCGGGAGTTTGAGGCCTGACCTCCCCCAGCCTGACCAACATGGAGAAATCCCATCTCTACTAAAAACACAAAAATTAGCCAGGCGTGGTGGTGCATGCCTGTAATCCCAGCTACTAGGGAGGCTGAGGTGGGAGAATCGTTTGAATCCGGGAGGCAGAGGTTGCGGTGAGCCAAGATCATGCCATTGCATTCCAGCCTGGGCAACAAAAGCGAAAGTCTGTCCAAAAAAAAAAAAAAAAAAAAAAGCATTTATTTCATTTTTTAATGATAATCCTGTTTTTGTGTGTGTGTGGCTTTTTGTTTTTTGTTTGTTTGTTTGTTTGAGACAGAGTCTCGCTCTGTCACTTAGGCTGGAGTGCAGTTCATTGCAACCTCCGCCTCCCGAGTTCAAGTGATTTTCGTGCCTCAGCCTCTCAAATGGCTGGGATTACAGGTGTGTACCACCATGCCCAGCTAATTTTTGTATTTTTAGTAGAGATGGGGTTTTGCCATGTTGTCCAGGCTGGTCTTGAACTCTTAACCTCAAGTGATCCACCCGCCTTGGCCTCCTAAAGTGCTGGGATTACAGGCGTGAGCCCCCACGCCTGGCTGATAATTCTCTATTTTCTATAGTGTTCATGCATTATTTTAATAATGATCGTATCTTCCTCAAAAATGTGATTTTTAATAACTGGTGGTGTGTGTATGATGGTTGGATGGTGGGGAAAGGTCAGTTTGGAGGGTCATAGGAGTCCAGCTAGAGTCATGAGGACTTGGATTATGGTAGTGCAGAGGAATTCAGTCCTGGACATGTTCTGCATGGAGAAGCAACAGCATCTGGGGATAACATGTACATCTCTTTCCAGCCTGGCTGTCCGGGGGGTTTGTAGTGGTGTTAAACCTTCTGCTTGTGCCCTTTATACCAGGCAGCCTGCCGCCTCTCATTGTGTATGACCGGAATGGATTCAGAATTCTGCTCCACTTCTCCCAGACGGGAGCCCCTGGGCACCCAGAGGTACAGGTGCTGCTCTTGACCATGATGAGCACGGCTCCCCAGCCTGTCTGGGATATCATGTTTCAAGTGGCTGTGCCAAAGGTGAGTCATCTGTTGGGGATTTCTCAGTAATGGCTGTCGTTTTTGAGTGCCAGGTTCTTTTCTGGGACTTACCTGTCGAGTGTCAAGGAAAGAATCTTCACTCAAACTAACTGAAGATAAAGTGGGAATGTAATGGCTTACCTGACTGGGGATTCCTGAATATCTGACTTCAGATATGAGTGAATCCAAATAGGTTCTTAAACAATGCCTTAAGAATCTGTATCTCTTGACTCTGCTTTTCTTTGGCACCATTCTGACAGTTTCTCCACAAACAGGAAAGTGGCTACCCACAGCTCCAGGGTTGCATGGTCCTTAACCCTCTTTATCTCAGAAACTCTCACCGGGCATGAAGCACATATATTGATTACCCAGGAAAGGGCTCTGATTGGGCTTGTTGGTGTTACTTCCATACCTTGGACCAGGAACTTGTATCCTGGGATATGAGACACTTGGCCAATGTGAGATAACATCCATCCCTTTTCAAGGGAAGTGGGGCCCTACTGATTAACAGGCACCCCACAGTCACAGGGGAAGGGGCCTGTCCTGAAAGGAAAAGATTCGAGACAGACAAAAATATGACCTGCAGTCTCTACTTCTTACGGTAGTCCTATGGGCAATGTTCTGCTACTACCTCTGTTTTATAAGTTAACCCAAGGCTCAGAAATTAAATATTTTACTCAAGGTCACAGAGCTAGTGAGAAGCAGTTAGAATTCAACCCAAGATGTGCCCTGGCTGTTGATGCTGCGTCTCAGATGCCGGTTATTGACCACACAACTCCCGATCCATTCTGTGTGTGGAAGGAAAGGCCTCTTAGATCCTTTTATCAATTAGTGGGAGTCTGTCTGCTTGGGCTCCCATAGGTGCCTCGGGGTACCACGTTTAAGAGGGCCATTTCCTCTTGGAGGGGTGTTGGGGAGGTCCAGCTCCCCCTCACCTGATCTCCATCCTAGAAGCTGTGGTTAGGAATGAGTTACATGTTGGTTTTCTTCCCCTGATAGTCAATGAGAGTGAAGCTGCAGCCGGCATCCAGCTCCAAGCTTCCTGCATTCAGTCCTTTGATGCCTCCAGCTGTGATATCTCAGATGCTGCTGCTTGACAATCCACACAAAGTATGTTCCAGTGTCTGTGGTAGCAGGGAGATGGGGGCCCCTGAACTGTAAGGGGAGGTAACTTTGTGGGTAGAGAGAGGCACATTGAGGCCTTGCTCTAAAGTCTCTGGTTTGCTGGGCACAGTGGTTCACCCCTGTAATCCCAGCACTTTGGGAGGCTGAGGCAGGTGGACCACCTGAGGTCAGGAGTTTGAGACCAGCCTGGCCAACATGGTGAAACCCCATCTCTACTAAAAATACAAAAATTAGCTGGTTGTGGGGGCACGCACCTTTAGTCCTAGCTGCTCAGGAGGCTGAGGCAGGAGAATTGCTTGAACCCAGGAGGTGGAGGTTGCAGTGAGCCGAGATCGCACTACTGCACTCCAGCCTGGGCAACAGAGCAAGACTCCATCTCAAAAAAAAATAAAGTCGGCCAGGTGCAGTGGCTCACGCCTGTAATCCCAGCACTTTGGGAGGCTGAGGCAGATGGATCACGAGATCAAGCGATCGAGACCATCCTGGCCAACATGGTGAAACCCCATCTCTACTAAAAATACAAAAATTAGCTGGGCATGGTGGCGTGCGCCTGTAGTCTCAGCTACTCGGGAGAGTGAGGCAGGAGAATTGCTTGAACCCAAGAGGCGGAGGTTGCAGTGAGCCAAGATCGCACCACTGCACTCCAGCCTGGTGACAGAGCGAGACTCTATCAAATAGATAGATAGATAGACAGACAGACAGATAGATGAAAGAGAGAGAGAGGGAGGGAAGGAGGAAAGGAAGGAAGGAGAAGAGAAAAAGAAAAGAAAGTCAGTCTCTGGTTTGGTTGGGTGTTAGGGGTATATGTGGAATATCCCTCGCTGGAGTCTGTCTTTGGGGCTCACTGAAGGAAGATCAGATGGATTGTCATAGCTGGGGACCAAGGGAGGGACACATGAACTCTCCCTAATCCTCTGGAGTCCTCTGAAAGGACAAGGTCTGTCTTCCTTAGCTGGTCTCTGAATTGCAGCCCATCTCAGGATTTCAGGACTGCAGAATTATCGAAGGGTTCCCAGGATATGTGCCTGTTTCCCCTTGTTTGTAGTCCCAAAGAGAGTATCCCAGGTATTTTGTGTCAGAATTGTTTGAAACACTCACTTGACTTAACATTGACCCCTGTTCCTGGGTTGCTCTCCACTGATTTGACATCTTCTGTCTCTTCTGTCCCAGGAACCTATCCGCTTACGGTACAAGCTGACATTCAACCAAGGTGGACAGCCTTTCAGCGAAGTAGGAGAAGTGAAAGACTTCCCAGACCTGGCTGTCTTGGGCGCAGCCTAACTTTTCACAAGATGGACCCTTCATTTCAAGCTTAGGCTGGCGTTACTTTTGCTGTCTAGTCAGGACTAATCACGGTGTTTCAGTGCGGAGTGCCAAGAGTCCTATCCTGACGTCAGGCTCTGGGTGTCAACCTCTGACTTATTCTGCAGATGCTCTGTGTGTGTGTGTGTGTGTGTGTGTGTGTGTGTGTGTGTGTGTGTGTTCGGGGAGAGGGTGGTAGCACAGGGCTTGGGATATCGGCAGTGTGGGAAATGCGAAGCATTTCTCATCATCATCATCTCTGCTACAGTCATGTTTCTGCATGTCAGCGAGCGACACTGTCCCTGCCTCAGGTTGGAGGTTTTATCAGCCAAAGTGTTTTTTTCATGTATCGTTCGTTCCATTCATCCACTCTGTGCCTTGTCAGCCTTTGAAAGGCTTGGTTGCTCCCAGGCTGCTGTTCTCAGGGACCTTAAAAGGGACCTGGTTAGTCTTGGGGCAGAGAGTATCTACTTGGGCACTCTCTTCCAAGAAAGACCTTGTCTCCATTTTCATTAGACAATGCTTCTTGTGTGTGTTCTGGAAGATCTTCTAAATGGAATGCTTGTTGCACTGTTCCCAGGCGAGTGGCTGCCATGAGACCTGAGGACCACACTTGGGGGACCAATCATGTCCTTCACCACTGTGCCTTAGAATCGCCCCTGGACAGAGTTCCTGGGCAGAGGGGAAAGCAGCTCCCAGGCCTTACTCAGGCCTCAGGTCCATGGGTTGGGCAGCCAGTCTGGGCCCTTCTCAGGATCCTCATCTCCATCCTCATCCTCTTCCTTCACAGCATTTACTTGGAGCTCTTTGTGACACACCATGTCAGTCATGATGAATCGGCCAACAGCCAGCCCTTGCCAGCTGACGTCACAGTCTAAGATGGGAAACTGTGGTACAGATAGACATGAAGAGAGCTTAGCAGTGATTGAGGTGGTGACTAAATATACAGTCATTGAATAAATACCATGTAGCAAGTGTACTTTGTGGAGTGTTGAGTAAGTGGAAAATGGAAAGCCAGTTGCATTTAGAGATGATAGGCCTAAAGGGAACTGTCTTCTGTCGAGAAGTAAAGGAAACTTCATGAAGGATGTAGAAGCTTAGCTGCCTCAGAGAAGAGAGAACCTGAAGATCTGAGGCAAGCTGGACAGGAGAGGTGGATATTTGTTGATGGAAGAATTCAAGTTTATAATCAATTCCCACTTAGCACCTACTGTGTGCTAGGAACTTGAATGTGTATGTTTGACAAGTCCTGCTTGGCCTGATGGGTGGGAGAAGGAACCTGAGCCTGGCTGAGATGGCTAGGCGGAGGGCTTTGAAGTCCAAGCAGCTGAACTGGCTGGGTGGGTTTCTACCTTTGAAACTGCAAGACTTGTTTGGAGCTCTTAATTACAATATCTGATATTTTTACAGTCTGATCTTTTGACTTCTACATATAGTGGAAATCTGCCAATACTAATTGGTGGAGATGGGAACTGTAAAAGATCAAGTATGCTAATTTTAAGCAAATGTAAAAACTCATAAAACAGGTAAACAGTGGGGTGATTTCATTTGCCATAATTCACATAAGACGAATTTTAATCTAAAAGTACTTTCTTGCTTGTATTCTGTGTGGCTTTTTTTTGTTTTTTGAGGCCATATCTCACTCTGTCACTCAGGCTGGAGTGCGGTGGTATAATCTCAGCTCACTGCAATCTCTGCCTACCAGGTTCAAGCGATTCTCGTGCCTCAGCCTCTCGAGTAGCTGGGACTACAGGCGTGAGCCAGCACGCCCAGCTAATTTTTGTATTTTTAGTAGAGACAGGATTTCACCATGTTGGCCAGGCTGGTCTCGAACTCCTGACCTCAGGTGATCCGCCTGCCTTGGCCTCCCAGAGTGCTGGGATTACAGGCGTGAGCCACCGCACCCGGCCTCTGTGTAGCTTTTATAGGCTCTGTTACTGTTGCGTAGTCTTGAAGAGGTACCCATCATAATGACAGCATCTCCCTCTGAAGGGTTTTGGTCAAAATGGGTGAATGAGACTTATACATAAAGACAGGCTTTCTCCCCTATAGTTAGGAGGTGAACTCACACATGTGTACCTGAACATTCTTGCTTTTGAGGAGACAGACTCCCAGTGGTACTACTATGCTTAGGTGTTGGACAGGATAGGGGTAGGAGGAGAGGAGGCAGGCTGCTGTCCTGAAAGTGGCTGTGGTTTATGGCATCACTCCCTTCTAATCAGCAAGTCCAGTGGCCACTTAGAGCCCAGCTCCTACCTCTTCATTCACTTAACAAGTAGTTATTGGCTGTGCACAGTGGCTCACGCCTATAATCCCAGCATTTTGGGAGGCTGAGTGGGATGACCGCTTGAGCCCAGGATTTCAAGTCCAGCCTGGGCTACATAGTGAGACCGTGTCTCTGTTTTTTTAAAAGCTAGTTGTTGACCAGCTACCCTGAGCCAGGCACCACCCTGAAGGAGCTTCTTTTCCTCTGGGGAGAAGCAAATTCATGATGTGTGTGCTGGAGATCTGGCACTCATGGCCAGTGCTTTCCAGTATCTTGAACTCTTCGGGGGTCCTGTTGACCCATTTCGTGACCTACCTCCGTGACTGCTCTTTTTCCTCTGTCTCTTAAGTGTGATGGTTTTCCAGAGTCCAATCCTCAGGACTTTCCCGTCCACACACAGGCCTGGTAGTCAGGTGGCTCTAAACCATTAGGTGGGTTGTAGACCTCTCTCAAGCTGCCACCTCCTTGCTGTCGCCAGATCGTATTTCAGTCTGTCAGGGGTTATCTGTATCTGGAGGTTCCACTGTTGCTTCAGTCTCAGTTACTTAGAATGGAACCCAGAGTCCTGCCCCTTTCCACCTACATGCTCTTACTTGAAAGCACCTGAGACTTATTGGGTCCCTGATTCCTGCTTCGTCTGTATCCGCAGAGTAGTTGCATGTCATTTGGCCTGTTTTCTAAATAATCCCACATCATGTCCTCCCTGCACTTACATTGCCACTGCTCTGATTTGGGCTTTTTTTTTTTTGGGACAATGCCTCTGTCCCAATTCTGAGTAACAGCTCTGGTTCTTGCCACTACCAGAGTTCTCTAGCAAATCTGAGCATCTGACAGGGTGAAAAATTCTGAATGGCTTCCTGATGCCTGACTTTATGGGATCAAATTCAAGTTGCACGCTGGCACTCAGTGCCCTTCTGGTATCATCTGCCAAGACCAGGGCCTGCTTCACCACAGCCACAATAAAGTCCTTTCAAGCCCTGATAATGCCATGTTTTGTCCTAACCTTTTGCTGCAGTTAATTACTCTTCCTATTATCTTCCATGAACTTAAGACTGGGCAAAAATGTTTCCTTATCTGTGAGCCACTCTGAACACAAACAGGTCATGAAGATAGTGTTGAAAACAATAAATGACAACCAAAAGAAAAGTGAATATTACCTAGTACAAATAGTGTAAATTGAGACAGAAAATGTTAAAGCTAGAAAGCAAGGGCAATATTCTAGAATACAAATAGTGCTTGCCTACTACAATATTAATCCCAAATCCTTTAAATATACCCATTATAGAAGATGCTTACCCAGCGTCAAGAGTATAAAAGTGGGTTTGTTTGTTTTCTTGAGACAGGGCTTTGCTCTGTTGCCCAGGCTGGAGTGCAGTGGCGTGATTGTAGCTCAATGCAGCCTTGAATTCCTGTGTTCAGGCGATCCTCCGGCTTCAGCCTCTGGAGTAGCTGGGACTACAGGTGCATGCTGCCACGCCCAGCTAATGTTGCAGTTTTTCGTAAAGACTGGATCTCTGTGTTACCCAGGCTGGTCTCCTGGGCTCAAGCAGTCCTCCTGCCTTGACCTCCCAAAGTGCTGGGATTACAGGCATGAGCCACCATGTCCTGACCCCAGTTTGTTTTAAAGCCAAGCGATGCACCAAGATGTTTGTGTGCACATCTGACAGTGGTAATCTTTGGGTCAGGGAATTATAGATAAATTTTCTTTAAATTTTTTCTGAGCTTTCTAAAATCAGCTGAAAATAAAACCTTATTTTTTTATGCTCAGTGTCGTCTTTTTTAAGATAAAGACATTGACATGATTCAAAATTATGAAAGGTGAAAATTCTTCCCACCCAGTTACCATCCTCTGTCTTTTCAGAGGGATTCTAGGCATGTTCAAGAAAATATAGTATACTGTTCTGTGTTTTGTTCTTTTCATGTAACACCATAGATAGCTTGGAGAAAATGCCATTATCAATATGAATTACTTAGAAACATAACCCCGCTCTCTTCCCTGAGCTCATATGGTACAAATCAAGCACTTATGTGTTGAAAGTGCTGCATGTTAAAACTCTGGGGTAGCAGTTCCCTCATAGTTTCCTTGTATCCTCTCCCTCCCGCTGGCACCATTCCCAGGCAGCCAAGCAGGCCGGACTTTTCCCTGGCAACCCTCTCGCCTCAATTCTGGCAGCCCTGTGCGCTAGAGTGAACCAAGTGTGGGCTGGGGAGTCAGGTTTAATTTCTAGTTTTTTACCATCTATGTAGCATGTTGGGCAAGTCAGTGGTCTCTGGGCCTCAGTTTTTATATCCGTAAATGGTAAAAATGTTAGAAGTCTACTTCACACATTTTGGTGAGAATGTCATGAGGTGTACAAAATAGCAGATAGGATATTCTATAAATTTAGGTGCGCTAGAGTGAACCAAGTGTGGGCTGGGGAGTCAGGTTTAATTTCTAGTTTTTTACCATCTATGTAGCATGTTGGGCAAGTCAGTGGTCTCTGGGCCTCAGTTTTTATATCCGTAAATGGTAAAAATGTTAGAAGTCTACTTCACACATTTTGGTGAGAATGTCATGAGGTGTACAAAATAGCAGATAGGATATTCTATAAATTTAGGTGCTATTTCTCAAATCACCTTCACATCTGAGATTTTCTTAACTGTTGTAACAGTGGTGACTTCCATTTCATCACTGTTCATTTCACAGCCTCTCCTGCTCTCATAAAACCACAGAAATTGTTCTAAGAATACTGATAACTTATGAATATTTTTATAGGCAGCAGAAAAGGTTGATACTTTTAATAAAATCTGACCATACCAGCTGGGCGTGGTGGCTCACACCTGTAATCCTAGCAGTTTGGGAGGCCAGGGCGAAGGATCATGAGATTAGGAGTTCAAGACCAGCCTGGCCATGTACTAAAAGTACAAAAATTAGCTGGAAATCGCTCGAACCCAGAAGGTGGAGTTTGCAGTGAGCCGAGATCGTGCCACTGCACTCCAGCCTGGGCAACACAGCAAGACTCCGTCTCAAAAAAAAAAAAAAAATCTGACCATACCCTTTGTTAAGATCAGGATCAGCTGCAATAAACAAACCCAAAGTAACAGTCGAAATGTTTATTTTTCTCTGTATTAGTTCCTTAGAACTGCTATGACAACGTGCCGCAAGCTGGGTGGTTTAAGTCAACAGATGTGTTGTCTGAGTTCTGTGGGGTGGGAGTCTAATATTGGAGCCATGGTGCTCCCTCCCTCTTGGTGGTTGCTGGCTTCCACCATCTTTGACTTCCTTAGCCTGTAGCTGCATAACTCCAGCCTTTGCCTTCATTGTCACGTGGTGTTCTCCTTGTGCCTTCTTTACAGACCATTTTTTTTCTTTTTTTTTAAGAGACATGCTGGAGTGCAGTGGCATGGTCATAGCTCACTGCAGCCTCAAACTCCTGGGCTCTAGGGATCCTCCCAATTTGGCCTCCCAAGTAGCTAGGATTACAGATGCGTGCTGCCACACCTGACTAAGTTTTAGATTTTTGTAGAGATGAGGGCCTCACCGTGTTGCCCAGGCTAGTCTTGGACTCCTGGCCTCCCAAAGTGCTGGGATTACAGGCATGAGCCACCATGCCTAGCCTGACCCTACTGCATCTCTAATCATATTTAATTAGTACTGCATATCTTTTTGGATTAAATAAAATCAATTGCCCTAGCATTCAAGTTTCTCTACAGCATGGCCTCATCTCAGCTTTAGTTTCCTCTTTTGGAAATAGAAATACTACCTGCCTTAACTCAAAAGGCTGTGAGGAAACTGTGTGGTGGCTCGAGCCTGTAATCCCAGCACTTTGGGAAGCTGAGATGGGAGGATTGCTTGAGCCCAGGAGTTTGAGACCACCCTGGGCAACACAGTGAGACCCCTGTCTCTACAAAAAAATTACCTGGGAATGGTGGCATGTGCCTGTAGTCTCAGCTACTTGGGAGGCTGAGGTGGGAGGTTGGCTTGAGCCCAGGAGGCAGAGGTTGCAGAGGAGGCAGTGGTGAGACAAGATCACACCACTGCACTCCAGCCTGGGTGGCAGAGCCAGACCCTGTCTCCAAAAAGGCGGAAACTGTCATACTGGATTGAAAACACCACCACCACCAAATTCCAACTCTATGCTGTCTGCAAAAGGTACACTTAGGTTCACAAATCAGTTGGAAGTAAAGGATAAAAAATTAGCCATGCAAGTAGTAATAAGAAAGCTGGAGTGGCTGTGTTAATATCACACAAAATACTTTTTTTTCTTTTTTTTGAGACAGTCTTGTTCTGTCTCCCAGGCTGCAGTGCAGTGGTGTGATCTCACCTCACTGCAACCTCCACCTCCTGGATTCAAGCGATTCTCCTGCCTCAGCCTCCCGAGTAGCTGGGATTACAGGCGCCCACCACCATGCCTGGCTAATTTTCGTATTTTTAGTAGAGACGGTTTCACCATGTTGGCCAGACTGGTCTTGAACTCCTGACCTCAAGTGATTCGGCCTCCCAGAGGGCTGGGATTACAGGTGTGAGCCACCGCACCTGGCATAAAAATAGACTTTAAGACAGAAATATTACTAGAGACAGAAAAGAACATTTAATAATGATAAAAGGTGAATATACCAGGAAGACATAAAATTATAAAATGTATATGCACCTCACATCAAAGCCCCAAAATACCTAATGCAAAAATTAAATAGAATCAAATGTAAAAATGGATGATTCAATAATAACTGGAGGCCAGGTATGGTGGCTCATGCCTGTAATCCCAGCACTTTGGGAGGCTGAGGTGGATGGATCACGTGAGGTTAGGAGTTTGTGACCAGCCTGACCAACATTGAGAAACCCTGTCTCTACTAAAAATACAAAATTAGCCGAGTGTGGTGGTGCATGCCTGTAATCCCAGCTACTTGGGAGGCTGAGGCGGGAGAATCACTTGAACCTGGGAGGCGGGGGTAGTGGTGAGCCAAGATCACACCATTGCACTCCAGCCCTGCCAACAAGAGCAAACTCCATCTCCAAAAAAAATAAATAAATAAATAATAGGGCCGAGTGCAGTGGCTCACACATGTAATCCCAGTACTTTGGGAGGCCAAGGCGGGTGGATCACGAGGTCAGGAGTTCGAGACCAGCCTGACCAACATGGTGAAACACCGTCTCTACTAAAAAATACAAAAATTAGCCAGGCATAGTGGCACATGCCTATACTCCCAGCTACTCAGGAGGCTGAGGCAGAAGAATCGCTTGAACGCGGGAGGCAAGGTTGCAGTGAGCTGAGATCGCACCACTGCACTCCAGCCTGGGCGACAGAGCAAAACTCTGTCTCAAAATAATAATAATTGGAGATCTAAATACCTTACCTTCAGTAATGACAGAACAACTACATAGAAAATCAGCAAGTATATAAAATAGTTGAACAACACTATTAATGTAGCTAAAATATATATGACACTCCACCCAATAACTGCAGATATATATTTTCAAGTGCACATGGAACAGTCTTCAGGATAGACCAATGCTAGGCCATAAAACAAGTCTCAATAAATTTAAAAGAATTTAAGGGCTGGGCACGGTGGCTCAGGCCTGCAATCCCAGCACTTTGGGAGGCTGAGACAGGGGATTGCTTGAATCTGCAGGGGATTTTGAAACCAACCTTAACAGCAAAGCAAGATGCCATCTCTATAAATAATAAAAGAATATAAACCAGCCGGGTGCGGTGGCTCACGCCTGTAATCCCAGCACTTTTGGAGGCCAAGGCGGCTGGATCACAAAGTCAAGAGATGGAGACCATCCTGGCCAACATGGTGAAATCCTGTCTCTACCAAAAATTCAAAAATTAGCTGGGTAGGCTGGGCGCGGTGGCTCACGCCTGTAATCCCAGCACTTCGGGAGGCCAAGGCAGGCAGATCACGCGGTCAGGAGATCGAGACCATCCTGGCTAACACGGTGAAACCCCGTCTCTACTAAAAATACAAAAATTAGCCGGGTGTGGTGGCGGGTGCCTGTAGTCTCAGCTACTCGGGAGGCTGAGGCAGGAGAATGGCGTGAACCCGGGAGGCGGAGCTTGCAGTGAGTGGATATTGTGCCACTGCACTCCAGCCTGGGCCACAGAGCAAGGCTCTGTCTCAAAAAAAAAAAAAGCCAGGTGTGGTGGCAGGTGCCTGTAGTCCCAGCTACTTGGGTGGCTGAGGCAGGAGAATCGCTTGAACCTGGGAGGTGGAGGTTGCAGTGAGCCAACATCGTGTCACTGCACTCCAGCCTGGAGACAGACTGGGACTTCGTCTCAAAAAAAAAAAAAAAAGAATATAAATCATACCAAGTATGTTTTCCAATCACATGGAATTGAATTAGAAATCAACAACAGGAAATCCAAGAAATACCCAATTATTTGGAAATTAAACAACATGCTTCTAAATAACCCATGGGTTAAATGAGTCACAAGAAAAATTTAAAAACATTTAGAATCAAACAAAAATGAAAACATCAAAATTTATGAATTACAGCTAGAGCAATGCTTCAGAGGAAATTTTTTTTTTTTTTTTTGAGACAGAGTCTTGCTCTGTTGCTCAGGCTGGAGTGCAATGGCGTGCATGATCTTGGCTCACTGCAACCTCCGCCTCCTGGGTTCAAGTGATTCTCCAGTCTCAGCCTCCTGAGTAGCTGGGACTACACGTGCCCACCACCACGCCCGGCTAGTTTTTGTATTTTTAGTAGAGACAGGGTTTCACCATATTGGTCAGGCTGGTCGTGAACTCCTGACCTCAGGTGATCCAACCACTTCGGCCTCCCAAAGTGGTGGGATTACAAGTGTGAGCCACCGCAGCCGGCCTCAGAGGAAATTTTTTTTAGAGACGGTCTCACACTGTCACCCAGGCTGGAGTGCAGTGGCACTGTTATAGCTCACTGCAGCCTCAAATTCCTGGGCTCAAATGATCTCTGGCCTTTCAGGCTTTTGAGTAGCTGGAACTACAGTTGCAAACCACCATGGCTAGATAATTTTTTTTAACTTTTTGTAGAGACAGTGTCTTGCTTTATAATTTTATTTTTTGTTTTTATTTTTTCCTAGCCATTAGACTATGAGGGAAAAATTAGTAATTTTAGATGCCTATATGAGAAAATAAAGTATTTAAAATCAGTAACCTAAGATTCTACTTTAATATACCAAAGAGCAAACTAAATTCAAAGAAGGAAACTGATTAGCATAGAGATCAATAATAGAAAATGAAAAATAGAAAAAAATTAAAGTCAAAGTTGAATAGAAAAAAAATTAACAAAGTCAAAATAGGTTCTTTTTTTTTTTTTTTTTTGAGACACAGTCTTGCTCTATCACCCAGGCTGGAGTGCAGTGGCCTGACCTCGGCTCACTGCAATCTCTGCCTCCCAGGTTCAAGCAATTATCCTGCCTCAGCCTCCTGAGTAGCTGGGATTACAGGCGCCAACCACCACGGCTGGCTAATTTTTGTGTTTTTAGTAGAGACGGGGTTTCACCATGTTGGCCAGGCTGGTCTCAAACTCCTGACCTCAGATGATCTGCCCGTATTGGCCTCCCAAAGTGCTGGGATTATAGGCGTGAGCCACCGCACCCGGCCTGCAGCTGATTCTTTTAAAAGAGCAACAGAATTCACAAATTTCAGCAGACTGACCAAGGGAAAAAAAAATTACCAAAGTCAGGAAAGAACAGGCAGACGTCACAATTCTACAGATGAGAAAAGACTATATGAGGATCCTTTGAACAATTTTATGCCAACAAATTATACAACTTGGATGAAATGGACAATTATTTTTGAGATGGAGTCTTGCTCTGTTGCCCTGGCTGGAATGCAGTGGTACAATCACGGCTTCCTCCAACCTCCGCTTCCCAGGCTCAAGCAATCCTGCCTCAGCCTCCCTAGCAGCTGGGACTACAAAAAAAACACAAAATAAAAAAAAATTTAAAAAAATTAGCCATGCAAGTGTAATCATAAGAAAGCTGGAGTGGCTATGTTAATATCACATACAATAGACTTTTTTTTTTTTTTTTAGACAAAGTCTTGCTCTGTCTCCCAGGCTGCAGCGCAGTGGCGCAATCTCACCTCACTGCAACCTCCACCTCCTGGATTCAAGCAATTCTCCTGCCTCAGCCTCCCAAGTAGCTGGGATTACAGGCACCCACCACCATGCCCGGCTAATTTTTGTATTTTTAGTAGAGACGAGGTTTCACCCTGTTGGCCAGGCTGGTCTCGAACTCCCGACCTCAAGTGATTCGGCCTCCCAAAGTGCTGTGATTACAGGTGTGAGCCACCGCACCTGGCCTAAAACCGACAATTTTTTTTTTTTTTTTTTTGGGTGGAGTCTTGCTCTGTTGCCCAGGCTGGAGTGCAATGGCGCAATCTCCACCTACTGCAACCTCCGCCTCCTGGGTTCAAGCAATTCTCCTGCCTCAGCCTCTCGAGTAGCTGGGATTACAGGTGTGTGCCATCATGCCCAGCTAATTTTTGTATTTTTAGTAAAGACAGGGTTTCACCCTATTTGGGCCAGGCTGGTCGCGAACTCCTGACCTCAAGCTATCCGTCGCCTTGGCCTCCCAAAGTGTTAGGATTACAGCACTTTGTGCCTGGTCCCAAGATTCATTTGCCATCTTAAAATCAATTACTATATCATTTGAATAGAATGTGACAAGAACCACATGATTATCTCAATAGGCAGAGAAAAAAAAATACAAAATCCAACATCCTAAAAAAACTCTCAACAAACTAGGAATAGAAAGGGACTTCTGGCCGGGTGCGGTGGCTCACGCCTGTAACCCAGCACTTTGGGAGGCAGAGGCAGGTGGATCACCTGAGGTCATGAGTTCGAGACCAGCTTGGCCAACATGGTGAAACCCCGTCTTTAGTAAAAATATGAAAAATTAGCCACATGTGGTGGTGGGCACCTCTAATCCCAGTTACTTGGAAGGCTGAGGCAGAAGAATCGCTTGAACCCGGGAGACGGAGGTTGCAGTGAGCCGAGATTGCGCCATTGCACTCCAGCCTGGGCAAAAAAAGCAAAACTCCGTCCCCCCGCGCCCGCCCCCCCAAAAAAAAATTGCAAAGGAAAAAGTGTCTATTCACAGATGACATGATCCTGTATGTAAACAAATCCCAACCAACACCCCAACACACAAACTAGAAGACAAATTTAACAGTCAAATGGTACAAGATAAATCTATAAAAATCAATTGTTGCTGAGTGTGGTGGCTCACGCCTGTAATCCCAGCACTTTGGGAGGCTGAGGCAGGTGGATCACCTGAAGTCAGAAGTTCAAGACCAGCCTGGCCAACATGGCAAAACCTCGTCTCTACAAAAATTAGCTGGGTGTGGTGACACATGCCTGTAATCCCAGCTACTTGGGAGGCTGAGGCAGGAGAATTGCTTGAATCTGGGAGACGGAGGTTGCAGTGAGCTGAGATTGCCCTGCTGTACTCCAGCCTGTGTGACAAAGCAAGACTCCATCACACACACACACACAAAATCATTTTTCTGTAACAAGAAACTATGAAAATTAAGAAAATTCCATTCATGTTAGCATTAAAAGGAAATACTTATTTTATTTATTTATTTTTTGAGATGGAGTCTCACTCTGTCACCCAGGCTGGATAACAGTGGCCCGATCTCTGTTCACTGCAACCTTTGCCTCCCGGGTTCAAGCAGTTCTCCTGCCTCAGCCTCCTGAGTAGCTGGGATTACAGGTGCACACAACCACGCCAGGCTGTTTTTGTATTTTCAGTAGAGACGGGGTTTCACCATGTTGGGCAGGCTAGTCTTGTATGGAACTCCTGACCTTGTGATCCTCCTGCCTCGGCCTCCCAAAGTGCTGGGATTGCAGGCATGAGCCACTGCACCTAGAAAAGGAAATACTTATAAATAAATAAATTTAACAAAATAAGTGCAAGACTTGTATTATACAATGAAAACTACAAAATATTGCTGAGAGAAATTAAAGAAGATCTAAATCAGATCTAAATCCCCAGGGGTGATTCCTACTAGGGAACACTTGGCACTGTGTGGACAGATTTTTGGTTGCCACAACTTGGAGAGGATGTTGCTCCTAATGGGTAGCGGCCAGGGATGCTGCGAAATATCTTACAATGCATAGGACAGCCCCCATAACTAAAAATTATCTGGGCTCAGTAGTGCCAAGGCTGAAAAATTCCCATCTAAATAAATGAAGAGGCGTTTCATGCTATGGATTGGAACAGTCAATATTGTCATGATGGCAATTCTCCTAAAATTAATCCAACAATTCAACAGTTCAACATAATCCCTGTCAAAATCCCAGCAGGATTTTTTTTTTTTTTGGGGGGGATGGAGTCTCGGTCTGTTGCCCAGGCTGGAGTGCAGTGGCGGATCTCGGTTCACTGCAACCTCTGCCTCCTAGGTTCAAGCGATTCTCCTGCCTCTGCCTCCTGAGTGGCTGGGATTACAGGCGCGTGCCACCATGCCCAGCTAATTTTTTTATTATTAGTAGAGATGGGGTTTGACCATGTTGGTCAGGCTGGTCTCAAACTCCTGACCTCATCATCTGCCTGCCTCGGCCTCCCAAAGTGCTGGGATTACAGGCGTGAGCCACTGTGTCCTGCCTAAATTTTTAACAAGAGCAAAGTAAGAGGACTTACACTATCAGATTGCTCCCCTCGTCTCCCCTCCCTGCATTGCTCCCCTCCTCTCTCCTTCCCTCCTCTCCCCTCCCCCCAAATAACTGGGACTCCTAGCAGAAGGGTTACCCCAGTTAAAACCTACTCAACCCAGAAGAATGAGACAAACCAAGGGAGATGCCAATGAAAAACGAGTGACTATCAGGCCTGGAGATGGCAGCCAGCCACTCATACCCCAATGGCAGGCCAACCTGGAAAACTGTCCCCTGTAGGGTTTCCAAGGATGACATCTTGTCCTCCCCCTTGGGTTGGTCCCACTCTTGAAACAACATAAAAACTTAGAACCTAAAGAATACCCTCATACCTTCCCCTACCTTTTCTTCTTTTCTTTTCGAGACAGGGTCTCGCTCTGTCACCCAGGCTGGAGTGCAGTGGCGTGATCACAGCTCACTGCAGCCTCGACCTCCTGGGCTCAGGCAATCCTCTCACCCCAGCCTCTCGAGTAGCTGAGACTACAGGTGTGCGCCACCACACTCAGCTAATTTTTAATTTTTTTGCAGAGACGGGGTCTTCCTATGTTGCCCAGGCTGAGAAATTGTTTGTGATTATGGGTTATGCACAGATTTCTCAGCCGCAACACCAAAAGCATGATCCATAAAAAAAGGTGATAAGGAACTTAACAAACTTTAAAAGGTCTGCACCTCAAAACACATCATTAAGAAAATAATTAGTTAGGCCAGGCGCGGTGACTCACGCCTGTGATCCCAACACTTTGGGAGGCCGAGGCAGGCGGATCACCTGAGGTTGGGAGTTTGAGGCCAGCCTGGCCAGCGTGGTGAAACCCCATCTCTACTAATAATACAAAAAGTAGCCGGGCGTGGTGGCACGCGCCTGTAATCCCAGCTACTCGGGAGGCTGAGGCAAGACACTCGCTTGAACCTGGGAGGCGGAGGTTGCAGTGAGCCGAGATCGCGTCACTTCGCTCCAACCTGGGCGACAGAGCAAGACTCCGTCTCAGAAAAAAATAAAGAAAGAAAGAAAAAGAAAGAAATAGCCGGGCGTGTTGTCGCGCGCCTGTAGTCCCAGCTACTCTGGAGGCTGAGGTGGGAGGATCGCTGGAGCCCAGAAATTTGAGGCTGCAGTGAGCTGAGATCGTTCAATTGCCCAGGAATTTGAGGCTGTAGTGAGCAGAGATCGTTCAATTGCACTCCATTGCTGCCCACTGCGCTCCACTGTTGCCCAGGCTGTCCTAGAACTCCTGGCCTCAAGCGATTCTCCCGCGTCAGCTTCCTAAAGAGCTGGGATTACAGGCGCGAGCCACCGCGTAAATGCGCTAATGTATGTCAGGGCTTTATAGTAAGCATATAGTTTAGTCCTCGGCAAATGTTAGCAGACATGGGATATTTGTCGGTGCCGGGAGCTCTCAGTCCGGGGCGTTTTCCCACACCCACCTCTGCTCAGCGCTCCGGACGCCTGCAGTCACTATGGTAACGGCCAACGACTTCCGGAAGAAGAACGGCGGGCGGCGAGGGTCATTCCCAGCCGCAAACTGAGTGCGCTGAGCGGGGAAGCGCAAAGGGGCAAGTTACCCGTCCTGGCGTTTCTGGGGTTCGCCTCGGAGGCTAGCCTCGGTGCTCTCGCAGGCTCGCTCGCTTCTGCATCCCCGTTGCCGCCCGGAGCCAACTCTTAAGTTCTGGACGCCAGGCCTGAGGCAGTTCCGCCATGGACTTCTCCAAGTTCCTGGCAGACGACTTCGACGTGAAGGAGTGGATCAATGCGGCCTTCAGGGCCGGCTCCAAGGAGGCGGCGTCCGGGAAGGCGGATGGCCACGCAGCCACCCTGGTGATGAAGCTGCAGCTGTTCATCCAAGAGGTGAACCACGCCGTGGAGGGTGAGCCGCTCGGGGCCCTGGCCGCGGGACCCTCCCCTGCTCTCGGCTGGGCAGAGGTCACCGAACTTGCGTGAGGCACTCAGGTGGGCGGGGCACGCATGGACAGCAAATACCCTCGGCAAAAGAGCAAGCCCCGAACTCCTGATCACGTCAGCGGGAGTCTCAGCTGGGTGCCGGGCTGTCTTGAACACTTGCTAATTTTGGGTGTTGTTTTTCCTCCTCTGGCTGGGCTATAAGTTTCCTTTTTCTTTTCTTTCTTTCTCTTTGTTTTTTCTTTTGAAACAGGGTCTCTCTACAGTGGCTCGATCATAGCTCACTGCAGCCTCGAACTCCTGCACTCAAGCGATCCTCTCGCCTCTCGAGTCGCTAGGACTACAGGCGCGAGCCACCGCGCCCCACAAATTCTGTTTAAAAAAAAAATTGTAGAGATGGGATCTCACTGTGTTGCCAGGCTGGTCTCAAATTCAAATTCCTGGGCATAATGGGTTTTCCAGTCTTGGCCTCCCAAAGTACTGTGATTATACCTGTGAGCCACCACATCTGGCCTGAAGTTTCCTTTTGGAACTTAAAAGAGTGGATCTTATTGCAGTAGCTCTTCTCTAAATAATTCAATAGCAGATCTCTGGGATTCCCTTTTTATTATTATCCATAGGCACTGGAAGACAAGATGGATCTTTTTAAATGCTAGAAGTTTTAACCAGTTCTTAACATGTCTTTGTTGAGGCACCTTCCAGAATATAAGATAAAACAACTCCAGTTTCTGTTATAGTGACTTGAATCTCAGAGTCAAGAGCCCAGTGTCAAAGAAAATTGGCTTTGACTTTTTGTAATCTAGGAGCACGAGTCTGTGAGGTGTTTATTCAAAGAGTTAAAGAGCCTGTTTTGTACCAAACAATAAACTGTAAAAAGAAAAAAAAAGTGAATTTTGAGAGTATGAAAGAATAGCCAACAGATCCATATATCTGGAAAAAACGTATTATAGTATAGGTATAAGAGAATGACACAGATCTAGAAAACATTGTTTTAGTGGATTTTATTTCAGCTGAGGAAGATAGGCTGGTCTCAGTGGAGACTTAAACCTTTTTTTTTTTTTTTTTTTTGAGACAGGGTCTCATTCCTCATTCTGCTGCCCAAGCTGGAATGCAGTGATACCATCATAGTTCACTGCAGCCTCAAACTCTGGGTTCAAGCAGTCCGCTCGCCTCAGCCTCCCAAGTAACTGGAACTATAGGCATGTGCCACCATGCCTGGCTAATTAAAAAAAAAAATTTTTTTTTAGAGACAAGGTCGCACTATGTTGCCCAGGTTGATCTCAAATTTCTGACCTCAAGTGATCCTCCCATCTTGGCTTCCCAAAGCCCTAGGATTACTGGTGTGAGCCACCACGCCTGGCCTAAACCATTTGTTGAGGATAAGTTAAATTATAAAAAATAACATGCACTGGCAACCATTTCATGTAACTCCTCAACTTGACTTTTATTCACCGTGTGTTGATTCACTGTGTGTTGATTCAGTACGTACTGCACACAAGTCTCTCTCCTAGGCTCAGATGGAAAGACCAAACAGACTGCTTCCACTGGGAGTGGATAGTCCAAGAGATGTTCCCATTTTTGTTTGTTTTTTTGTTTTTTTTGAGACGAAGTCTCGCTCTTTCCCCCTGGCTGGAGTGCAGTGGCGCCATCTCAGCTCACTGCAACCTCCCCCTTCTGAGTTCAAGTTATTCTCCTGCCTCTACCTCCTGAGTAGCTGGGATTACAGGTGCGTGCCCCACCCCTGGCTAATTTTTGTATTTTTAGTAGAGATGGGGTTTCATGATGTTGGCCAGGCTGATCTTGAACTCCTGACCTCAGGTGATCCACCCACCTCGGCCTCCCAAAGTGCTGGGATTACAGGCATGAGCCACTGTGCCCGGCCAGATGTGCCCATTGTTTAAGAAAAGGTAGGGAGGGGGCTCTATTTCACTGCAGATTGTTTTCTTTCTTTCTTTTTTTTTTTGAGACAGGGTCTCACTTTGTCACCCAGGCTACAGTGCAGTGGTGTGGTCAGTGCTCACTGCAGCTTCACCTCTCGGGCTCGAGGAATTCTCCTGCCCCAGCCTCCTGAATAACTGGGACCACAGGCTTGTGCCACCATGCCAGATGGCACAATTTTTTGATTTTTTGTAGAGATGGGGTCTCACTATGTTGTCCAGGCTGGTCTCAAACTCCTGAGCTCAGGCGATCCTCCAGCCTTTGCCTCCTAAAGTGCTGGGATTACAGGCGTGAGCCACCGCGCCCAGCCCTTATTCTTTATTGTACCTTGCATCTTTTACTAATTATTGAGCATCTACTATGCATGTGTCCAGAAATGGGCAGTGGGGAGGAAAAGTTTATCTTGCTCGAGCTTGCTGCCTTTGGGGAAGATAGAAACAGTAAATTACAATGACGGATGGCTTTACTCAGAATAGAATCTGGAGTTGTGAGAACTGTCAGGAGGGTGCAGTTACTTCTTGTTTAGGAGAATCATAAAGCACTTGCCCTGTGTTAGACCTTGAAGGAAAACTTTGTAGGGCAAAGAGGAAAGGACATTAATAATAATATAATAGCAAATTGGCTGGGCGCAGTGGCTCATGCCTGTAATCTCAGCACTTTTGGAAGGCTGAGGCGAGAGAATCACCTGAGGTCAGGAGTTCCAGACCAGCCTGGTCAACATGGTGAAACCCCATCTCTACTAAAAATACAAAATTAGAGGTGGGTGTGGTGACATGCGCTGTAGTCCCAGCTACTCAGGAGGCTGAGGCAGGAGAATCGCTTGAACCCAGGAGGCAGAAGTTGCAGTGAGCAGAGATCCCACCACTACACTCCAGCCTGGGTGACAGAGTGAGACTCTGTCTCAAAAATAATAATAATAATGATATAATAGCACATATATGAGGTTTGGTACATGTCAGACACTCTTTTTGGTGCTCTATATGTATTAACTAAGTGATTCTGAAACATGGGTTGCAATGCTTTCCTTGCCTCCCCTTATCCTTGTTCCTGCCCTCAGGAACAGGGACTATTTGGAAATTGGTGGGAGGTTTTTTTTTTTTTTTTGAGATGGAGTTTCAATCTTGTTGCCCAGGATGGAGTGCGATGGAGTGCAATGGCGTGATCGCGGCTCACTGCAACCTCCGCCTCTCGGGTTCAAGCAATTCTCCTGCCTCAGCCTCCCGAGTAGCTGGGTGTATAGGCATGCGCCACCATGCCTGGCTAATTTTGTATTTTTAGTAGAGATGGGTTCTACATGATGGTCAGGCTGGTCTCGAGCTCCCAACCTCAGGTGATCTGCCTGCCTCGGCCTCCCAAAGTGCTGGGATTACAGGCATGAGCTATTGCGCCTGGACTGTGGGAGCTTTTTTATTTATTTTATTTATTTTTTATTTTATTTTATTTTATTTTATTTTATTTTATTTTATTTTATTTTAATTTAATTTTATTTTTTTGAGATGGAGTCTCGCTCTGTCGCCCAGGCTGGAGGGCAGTGGCGTGATCTCGACGCACTGCAAGCTCTGCCTCCAGGGTTTACACCATTCTCCTGCCTCAGCCTCCCGAGTAGCTGGGACTACAGGCGCCCGCCACCACGCCTGGCTAATTTTTTGTATTTTTAGTAGAGACGGGGTTTCACCTTGTTAGCCAGAATGGTCTCGATCTCCTGACCTTGTGATCCACTCGCCTCGGCCTCCCAAAGTGCTGGGATTATAGGCGTGAGCCACTGCGCCTGGCTGTGGGAGCTTTTTTAGTTGTTGCATTAAAGGGGTGACATTCAGTGGCATTCAGACATAAGACATTCAGTGGGAGGACCCAGTGATGCTTAATGTCCTGCAGTGCTTGGTACAGTCCTGCACAGTGAAGAATTGTCCTGGCCTAAATGTGAATAGTACCTGCTTTTGGGCATGGTTATCTAATTTAAACCTGACAGTTATCCTTAGAGGTAGGCACAGTTATTATGTCCACTGTAGACTTGTAGAAACTGAGGTTGAGAGAAGTTAAGTAACTTGCTCGGCATCATGTTCCTAATGAATGGAGAGCCTGGACTGAACCCAGACAGTTGGCTCCAGAGCCCAGGCCCTTAACCATTATATTTCACTACTTCCTTGGTATTAAAGAGAGAGAGAGAGTAACATATGCACAGGAGTGTGGCTATAAGAAGGCGTAGTCCAGGGAAAGGTGAGAAGTTCAAACAGAGCTGCATGAATAATATCAATAAACAGTCTGGGTGTGATCTCAGTGCTTTGGGAAGCTGAAGTGGGAGGATTGCTCGAGGCCAGGAGTTCCAGACCAGCAGTTCCAGACCAGCCTAGACAACATAGCAAGACCCTATCTCTACAAAAAATTAAAAAACTAGCCAGCATGGTGGTTCATGCTTGTAGTCCAGCTACTCGGAAGGATTGCTTGAGCCTAGAAGTTCGAGGCAGCAGTGAGCTAGGATTGCACCACAGCACTCCAATGTGGGGGACAGAGTGAGACAAGATAATTAGTAGTGTTATTATTAGAGAATCACACTTTTGTAGGGGAAATGTAACTGAAGATGAGGCAGATAAATAGATCGGGATCAGCCTGCGAAAGACCTTTCTGGCCAGCCTTGGGAGTTTGGCTTTTATCCCTTAGGCAGTAGGTAGCCTTCATAGGTTTAAAGCTTCATTTATTTTTATGCAAGATGAGACAAGGGCCCAAGTCTGCGATGAGGAAGGGTGATTGTAGCCGTTCAAGCACATGTTGAGGACCCCAAATTGGAGGACCAATTTCTCCATTTAGTCAGTCAACAAATATTTATTGGGCACAAACTCTTTTCTAGGTTCTAAAAATACACTGTTGAACAAGACCCAGTGTTGGATTGGAGAGGTCCACAGGGGCCACGTTATGCAGGGATTTTATTTTTATTTTTATTTATTTATTTATTTATTTTTGAGATGGAGTCTCACTCTGTTGCCAGGCTGGAGTGCAGTGGTGTAATCTCAACTCACTGCAACCTCCGCCTCCCAGGTTCAAGTGATTCTCCTGCCTCAGCCTCCCGAGTAGCTGGGGCTACAGGCACACACCACCACACCCAGCTAATTTTTGTATTTTTAGTAGAGACAGGGTTTCACCACGTTGGCCAGGCTGGTCTTGATCTCTTGACCTCGTGATCTGCCTGCCTCAGCCTCCCAAAGTGCTGGGATTACAGGCATGAGCCACCACGCCTGGCCAGGGATTTTATTTTATTTCTTTATTTTTAAGAAACAGGGTCTTGCTCTGTCACCCAGGTTAGAGTGCTATGCAGGGATTTCAGTGTCACATTAAAGAGTTTGATTTTAAGGCCAGGTGCGGTGGCTTATGCCTGTAATCCCAGCACTTTGGGAGGCTGAGGTGGGTGGATCACCTGAGACCAGGAGTTTGAGACTAGCCTGACCTACACAGCAAAACCCCGTCTCTACTAAAAATATAAAAATTAGCCGGGCATGGTGGTGCACAACTGTAATCCCAGCTACTTGGGAGGCTGAGGCAGGAGATCACTTGAACCTAGGAGGCAGAGGTTCCAGTGAGCTGAGATTGTGCCACTGCACTCCAGTCTGGGTGACAGAGGGAGACTCTGTCTCAATAAATAAATAAATAGAGTGTGAATTTAATTTAAAAATAAGGCATTGTAAGATTTTTAAGCAGCAGAGTAACATGGTTCAGGAGGCTATTGCTGAGGTCCAGAAAAGAGATGATAGTGGCTTCAACTGGGGTGATGGCAGTGAAGATGATGAGTAATGGGTATATTTAAGATATTTTTAGGCTTGGCATTGTGGATCACACTTGTAATCCCAGCATTTTGGGAGGCCTAGCCAGGCAGGTCCCTTGAGCCCAGGAGTTTGAGACCAGCCTGGGCAACATGGTGAAACTGTCTCTGCAAAATATATAAAAATTATTCAGTCCTGGTGGTGTGTGCCTGTAGTCCCACCTACTTGAGAGGCTGAGGTGGGAGGATCACCTGAGACCAGGAGGTTGAGGTTGCAGTGAGCTGTGATTTCACCACTGCACTCCAGTCTGGGCAACCGAGTGAGACCCTGTCTCAAAAATAATTTTAAAATAGGCCGGGCCTGGTGGCTCATGCCTGTATTCCCAGCACTTTGGGAGCCCAAGGCGGGTGGATCACCTGAGGTCAGGGGTTCAAGACCAGCCTGGCCAACATGGTGAAACCCCGTCTCTACTGAAAATACAAAAAATTAGCCAGGCGGGTGGCGGGCGCCTATAAAACCAGCTACTCAGGAGGCTGAGGCAGGAGAATCACTTGAACCTGGGAGGCAGAGGTTGCAGTGAGCCGAGATTGCGCCACTGCACTCCAGCCTGGGTGACAGAGCGAAACTCTGTATCAAAAAAAAAAAAAAAAAAAAAAAAGACCATGGAAAGCAGGCATTGGGGCCAGACCTATCTGAGGCTTACTTTTAGCTCTGTAAGATCTTGGGCAAGTTACTTTAACCTCTCTGAGTTTTCTTATCAGTAGGAGGTGGCTGCTAATGACCGCCGTGGACATTAAGTAATATGATGTATGCAAAGCTCCTGGGGCATGCCTCCTTGCAAGTGGAGTTATGATTTCACTGGTGGTGGCAAGTTGGTGTTGGGACAGGTTGATTGTTGATTCTTTGTGATATCAAAGGCCCTTTCCCATCAGTCTGGGGACGTGATCCCGGCAGGGGCCACCTCACTGCCCATCTCCTCTCCTGCCCCATATTTTCTGCAGGCTCCAAAAACCGTTTGGTTGGTCGTGCATTTCCTTTCTGTTGTCTGATTTGTTTCCTGTATTTTACTGGTGGCTGGTCCAACTTTCACCTTTTGTGGCTATCGCTGTTGTTGTTGTTTTTTTTTTTTTTTTTAACTACAGAAACAAGTCACCAAGCTCTCCAGAACATGCCCAAAGTGCTCCGTGATGTTGAAGCCCTAAAACAGGAGGCATCTTTCCTGAAAGAACAGATGATTCTTGTCAAGGAGGACATTAAAAAATTTGAACAGGACACATCTCAATCCATGCAGGTATTTTGGCTCCTTTTGGCTCCTGTTGTAAATGGTGATTCTTGCTTTGGGAAGGTGGTCACTCTCGTAAGGGCTTTAGAACAGCACGGTGTTTTGGGAGGCCAACCATCACTCAAGATTCTGCCCAGCACTCCAGCTATGCTCTTTTTTTTTTGAGACAGAGTGTCGCTCTGTAGCTGGAGTGCAGGCTGCAGTACAGTGGCGTGATCTCAGCTCATGGCAACCTCCACCTCCCAGGTTCAAGCGATTCTCGTGCCTCAGCCTTCTGAGTAGCTGGGATCACAGACGTGCAACACCATGCCCGGCTGATTTTTGTATTTTTAGTAGAGACAGGGTTTCACCATGTTGCCCAGGCTGGTCTGGAACTCCTGGTCTCAAGTGATCCTCCCATCTTGGCCTCCCAAAGTGCTGGGATTACAGGCGTGAGCCACTGTGCCTGGCTCCCCGAAACTATGCTTTTGCTTGGGTCTTTCAGCTGGTTCATCTCTTCAGCACTGCTGAATAAATTTAGCCAGATGATTGGTGTTTTGGGAGACAGAAGCTCCCTAAAGACAGAAGCAAGCCACCATACTTACATTTCAAGTCCCTGGTGGCAGATGGAGAAAAAGGACCTACCCCTTCATTTTTCACCCCTCACGCCTCTTTCAGGTGTTGGTAGAAATTGACCAAGTGAAGTCCAGAATGCAACTTGCTGCCGAATCTCTTCAGGAAGCAGATAAGTGGAGCACGTTGAGCGCCGATATTGAGGAGACATTTAAGACTCAGGTAGGTTTCTTGTTTAGGGGATGTTATGAAAGGTATTTAAGCAAGAACTTGAGGTTTGGAGAAAGCAAAAGAGATACAAAGTTGATAGCCAATAGCAGCATTCAGAAACCTTCAGACTCAGGGTGGGGAAGATCTGAAGCTGCTCGGTGTGTTTCCAGCCTCTTTAGCTTGCACCCTCTGTGTGACTGAAGCCTCTTAGTCACAGAATGAGTTCAAGAGAAGCCTTGATAAAGATGTACAGGCACCAGGCACTGTGGCTCATACCTGAAATCCCAGCTCTTTGGGATGCTGAGGTGGGAGGATCACTTGAGGCCAGGAGTTTGAGACCAGCCTGGGCAAAATAATGAGACCCCCGTCTCTACAAAAAAATTAAAAAATTAGCCAGGTGTGGTGCTGCACATTTGTAGTTCCAGCTACTCAGGAGGCTGAGGTGGGAGGATCTCTTGAGCCCAGGAGTTGAAGGCTACAGTAAACTATGATCATACCACTATGCTGAGGGACAGAGCAAGACCCTGTCTCAAAAAAAAAAAAAAAAAGAAGAAGAAAAGAAAAACCAGCACAGGCAGAGAAGGTTGGGGGTAAATGGACGAGAGGGTGGAACATGGGGAAAGGGGAGCCTTATATACCTTGGGGACTTGGTGGGTTATTGACCCCTTCTGAGGCTGCAAAGTGTGGAAAATAGTAACATTTTCCACCTGGGATGTAAGGATGAAGTAAGATGATGTCTTATGAAGAACTCTTACTCAATTGTAAAGCAAAATGAATGATTTATCAGTCAGTTTTTTTAAAAAGTTACAAATGCACATGGGAACAAATTTATTACACAGGAATAAACTGCAAAAAATAAGTTTTTTTCCTAACCCTGACCCCCACCTTAGTCCTCTAATTTTTCTTTTTTTTTTTTTCTTTTGAAACGGAGTCTCATTCTGAAGCCCAGGCTGGAGTACAGTGGCATGATACCTCCACTTCCTGGGTTCAAGTGATTATCCTGTCTCAGCCTCCCGAGTACCTGGGATTATAGGCGCGCACTACCATACCCGGCTAATTTTTGTATTTTTAGTAGAGATGGGATTTCACCATGTTGGCCAGGCTGGTCTTGAACTACTGACCTCAGGTGATCTGCCCTCCTCGGCCTCCCAAAGTGCAGGGATTACAGGCGTGAGTCACCATGCCCGGCCGGGGGCTAATTTTTCTTGTGCGGACAAGCCCTGTTATCAACTTTATGCCCATCCTTCCAGATATGCACATACATATTTATGTTCCCTGCCCCTTTTTTTCCTCACAAAGCTCATTGTGAACACTGCTTTTCACTTTATTTTTTCACTCAACAATCTATCTTTTATTTATTTATTTATTGAGACAGAGTCTTGCTCTGTTGCCCAGGCCGGAGTCCAGTGGCATGATCTCGGCTCACTGCAAACCTCTGCCTCCTGGGTTCAAGCGATTCTCCTGCCTCAGCCTCCCGAGTAGCTGGGATTACAGGTGGACGCCACCATGCCTGGCTAATTTTTGTATTTTTAGTAGAGATGGTTTCACCATGTTGGCCAGGCTGGTTGCAAACTCCTGACCTCAGGTGATCCTTCAGCCTTGGCCTCCCAAAGTGCTGGGATTACAGGGGCGTGAGCCACCCTTCCCGGCTGCCTGACCAATTTCTTAAAATGTTTTGTAAAGACAAGGTCTTGCTATATTGGTCAGGCTGGTCTTGAACTCCTGGCCTCATGCAATCCTCCTGCCTCAGCCTCTGAAAATGCTGAGATTTATAGGTATAAGCCATTGTGCCCAGCCTGGATGTGAATATTTTTAAAACTCTTAGCACATATTGCTAAATTGCCTTCCAGAAAGACAGTATAAATTTAAATTTATGATACCAGATTGTCTTTTTTCTTTGTACCCTCACCAACAATAGCTATTATAATTTTTCAAACACTTTTCCAATTTGTTAGGAGGAAAATGACACTTTATTGTTTTAATTTAATTTGCATTTATTTGAGTACAGGTTTTTTGTTTTTTTTTTGAGACGGGGTCTTTCTCTGTTGCCCAGGCTGGAGTGCAGTGGTGTGATCTTGGCTAACTGCAGTCTCCACCTTCCAGGCTCAAGTGATCCTCCTGCCTTAGCTTCCTGGGTAGCTGGGACTACAGGTGCGCATGACCACACTCAGCTAATTTTTACTGTTTGTAGAGACTGGATCTTGCCATGTTAACCAGGCTGGTCTTGAACTCCTGGCTTCAAGGGATCCTCCTGCCTCAATCTCCGAAAGTGCTGGGATTACAGGCATGAACCACCACGATGCCCAGCCCCATTTTCATACTTGATGAGTTGCCTTTTCATGTATTTTATCTATTCCCAATTGAGGCAGTAGGGATCATTTAAAATAAATATTCTCTATTCTGGTCTTTTCTAGGACATAGCTGTGATTTCTGCCAAGCTAACAGGTATGCAGAACAGCTTAATGATGCTTGTTGATACACCAGACTACTCAGAAAAGTGTGTGCACTTGGAGGCACTGAAGAACAGGCTGGAGGCCCTAGCCAGTCCACAGATTGTAGCGGCATTCACCTCTCAGGCTGTAGGTGAGTGCTAGCTGCTTCTCATCTCTGTGTATATCTCTCTATAAAGATAAGGCCTTGTAAGTCTTCAGTTTTTAGAATGTCTTAATGGTGATTGAATTACATAGATTAGAAGGAACTCTGTAATTTTTTTTTTTTTTTTTTTTGAGACGGAGTCTTTCTCTGTCACCGAGGCTGGAGTGTAGTGGCGCAATCTTGGCTTACTGCAACCTCCACCTCCTGGGTTCAAGTGATTCTCCTGCCTCAGCCTCCCGAGTAGCTGGGATTACAGGCGTGTGCCACCACACCCAGGTAATTTTTGTATTTTGAATAGAAACGGGCTTTCACCATGTTGGCCGGGCTGGTCTCAAACTCCTGACCTCAGGTGATCCCCTCGCCTCGGCCTCCCAAAGTGCTGGGATTAACAGACATGAGCCACCGCGCCCGGCCAGGAGTGTCTTTCTATTGCTTTTATGTGTAGAAAGCAATAACTGCTTTTGGAATTCTTGGGTCACACACTTTCTCCTTCAGAATTCTTCATTGTCTTCTGCCATCTATATTTATTTTTCTTTTCCCGCAGAATGTCTCACAAAACAGCCAAATATACTTCTGTAAAGGCAAAAGGTGAAATGCTACTTCTGTGAATTCTGTCTTCTAGTGCGAATGCATTTCCCTCTATATTCTGATAAGTATGAGATTGGCCTGCTGCTTCTTCCTATTATTTTTTTTTTGTATGTAGCTTGTTTCTTTTCCCTGAATAGTTATAACAGGACTGACAAACATTTCCTGTAAAGGGCCAGATCATAAATATTAGTATTTGGCGGCCTTGTGGTCTCTCTCACAGATACCTCTGCAGTTGTGGCACAAAAGCCCACTCGTAAATGGATGGGCTTTGCTGTGTGCCAGTAAATTTTTTTTGTTTTTTTAAGACGAAGTCTCGCTGTGTTCCCCATGCTGGCGTGCAGTGGCGTGACCTCAGCTCAATGCAGCCTCTGCCCCCCAGGCTCAAGCGATTCTCCTGTCTCAGTCTCCCGAGTAGCTGGGATTACAGACGTGCGCCACCACACCTGGCTAATTTTTATATTTTCAGTAGAGATGAGGTTTCACCATGTCGTCCAGGCTGGTCTTGAACTCCTGATCTCAAGTGATCTGCCCACCTCGGCCTCCCAAAGTGTTGGGATTAGAGGCGCGAGCCACCATGCCTGGCCAAGTAAAACTTTATTTACAAAAACAGATGGCAGTTTGGCCTGCTGGCGCATAGTTTGCCAAATTATGGCTTATAAGATTCTTTTACCTTGTAGTTTAGTAACTTCTCTAGGTTCTTTTTCAGTTTTGAAAATTTTTAACTTTTCCAGGACCCAGCGTCAGCCCTTTTCACCTACCAATTCATATCTTCATTTATAGAAAATCACCTTCCTTAAAAATTTTTTTTTTCTGTTTTATTTGTTCTCTTTTCTGTCTTTGAGAACATCAACTATCTGTTCATTAGCTCTCCTTTTTCCCTCTCCATATATATCATATTTTCTCTGGTCTCTTTTGGATGTTTGCCTGCTCCCTCTCAGTCCCCTCCTGCCATGTGTGGTTTTTCTAAAGCTTGTTTTTCATTTGACTGATGGGGTTTTCTGAAGTATCTGTTCCGGAGCATATATGCAGGGCAGCGTGAATCCATGACTCTGGTTTGCAGTCCTCAAACTTCACCCAAATAAACTCTCTACTTATTTAAAAAAATAAAGTATCTGTTCTCGGCCGGGTGCAGTGGCTCATGCCTGTAATCCCAGCACTTTGGGAGGTCAAGGTGGGAGGATCGCCTGAGCCCAGGTGTTTGAGACAAGCCGAGGTATCACAGCAAGACCCCGTCTCTACAAAAAATAAAAAATTAGCTAGGCATGGTAGCGCACGCTTGTAGTCTCAGCTGCTCAGGAGGTTGGGGCAGAAGGATCGCTTGAGCCCAGGAGTGACAGAGTGAGACCTTGTCTCAAAAAAAAAAAAATAGGTTTTGTTTTCTTTGTTCTTCTAATTAATTTTTAATTTTTGTTATGTCATGATTTACTTCCTAATTTTTTTCCTTAGCTCTGCCAACCTCCCTTTGTATCTCATTGTAATACCTTAGATTCTTTTTTTTTTTTTTGAGATGGAGTCTCATTCTGTCACCCAGGGTGGAGTGCAGTGGCATGATGTCTGCCTCCTGGGTTCAAGCGATTCTCCTGCCTTACCTCCCAACTAGCTGGGATTACAGACATGCGCTACCACACCTGGCTAATTTTTTGTATTTTTAGTGGAGATGGGGTTTTGCCATGTTGGCCAGGCTGGTCTTGAACTCCTGACCTCAGGTGATCTGCCTGCCTTGGCCTCCCAAAGTGCAGGTATTACAGGCGTGAGCCACCGTGCCCAGCCTATTTTTTTTTTTTTTTTTTTGTATAGATGGGGTCTTGCTATATTGCTCAGGTTGGTCTTGAACTCCTGGCCTAAAGTGATCCTCACACCTCAGCCTCCTGAAGCCTTAGGTCCTGTTAAAGAAAGGACATGTAATTTCTTTGAGAGTGTGAAGCAATTATTGCCTAAAATTTTCTTCTCTTTCTTAGGGAAAATCTTTGGAAGTGTTCTTTTTTAGAAAAAAATTTAAAAAATTGTGGCAAAATGCATGTAACAAAATCTACCATTTTAATAATTTTTAAGTGTGCATTTCAGTGGCATTAAGTACATTCACGTTGCTGTGCAAACATCACCACCATCCATCTCCAGAACTTTTTTCATCTTTCTGAACTGAAATTTCATACGCATTAAACAGCAACTGTCCATTCCTCCTACCCTCACCTGCCAGCAATCATCATTCTACTTTTGTCCCTATGAATTTGACTACTCTACATGCCTCCTATAAATGGATTCACATAGTATTTTTCCTTTTATGGCTTAGCGTAACATCTTCAAAGCTCATCCATGGTGTAGCATGTGTCAAAATTTCCTTTCTTAAGGCTGAATAATATTCCATCTCATATATTACCACATTTTCTCTATCTATTCATCTGTTGATGGACATTTAGGTTATTTCTACCTTTTGGCTATTGTGAAGAATGCTAGAATGATCATGGGTGTACAAGTGTCTGTTTGAGTTCCAGCTTTCAATTCCTTTAGGGATCTACTCAGAAGTGGAATTGCTGGATCATATGCTTATCTTTTTTTTTTTTTTTTTTTTTTTGGAGACACAGTTTAACTCTGTTGCCCAGGCTGGAGTGCAGTGGCATGATCTGTCTGTTTGAGTTCCAGCTTTCAATTCCTTTAGGGATCTACTCAGAAGTGGAATTGCTGGATCATATGCCTATCTTTTTTTTTTTTTTTTTTTTTGGAGACACAGTTTAACTCTGTTGTCCAGGCTGGAGTGCAGTGGCATGATCTCGGCTCACTGTGACCTCTGCCACCCAGATTGAAGCGATTCTTGTGCCTCAGCCTCCCGAGTAGCTGGGATTAAAGGTGCGCACCACCACACCTAGCTAATTTTTGTATGTTTAGTAGAGATGGGGTTTCACCATGTTGGCCAGGCTGGTCTCGAACTCCTGGCCTCAAGTGATCCGCCCGTCTTGGCCTTCCGAAGTGCTGGGATTACAGGTGTGAGCCACCACACCCGGCCATATGGTAATCTGATGTTTAATTTTTTGAGGAGCTGTTATACTGTTCTCCATAGTGGCTGCACCATTTTACACTACCACCAGCAATGCACAAGGGTTCCAATTTCTCCACACCTTTCCAACCCTTGTCATTTTTTGTTTTTTTTTGGATTATAGCCATACTAATTAGTATGAAATGGTATCTTATGGTTTTGATTTTCATTCCTCTAATGATTAATGATATTGAGTGTATTTTCATTTGCTTATTGACTATTTGTATATTCCTGGAAAAATGTCTATTCAAATCCTTTCCCCATTTTTGTTTTGTTTTGTTGTTTTTTGAGACAGGGTCTTGCACTGTCACCCAGGCTGGAATGCAGTGGTGCAATCATGGCTCACCGCAGCCTTGACCTCCCAAGCTCAAGTGATCCTCCCACGGCAGCCTCCCAAGTAGCTGGGACTACAGGTGTGCACTACCACGCCCAGCTAATTTTTTGTTTTTTGTAGAGATAGGGTCTTGCTATGCTGCTCAGGCTGGTCTTAGACTCCTGGACTCAAACAATCCTCCCTCCTCAGCCTCTCAAAGTCCTGAGATTACAGGCGTGAGCCAGGGTGCCTGGCCCTTTACCCAATTTTATATTGGGTTATTTGGTTTTTTGCTGGTGAGTTGTAGAAATTCTTCATATATTCTGGATATTATTCTTTTATTGAATATATCTTGCAAATATTTTCTCCCATTCCATGGATTGTGTTTTCATTCTATTATTGATAAAATCTTTTGATGCCCAAGTTTTTAATTTTTTTTTTTTTTTTTTGAGATGGAGTCTTGCTCTGTCTCCAGGCTGAAGTGCAGTGGCTTGATCTCGGCTCGCTGCAACCTCTGCCTCCCGGGTTCAAGCGATTCTCCTGCCTCAGCTTCCCGAGTAGCTGGGACTACAGGCGTGTGCCACCACACCCAGCTAATTTTTGTATTTTTAGTAGAGATGGAGTTTCACTGTGTTGGCCAGGATGGTCTCAATCTCTTGACCTCGTGATCCACCCGCCTCAGCCTCCCCAGGTGCTGGGATTACAGGCGTGAGCCACTGTGCCCGGCCCCAAGTTTTTAATTTTGTTGTAGTCCAATTTATTGAGTGCATAGGTACCGTGGTGGAGTTTTCTTTGTTTCTGCTGATTCATGTTTGTGTGTGATAGTGCTTTTGTTCTGGGCCTGGTATTCACTGAAAAATAGTGGAATTTCCTTGGAAGCCCCTCCTTGTTTAAGAGCGCTTTCCTTTAGCCCTTGATTGAAAGTTTATATTCTCCGCTGTGCTCTTCAGTTAGCTAGAGAGAATGGCCTCAGTACTCATCTCCAGCCCTGTAATTCCCTCTCTTCCTCATTTGTTAATTCTTTATTTTGAGTCTTTTCTTCATTCACAGAATTCTAAGGCTGGAGCTGGGGGGTTGGAAAGTTACCATCTAGGAGCTTTGTTCCTCACATTCTCTTGTGAATTTGTGGCTACTACAGAGCTCACTTTTCTGGTTGGGGTTACATCCAGTTCTGTGGGGTTGGGGGAGTGGGAGTGGGGATGGAGAGGTGGTGGCTCCATGCATTTAAGCTTTTTTGTTTGTTTCCTTCTGAGTGAGCTGGCTTCTGGGAGCTGGTGTTGGATTTGAGTGATGCCTGGTGGTTCAGCATCATGGGTTTGGTTTTGGAGATAAGCAGTTTTTGACAGCTTTTGTGCACAAATTTGAATCAGGCTTGACTCTAGGCAGGACATGGATTCAGAAGGCGAAAATGGCGCTTTTGAGCTCCATAGGCTGCCTCCTCTGCTGGGCCGCAGTGGAAACAGCCCTCCCTCCCATGCCTGGCCCAAGCCCCCTTGGCCCCCAGTCTTTGGCCCTTTGTACTGTTCTGCACCACCCTTAGCGCCCAGACTTTTACCAGCTTCCCCACCCATTGTGGCCCAAAGTGATTAGATATCTAGTTGGGATTCTCTGAAATATGTAGTACAGATATTTTCCTGGCTTCAACGCAGATAAAACAATGTTTTCTTTTGGTGATTAATCTTAATTTTGGCAAGCATCAGGAAGGGTTCCCCCGCCCCACAGGTAATGTGCTGT
This sequence comes from Homo sapiens, assembly GCF_000001405.40. Taxonomy (NCBI): domain Eukaryota; kingdom Metazoa; phylum Chordata; class Mammalia; order Primates; family Hominidae; genus Homo; species Homo sapiens. The sequence continues at coordinate 23,436,798 of NC_000016.10, read as the reverse complement.
TTATAATCAGCCATGTTTCCTGGAAGGCTGAGGTAGTTCTTTATCTAACAGTTTTTACTTTTTATTTTTTTTGAGACAGAGTCTACACTCTGTTGCCCAGGCTGGACTGCAGTGGTGTGATCTCGGCTCACAGCAACCTCCAGCTCTTGGGTTCAAGCGCCTCAGCTTCTGGAGTAGCTGGGATTACAGGCATGCACCACCACGCCTGGTTAATTTTTTATATTTTTAGTAGAGACGGGGTTTCACCATATTGGCCAGGCTGGTCTCGAGCTCCTGACCCCAGATGATCCACCCACTTCAGCCTCCCAAAGTACTGGGATTATAGTCATGAGCCACCTCACCCGGCCTAGCTAACAGTTTTTAAAGGGAATTCTCTGATAAATTTGTTCATCCCCAACATGTTCCCCTTTTCCATCTCCTAAAATGACAATGTGAGTATAGCCAAGTATACATGCCCAGTTCATTTTATATAACCAATGAATTCAGCTGATACACTGAAGCAACTTTTTATAGAATTATTTTAATTAATTTTTTTGCTTCTCACTGGTCAAACCCAATTTATAGAATTTTGTTTTTTGAGCTAGAATCTTGCTCTGTCACTCAGGCTGAAGTGCAGTGATGTGATCACAGTTCACTGCAGCCTTGTCCTCCCAGGCTCAAGTGATACTCCCAGCTCAGCCTCCTGGGGTTTACAGGTGCACATCATGCCCAGCTAATTTTTTCTATTTTTTGTAGAGGGGTCCTGTGTTGCCTAGGACATTTTTGAACTCCTGGGCTCAAACAGTCCTCCCACCTCAGCCTCCCAAAATGCTGGGATTACAGGTGTGAGCCACCACACCTGGCCTATGGAATAATTTTAAATGTAACAGGAAGATTCACTTATTTAAGTGTTCTTATGAAAATAATAAGCATTTTAAAGGCAAATATTCGTTTTCTAACTCATGGATTTCTGCCCATTAAGTCAAGTTCCACTGGCAGGTCTCCAGCGCTTAGCTGGGTGTCCCACAGCGGTTGCTGTTACAACATTTCCTTCTCAGCAGTTTATTGGGCTTCCCAGAAGTGAAGGGGAACAGAGCAAATATAAGAAGTTTGGAGACCTGTTAGCTCAAGGCTTTTTTTTCCCTTCTTTTGATATAGTTCTAAGGCTGTGGCATGTACATTTTGGCCAGAAGGGGGCGGACAGGAGCCAGAGGTGGCGCTGCTGTGCACACTATTCAGAGACTGCACTGAAACCCACCTTCCTGTCTGTCCAGCGGTGAGCCTGGAAGCAAGTGCTTTGCCCAGTCATTTCCTCTGCCCTTAGGGAAATATGTCAGAAACTACTTGATATTAAGCCCATAACTTGGGTCTTAGAATCCATTGTTATGTGTGGAATGCTAATAGTTACCAAATTATTTGATTTTATGTTTTGTTTTTTTGTTTTGCTTTGTTTTAGAGGGAGTCTTGCTCTGTTGGCCAGGCTGGAGTGCAGTGGCGCGATCTTGGCTCACTGCAACCTCTGCCTCCCGGGTTCAACCAATTCTCCTCCCTCAGCCTCCCAAGGAGCTGGGATTACAGGTGTGCACCACCACGCTCAGCTAATTTTTGTTTTTCTTTTAGTAGAGATGGGGTTTTGCCATGTTGGCCAGGCTGGTCTCGAACTCCTGACCTCAGGTGATCCGCCTGCCTTAGCCTCCCAAAGTGCTGGGATTACAGGCATGAGCTACCGCGACCAGCCCAAATTATTTACTTATTCCTCAAACCACCAGATATGTTGACATATAGCAGTTCAGTGTGTTTGCTTTTTTAAAGTTCCCATCTGGTATAATCGAAGTAGGAATTTTGAAAGACATAAATAACCTCTCAGTATCATGTTAAAATATGAATTCTGTGAGGAACAGTGGGGAATACCTTGCAGTATCTGGTTTTCACGTCATGCTTATTTTTCAAATTTATGATCCTCATGCATGAGTTAATTCAGTATCTAGGCAGGAACTTGTGAATACTAGCTTCCATATATCCACCTTCATCCTGGTGAGTTTTTTCTCATGTCTACACCAGAAAGGCTGGTAACAGTATATATACATTGTATGTTCTTTAGATCAGTCCAAAGTGTTTGTGAAGGTGTTTACTGAAATTGACCGGATGCCCCAGCTCCTGGCCTACTACTACAAGTGTCACAAGGTAAGAAGCTGTGCGCGATGACAGTTGTGCAGTTGTGGAATGCTCATAACTCTGGGTCACAGAATCGCAGGTTCATAATTCAGAAGGTAAGAACATTTGTCTCCTTGCCCTCTGGCTGTTTTTCTCTTAGTTAGCCAGTAGGGGGTGCTCTTGGTCTAGCATATGGATTTGTTTAATTGCCAGTTGGAAAAAGTTATCCGTTTTCATTCTCTTTTCTGTTTACAGCTGGATTCATTATAGACTTGAAACGTTGTTTTAATTTATTCTCATTTTTGTCTTTTAAGGGAGATTTATGTCTTAAGCTTTATTACACCCTCAGAAGGCAGTAAGAATTTCTCTTTTTTTCTTTAGAGATAGGGTTTCACTATTTTGCCCAGCCTGGAGTGCGGTGACTATTCACAGATCCGATCATGGTGCACTACAGCCTTGAACTCCTGGGCTCAAGTGATCCTCCCGTCTCAGCCTTGTGAGGAGTTGGGACTACAGGCGCGTGCCACTCCACCTGGCTTGGAATTTTATGTTTTCTAGGTTTGCTGAAGTTAGATTGCCAAAAAACTTGACAGCTTCCTGAACTGACCTTAATTCCTTCAAGTCCAGTGCTCTGTGTCTTTTAAGCAGTGATGTTAGGACATGAAGCTTAAACATACATGTCTGCCCGCTCTTGCCCCAACATCTATTCAGAAGAGTGATGGTGTGCCAAGTGGTTGCACATTACATGTTTTTAGGGCAGGATAAATGGAGAGGGGATCACATCCGCAGGGTGACAGATTAAAGCTGTGAATCAGTGCAGATAACTGCAAATGTTTTTTTTTTTTTCCTGCCTTTCTTTGAAGTGAATGGACCTCACTGGGCTGCCCAGTGAGCCCATTGAGCAATCCGTGATTACGCTGGGTAGCAGGGCAGGGCAGTGTTCACAGGCAACCTATGTTGACGTACCCAATAAGGTTCCCTTTGTTCTGTCTCTGCAGGTGCAGCTTTTAGCAGCCTGGCAAGAGCTGTGTCAAAGTGACCTATCCCTGGACCGGCAGCTTACCGGACTCTATGATGCCTTGCTTGGTGCTTGGCACACACAAATCCAGTGGGCTACACAGGTAACAGCTCATTTTTGTTCTAGGGAGAACAGAGTCTGTGGTGACAAGGGAACGGGTGACTGCCTCGGGAGTGGCCACCCTCAACTGCAGAGCACAGCTCAAAGAACTTCCCCGTTTGTTGCTGTCATTCAAGGGGTTAAAAAATAACCAGTTAGGCCGGGTGCGGTGGCTCACACTTGTAATCACCACACTTTGGAAGGTCGAAGTGGGCGGATCGTTTGAGCCTAGGAGTTCGAGACCAGCCTGGCCAACACGGTGAAACCCCAACTCTACAAAAAATGCAAAAGTTAGCCAGGTGTGGTGGCACAATTACTAAGGAGACCGAGGCAGGAAGATTGCTTACGTCCAGGAGGTTGAGGCCACAGTGACTATGGTCGCACCACTACACTTCAGCTTGGACAACAGAGCAAGCAAGACTGTCTCAAACAAACAAACAACAAAAGAAAAAACGATAACCAGTTAAATGGTTTAAGTTTAAAAGATAAGCTTAGAAATCCACGTCAGTGAAATCTTTAGGTCTCCACTGAAACTCTTCTTACCACTCTTATCTATAACTTAAATAGGACCTAATGTGACAATGCCGCCTGTTGTCCAGCAAGGGAGCCTGTGGAATTCCTGAAGGCCATTTTCTTCCCATCTAAAAGCAGGAGGCCCCTCGTCAGGTGGTGTTCGAATGAACAGGAATGTTTTTATCTTTACTTCAGGTAAAATTTACCTACCTGAAGTGAGTCTCCCTTGTTCTCATGATACACCAAGAAGTAGGGGAAGAGATAATTTTAAAGGTACCCCCTGACTAGGAGTGAGGAGAGACAGAGGAACTTTGTTTCAAGTGGCAACTATCCATCATTTACTTTCCTCAAGTCTCTAGGCATTTCCAGCCATAAAGGTTTTAAACCGTTGTTCTCTTGCCTTGAGACAGGAGGCACAGTAGAACCTCTTGTAAGCAGGGGAAGAGCCTGTCTTACTTTGCAGTAATGACTTACTGGGCCTGTTTCTAGTGTGGCTTATTTTATTTATTTTTTTCTTATTTATTTATTTTTTTTCTCCAAACCCTTGTGTTGAGGGCTGATTTTCAATAGCACTCAGATAGAGAGCTATTGAAATAGATTGCAGTGAGGGAGCTGCTCTGCTATGTACGAAACCCCAACCTAGAAGCAGGTCATCTACGAGTGGTTTAGTGTCACGTTCCCCATATTTTATTTTTTACTATAGTTGTGAATCACTCTTCAGATGTTCATCAGTCATTTGCTGGAATGAATTTGACTAAGGTTGGAGAGAATTCCTTATACCGGGTCATGTCATTCAAGTTGTTGGTTAAAGCACTTTTCTCCATCCTTGTTCTTTTTCCTTGAACTAACCTAATTCATTCTTAGGATTTTGTTTTGTTTTGTTTTGTTTGAGACAGAGTCTTGCTCTGTCATGCAGGCTAGAGTGCAGTGGCATGATCATGGCTCACTGCAGCCTCGGCCTCCTGGGTTCAAGCTGTCCTCCTGCCTGAGCCTTTCAAGTAGCTAGGAATACACGTATGTGCCACCATGCCTGGCTAATTAAAAAAAATTTTTTTTGTAGAGATAAGGATCTCACTGTGTTGCCCAGGCTGGTCTCTAACTCCTGGCCTCAAGTAATCCTCCCACTTTGGCCTCCCAAAGTGCTGGGATTACAGGCATGAGCCACCATGCCTGACTTTATTTTATTTTTCTTAAGAAGAATATTTCTTTTTTTTTTTTTTTTTTCTTCAGACAGAGTCTTGCTCTGTCACCCAGGCTGGAGTGCAGGGACACAATCTTGGCTCCCTGCAACCTCCGCCTCTCTGGTTCAAGCAATTCTCCTGCCTCAGCCTCCTGAGTAGCTGGGATTACAGGCATCCGCCACCACTCCCAGCTAATTTTTGTGTTTTTAGTACAGATGGGGTTTCACCATGTTGGCTGGGCTGGTCTCGAACTCCTGACCTCAAATGACCACCCACCTCGACCTCCCAAAGTGCTGGGATTACAGGCATGAGCCACTGTGCCCGGCCAAGAAAAAAATTATTCATGTGTTCTTGCCTCTTCTACTACTTCTTGTATCACAAGGATAAAAACAGTTCATGTCCATACATACGAATGCCTTTCGTCATCTAAGAAAAAGAACTTAGACTTCTCAGACTTCTCTTTGGGCCTCATCCTAGATTTTGGGAGACATGAGTTTCTGCTGATTTATACTGTTGGCCTGTGGCCCATTTTCTTTTCAGGATGGAAGCATAATAGTTGGGCTGTCCCCTCCTGAAGGTCGGTATAGCACACAGGAGCCAGGGCACATGTGTCTCCTTCAGATTTTTCCCCTTAGCATTTTCATATGAGAAATTTCCAATATATAAAAATGTTGAGGGAATTGTACAGTGAATACCCATGTAGCCACCTCCTACGTTGTACAGTGTGCATTTTGCTCTATTTGCTTTATTGCAGATCTGCCTGTCTATCCCTGTCTCTGTCTGTTCATTAATCCATCTTATTTTTTAAAATTATTTTTATTTGTATTCTTTTTTATATAAAAATATTAAATTAAACAGAGATGGGGTCTCACTATGTTGCCCAGGCTGGTGTCGAACTCCTGGGCTCAAGTGATCTTCCCGCCTCAGCCTCCCAAAGTGCTAGGATTACAGACATGAGCCAAAGTGCCCAGTCAATCATCTTATTTGTTTTACTCATTTCAAAATAAGTTACAAGACTGGGCGTGGTGTTTCACACCTGTAATCCCAGCACTTTGGGAGGCCGAGGCAGGAACATCACCTGAGGTCAGGAGTTCGAGACCAGCCTGGCTAACATGGTGAAACCCCATCTCTACTAAAAATACAAAATTAGCTAGCCGTGGTGGCAGGCGCCTGTAATCCCAGCTACTTGGGAGGCTGAGGCAGGAGAATCGCTTGAACCTGGGAGGTGGAGGTTGCTGTGAGCCGAGATTGTGCCACTGCACTCCAACCTGGGCAACAGAGCGAGAATCCATCTCAAAAAAAAAAAACAGAGTAAGTTGCAAACTTCATTCACTTCAGACCATACATATTATTAACTAGAGTTCAATGTTTACTTACATTTTTTTTAGGTAAAATTGTGAAATACAATCTTTTTTTTTTTTTTTCTGAAACAGGGTCTTGCCCTGTTTTCCCCACTGGAGTACGGTGGCATGATCATGGCTCACTGCAGCCTTGACCTCCCTGGGCTCAGGTAATCCTCCCCTCTCAGCCTCCTGAGTACTGGGACTACAGGTGCGTGCCACCACACCCAACTAATTTTTGTATTTTTTGTGGAGACAGGGTTTTGCCATGTTGCCCAAGCTGGTCTTGAACTCCTGGGCTCAAGTGATCCTCCCACTGTTGGGCTGCACGCCTCCCAAAGTGCTGGGATTACAGGAGTGAACCACTGCACCCAGCCATAGTGATCTTAAATATGCCATCCCATTCATTTGACAACTACAAATACCTGGGTAGCCTAATCCCCTTTCAGGATCCAGAACATCCATATCACCATCGCCCTGGAAAGTTCCCTCATGCTCCTTCCCAGTTGGTCTGTGCACCAGCACCCTTAAGGCAACCACTGCCCTGATTTTTTCCATCATAAGTTAGTTTAATGTGTTCTAGAATTTCACCTAGATGGAATCAGACAGCATTTCATCTTTTGTAGGCTTCTTTCACTCAGCGTGTTTTTGAGATTTGCTCGTGTTGTTTGTATCACTAGTTTGTTCCTTTCTGTTGCTGAATACTGTTACATGGTGTGAATATACCTGTTTGTTTACACTTTTTTTTTTGAGACGGAGTTTCGCTGTTGTTGCCGAGGCTGGAGTACAGTGGCACGATCTTGGCTCACTGCAACCTCCGCTTCCCAGGTTCAAGTGGTTGTCCTGCCTCAGCCCCATGAGTAGCTGGGATTACGGGCACACACCACCATGCCCAGCTAATTTTTGTATTTTTAGTAGAGATAGGGTTTCTTCATGCTGGCCAGGCTGGTCTCGAACTCCTGACCTCAGGTGATCTGCCCACCTCGGCCTCCCAAAGGTGCTGGGATTACAAGCGTGAGCCACTGCACCCAGCCTGTTGACACTTCTTATTGGTAGACACTTGGTATGTTTCCAGTGTTGGGCAATTATGAATAAAGGTGCTTTGAATATTGTTCTGTAGGTTTTTTTTTTGTAGACACATGTTCCCATCTCTTGGGTAAATACCTAGGAGTGGAATTGCAGGGTCAAATCGTAGGTGTATGTTTAGGTTTGTAAGAAACTGCCGAGCCAGGCGTGGTGGCTCACACCTGTAATCTCAGCACTTTGGGAGGCCAAGGCAGGAGGATTGCTTGAGCCCAGAAGTTTGAGACCCACCTGGGCAATATGGCAAAATCTTGTCTCTACAGAAAATACAAAAATTAGTTGGGCGTGGTGGCACATGCCTGTAGTCTCAGCAACTCAGGAGGCTGAGGTGGGAGGATCACCTGAGCCTGGGAAGTTGAGGCTTCAATGAGCCATGATTGCTCTACTGCACTCCAGTCTGGGCGACAGAGTGAGACCCTGTCTCAAAAAAAAGAAAGATGGCTGGGTGTGGTGGCTCATGCCTGTAATCCCAGCACTTTGGGAGGCCGAGGTGGGCGGATCACCTGAGGTCAGGAGTTCGAGAGCAGCCTGGCCAACATGGTGAAAGCCTGTCTCTACCAAAAATACAAAAAATTAGCCGGCCATGGTGGCAGATGCCTGTAATCCCAGCTACTCGGGAGGCTGAGGCAGGAGAATCGCTTGAACCTGGGAGGTGGAGGTTGCAGTGAGCCAAGATCGCACCATTGCACTCCAGCCTGGGCAACAGAGTGAGACTCCATCTCAAAAAAAAAAAAAAAAAGAAAAGAAACAACCACATTGCTCAAAGTGGTTGTACTTTTTCCACTCCTACATAGTGTGTGAGAGTTCTGGTTGTTCCACATCCTTGCCAAAATTAGGTGTTGACATTCTCTTTAATTTCAGCCATGCTGGTGGGTGTGTAGTAGTATCTCATCATGGTTTTTATTTGCATTTCCCTGATGACTAAGGATGTTGAGGAACTTTTCACGTGCTTATTGGCCATTTGTGCATCTTCCTTTGCGAAATGTCTATTCAGGTCTTTTGTCCATTAAAAAAAAACAGGTTATTTGCCTTTTTATTATTGAGTTGTAGCAGGTTTTTTTTATTTTTTATTTTTTATTTTTTGAGACAGAGTCTTGCTCTGTCACCCAGGCTGAAGTGCAGTGGCATGATCTTGGCTCACTGCAACCTCCGCCTCCTGGGTTCAAGCAATTCTCCTGCCTCAGCCTCCTGAGTAGCTGGGATTACAGGCATGTGCCACCATGCCCAGCTAATTTTTTTTTTTGTATTTTTAGTAGATATGGGGTTTCACTATGTTGGTCAGGCTGGAGTACAATGGCATGATCTGGGCTCACTGCAAACTCCGCCTCCCCAGTTCAAGTGATTCTCATGCTGCAGCCTCTGGAGTAGCTGGGACTGCAGGTGCATGCTGCCATGCCCGGCTAATTTTTGTATTTTTTAGTAGAGACAGGGTTTCACCATGTTGCACAGGCTGGTCTCGAACTCCTGGCCTCAAGTGCTCTGCCCACTCGGCCTCCCAAAGTGCTGGGATTATAGGTGTGAGCCACCGTGCTAGGCCTTGAATTTTAAAAATAACATTTAAAAATAACGAATTTGGTGGTGGTCTAGAGGGTGAACTGATGAGGCTATGCTGGAGACAGGTAAGAACCTTTGGTAGAGGATGGTGATGGAAATGTTGAAGTTCAAGAAGAATAAACAGTTGTTAGGACCTGGTAACTGATGAATGGACCACAAGAACAGAGAGTCAGAGGGCAGTTTTCATCCTGGTTCAATGGAGATGTTACTGACGGGAACACAGAAGTTGGAGGAAGCAGGTCTGGGGAGGTCAGTGGCAAAACAATGAATTCCAATTCTGACTGCTTTTAAATTCCAAGTGAGAGTGACGCATCCTAATGGTGACATCCAGTAGGTGGTTGGAAGAAACACAAATTGGAGAGTCCTCAGCAGTTTAGCTGTTTTTTGTTTTTTTTTTTTCTTTTGAGACAGAGTTTCTCTCTGTTGCCCAGGCTAGAGTGCAGTGGCGCTATCTCAGCTCACTGCAACCTCCACCTCCTGGGTTCAAGCAATTCTCTGCCTCAGCCTCCCGAGTAGCTGGGATTACAGGTGCCCACCACCACATCTTGGCCTCCCAAACTGCTGTGATTACAGGCGTGAGCCGCCGCGCCTAGCCTGGTTTTTTTTTGTTTGTTTGTTTGCTTTTTTGCAACAGAGTTTTGCTCTTTCGCCCAGGCTGGAGTGCAGTGGTGCAATCTCAGCTCACTGCAGCCTCCACTTCCTGGGCTCAGGTAATTCTCCTACCTCAGCCTCCCCAGTAGCTGGGACTACGGGTGCACACCACCACACCTGGCTAATTTTTGAACATTTTTTGTAGAGACAGGATCTTACTTTGTTGCCCAGGCTGGTCTCAAACTCCTAGGCTCAAGCGATCCTCCCACCTTAGCCTCCCAAAGTGTTGGGATTAGAGGCATGAGCCACTCTGCACTTGTCCTGAATTTATTAACTCTAAAAGTATTTTGTGGATTAAGATTTTCTACACATAAAATAATGTCATCTGTGAACAGAGATAACTCTTGTTTTCAATTTGGATGCCTTTTCTTTCTTTCTTTCTTTCTTTCTTTTTTTTTTTTTTTTTTTGTCCAATTGCTCTGGCTAGGACTTCTGGTTCTTTGTTGAATAGAGTGGCAAAAGCAGGCATCCTTATCTTGTTCCTGTTCTTACCATCTCTTACCAATGGGTATCACGTTAGCTGTGGGTTTTCATATATGGCCTTTATTATGTGGAGGAAGTTTCCTTCTATTCCTAGTTTAGTGTTTTTCTCATGAAGGGTATGGAATTTTGTCAAATATATTTTCTGCATTAATTGAGATGATCATGTATTTTCCCTTCATTCTGTTAATGTGGTGTATTACATTGATTCATTTTAAAAAATTAGAGATTTATAATATTTTTATTTTTTGAGCCTGGTCTCAAATTCCTAACTTCAAGTGATCCTCCTGTTTTGGCCTCCCAGGTGCTGGGATTACAGGGCTGAGCCACCACTGTGCCCGGCCTTGATCCATTTTTGTTTAGTTTAACCATTCTCACATTCCTGGGTGAATCCTACTTGATCATGGTGTACAATGTTTTTTAATATGCTGCTGAACTCAGCTTACTAGTGTTTTCTTGAAGATGTTTACATGTGTATTCATAAGGCATGTTGGTTTACAGTTCTTCTCTTTTCTTTGTTTCTTTTGTTTTGAGACAGAGTCTTGCTCTGTCACCTAGGCTGGAGTGCAGTGGCAACATCTCAGCTCACTGCAATCTCTGCCTACCAGGTTCAAGCAATCCTCCTGCCTCAGCCTCCCAAGTAGCTGGGATTACAGTCGTGCACCACCATGCCCAGCTAATTTTTTTGTATTTTTAGCAGAGACGGGGTTTGACCATGTTGGTCAGGCTGGTCTCGAACTCATGACCTCAAGTGATCCACCTACCTAGGCCTCCAAAAGTGCTGGGATTACAGGCATGAGCCACCACACCTGGCCCATAGTCCTCTCTCTAGTTAATTTTTGGTGACCATCAAAAAAATGCCACATGAATGTGTTCGTTAGATTTGAAAATAACTAGACACTTGGGGCCACTGATAGACATGAACTTGCCAGTTGTTCTAGGCAAGTTGCAAGTTCCAAGTCTTGCCAGTTTACTTTCTGAGCATGTTCACATTTGCCATGAGGAAAACTTTGGGCTTATAGCTCTAAACTAGATCACTTTTCATCTATCAGGGGAGATCCTTTTGAGATGACCCAGGAGATAGCTTCTTTAAAAGTTATACTTCTTTAAAAGGTGATGTGGCTCACACCTGTAATCCCAACACCTTGGGAAGTTGAGGAAGGAGGATCACTTGAGGCTAGGAGTTTGAGACTAGCCTGGGCAACATAGTGAGACCCCGTCTCTACAAAAAAATAAAATAAAATAAAAAATTAATCAGGTGTGGTAGTGTTCCTGTAGTATCAGCTACTTGGGAGGCTAAGGTGGGAAGATCACTTGAGCCTGGGAGTTAAAGGCTGCAGTGAGCTATGATTATGCCACTGCACTTCAGCCTGGGTGGCAGAGTGAGACCCTGTCTCAAAAAAGTTTTTAATTTTTAATTTTAATTTTTATTTTTTTGAGACAGAGTCTCGCTCTGTCACCCAGGCTAGAGTGCAGTGGCACAGTCTTGGCTCACTGCAACCTGCACCTCCCGGGTTCAAGTGATTCTCCTGCCTCTGCTTCCCGAATAGGTGGGATTACAGGCATGCGCCATCACACCCGGCTAATTTTTGTATTTTTAGTAGAGACAGGGTCTTGCCGTGTTGGCCAAGCTGGTCTTGAACTCCTGGCTTCAAGTGATCCACCTTCCTTGGCCTCCCAAGGTGCTGGGATTATAGGCATAAGCCACCGTGCCTGGCATCTCAAAAAAGTTTTTTAAAAAAGGTGGGCTCCTATTTGGCTCCATGTGCTAAGGCAGGTACACCTCTCTCTCACTGCAGGTTTTCCAGAAGCCCCACGAGGTGGTAATGGTGCTGCTGATTCAGACCCTGGGGGCCCTCATGCCCTCGCTGCCCTCCTGCCTCAGCAACGGCGTGGAGAGGGCAGGGCCCGAGCAGGAGCTCACCAGGCTGCTGGAGTTCTACGACGCCACCGCCCACTTCGCCAAGGGCTTGGAGATGGCACTGCTCCCCCACCTACGTAAACATTCCTTCCTGCCAGTTCTCTAGCTTGTCTTTACTCGCTCTTTCTGAAGCTTCTGGGGCCTGGATTTGTTTGCCTTTTCAGATGACTGATTTTACAGAAATGGAAGGGATCGGTGTTTTCCTTCTCAGCAGATGTGGAGGGCTTTTCCATGAAAAAACATTGCCATCAAGGAAATAGTTGTTTAATATCTTTGCCTGGCTCCAGTGCTGCCTGGGTGCCTTACATGCTCTGGGGAAGTGATGGACACCTCTGTGGGGCTTGGGATATAAAAGAGGCATCACAGTGAGGCAGGTAGATGTTATGGCAAAGAGTTGGCGGCAGATTACACCAGGAGGCAAGTGTGCTTATCCTTTGAAGTCATCACGAAGCCTCAGACATTTCAACCTCAAAAGTCAGTTTTAGAGAACAAACAGGCTACAAGGGCTTTTTTTTTTTTTTTTTTTTTGAGATGGAGTTTCGCTCTTGTTGCCCAGGCTGGAGTGCAATGGTACGATCTTGGCTCACCACAACCTCCACCTCCTAGGTTCAAGCAATTCTCCTGCCTCAGCCTCCCAAGTAGCTGGAATTACAGGCATGCAGCACCACGCCTGGCTAATTTTGTATTTTTAGTAGAGATTGGGTTTCTCCATGTTGAGGCTGGTCTCGAACTCCTGACCTCAGGTGATCTGCCCGCCTCGGCCTCCCAAAGTGCTGGGATTACAGGCATGAGCCACTGTGCCCAGCCTACAGGGGCTTTTTGAAGGAGCAACAGCAAGTGTCCCAGGGCAGGGGAGCTGTGTTAGGACTACAGGTGGTTGTAGAGAAAATGGGCTTTCCCCGGTGGCCGACTGAGAGCAGAGCACCCCTTACTCCCATTTGGGTAAACAGTGCCTGGTGTGTGATGCTCTCCAAGCTCTTTCCCGTCTATGTTAAAAGCTTTATAAATTTTTAAAGAACACAGACCCCGTGACGCATGTTGCTGTCAAATCAGGAAATTGCTTCAGGAAGGCCTTGTTCTGCTGTTCGGCGGCTGTGTGTCACTGACTTGGTTTATTTAATAGTTCTTCTCTTTAATTACATCTGTGTATAATTGCCTTGTACGTTCCAGGGAGTGTGTTTATTGTTCGGATTCCTGATGACTCATCGGTGTTTTTGGCATGCTCACAGGTCAGGCCTTAGTTATGGGAAAGGCCCAGTGGATGGGGAAGCTTCCAAGGGACCGTGATGCCTTTGTGGAAGTGGCTAAGGAGAGTTGAGAGAGCTGGGCTAAGGCGAGTTGCTGCAGCACAGTGGGACGAAGGTGGAGCAAGGAATGGCTGCATCCTTCCCCTGGGGATGGATGTAGTGGGGAAGAGAACCACCCTTGAGACAGATCTGGAAGTGCTTTGCTAGTCAGCCATGGGACGAGTCTCACTCTCGCCCAGGCTGGAGTGCAGCGGTGTGATCTTGGCTCACTGTAACCTCCACCTCCTGGGTTCAAACAATTCTCCTGCCTCAGCCTCCTGAATAGTTGGGACTACAGGTGTGTGCCACCACACCAGGCTAATTTTTGTATTTTTTAGTAGAGATGGGGTTTCGCCATGTTGGCCAGGCTGGTCTCGAACTCATGACCTCAGGTGATCGACCCGCCTCAGCCTCCTGAAGTGCTGGGATTACAGCAGGTGTGAGCCACCATGCCTGGCTGGGACTTTAGATTTCATTTTTTTTTTTTTTTTTTTTGAGACAGAGACTTGCTTTGTTGCCCAGGCTGGAGTGCAGTGGCGTGATCTTGGCTCACTGCAACCTCTGCCTCCCAGGTTCAAGCAATTCTCCTGCCTCAGCCTTCTGAGTAGTTGGGATTACAGGCACACACTACCACACCTGGCTAATTTTTTTGTATTTTTAGTAGAGACGAGGTTTCACCATGTTGGCCAGGCTGGTCTCAAACTCCTTGCCTCAAGCAATCCACCCATCTTGGCCTCCCAAAGTACTGAGATTACAGGTGTAAGCCACCACACCTGACCTAGATTACTAATGATTCTCCCTGAGGTTTTCCAAAAGAGTTTTAGTTTTTCTTTTAACTTAAAAATTTTTTGGAAACACACACAAAAATAAAAAGAGAGCAAGAACAATCCATAAACTCATCAGTCAGAGCCACCAACAACATTATTTGCTTCCAGTAATACAAATATAAATATACATTGTTCACAAATATTAATATACTTAATATCTACCATATAAATATTATGTAATAAATACATAACATATTAAATATATTAAATACTTTTATATATTTACATGTAATAATATATGTTATATAATATATACAAAATATCTTAAAATATTGGTTGTAGACAGTCTTATATTTTCATTTTTTGAAATGCTCAAAATAATATAATGGGCATTTTCTTATGTCATTAAATGTTTTCCTAAGACATAGTTTTGTTGTCTTTATTTTTTTTTTGTTTTTTTGAGACAGGGTCTTGCTCTGTCGCCCAGGTTAGAGTGCAGTGACACTATCACAGCTTACTGTAGCCTTGAACCTTCTGGGCTCAAGTGATTCTCTGAACTCAGTCTCCTGAGTAGTTGAGACCACGGGCACATGCCACCAAGGCTGACTCATTTTTAAAAATTTTTTGTAGAGACAGGGTCTTCCTATTTTGCTCAGGCTGATCTCAAACTCCTAGGCTCAAGTGATTCTCCTGCCTTGGCCTCTCAAAGTGCTGGGATTACAGGTGTGAGCTACCACACCTGGCCAATTTACTACCATTTTTAATCACTATGATATATAAAACTATAATGAACTGTTTTATACATTAGTTTTTGAGCCTAGCTCCGATTATTCCTTAGGATAAGTTTAAATTTGCAGTTGCTCAGAAATGAAAACTTTGAAGATACTTGTCACATTTTGTTCTTTTTTTTTTTTTTTTTTTTGAGATGGAGTCTCACTCTGTTGCCCAGGCGGGAGTGCAGTGGCACAATTTCGGCTCACTGAAGCCTCCACCTCCTGGGTTCATGCCATTCTCCTTCCTCAGCCTCCTGACACATTTTGTTCTTTAGACCTGTTTTTGTATCTATCAGTAGTGAACGAAGGTGCCTGTGTTGCCATCCCCTCACCAGCACTAGATTCTTTTTTTCTCCTGTCATTGCCAGGTTCTTAGACAATTACTGATATGCCATTTTAGTTTTTCACTTTGGTTATTAGCAAGTTTGAAAGTTACATGATAAAAAGTATCTTTTCTCTT
This sequence comes from Homo sapiens, assembly GCF_000001405.40. NCBI lineage: Eukaryota > Metazoa > Chordata > Mammalia > Primates > Hominidae > Homo > Homo sapiens. The sequence goes on along the minus strand of NC_000016.10, from coordinate 23,421,539 downwards.
TTGAATTGCTTATTCTTTAGCCTGTTATTCTGTTTGGGAGTTTAACCTATTTCTGGTTAATTTATAAGAGCAATTTATTTAAAATAATATATTATTAAATATATTATAAAAAGCAACAAAATATGTATTATAAGAATTAATGATATAGAAATCTGTGACACAAAATAACTCTCCTATAATCCCACTTTAACCACTGTTACAAATTTGGTGCATATTCCTGAAAGATCCTTATATAGTGAGGAATTTTTACCATTGCTTATCAAATATGTTGTAAATATATTGCCTAACTTTTAATTTTACCCTTAACATTTTTTCTATTATTTTAATAGTTAATACATGTACCTAATACAATTCAAAATATAAAAGATTATGCAATATAAAGTAAATTTTTAAAAATTTAGGTTGACTTTATCATTATAGAAAAATCTAGGAAAAAACAAGGAAGGAAAAAGAAATCATTCTCAACTCACCATTCAGAAACAGCATTTTGGGCCAGGCATGGGGGCTCGCACCTGTAATCTCAGCACTTTGGGAGGCCAAGGTGAGGGAGTCATTTGATTCTAGGAGTTCAAGATCAGCTCTGGAAACATATACCCCATCTCTACAAAAAAAAAAAAAAAAAAAAAAAATTAGCCAGGTATAGTAGCATACACCTGTAGTACTAGCTACTCAGGAGGCTGGGGTGGGGAGATCTCTTGAGCCTGGGAGGCCAAGGCAATGGTGACCTGTGGTTGGACCACTGCACCTTAGTCTGGGGAACTGAGTGAGATCCTGTCTCGAAGAAAAAAGAAAAGAAGAAGAAAAAAGAAATAACACTTTGGATTCTATACATGTGCAGATTTGATTATTACCATGTTAGACCCACATTACTTTACCTAATCTCTACAAAACCTTGTAAAATTGGTGCCAGAAATCAAGAGCAGCAGACTTTAGCTGAGTGAGTATTGAAGGAGAAGTAGGAGTTAACTAGATAAAGAGGGGAAGGGACGAAGCCGGTCCTTCCAGACAGAGGATCAGCATGTGAACAGAAGGAAGCTTTTAGGAACTGAGAGAAGGCTGGGAGCTAGAGGAAGAGGGAAGGAGGATGAGGCTGTAGAAGTAATAATAAAACTAGCTGAAGGAGGGGACCAGAAGGATGTGAGGATACCAGTAAGTAGGCTATTACATTTACTAATCCCCTGTTGAGACTGTGTCCAAAGCTTTCTGATTCTGAGCCATGTTTCCATGAACATCCTTCTGTCTCTGTGTATTTGTTGATTTCTTTGAGATGATTTTCAGGAATTGAATTACTGTGTTGTAGAATATGCACATTTACATTCTGATACAGCGTGTTTTACATTTTTATGTGGTTGAACGTAGGAATTTTTGGAATGCCTGGGCTATGGGGTATCCTTTTGTTTTTTGTTTTTGTTTTGAGACGGACTCTCGCTCTGTCACCCAGGCTGGAGTGCAGTGGTGTAATCTCAGCTTCCCGGGTTCAAGGAATTCTCTTGCCTCAGCCTCCCAGGTAGCTGGGACCACAGATGCATGCTACCATGCCCAGCTAAATTTTTTTTGTATTTTTAGTAGAGATGGGGTTTCACAGTATTGGCCAGGGCTGGTCTCAAACTCCTAACCTCAAGAAATCCGCTCACCTCGGCCTCCCAAAGTGCTGGGATTACACGTGTGAGCCACCACGACCTGCCAGTGGGGGTATTCTGTTTCTAGGAAGTCCTAGGAACATGTGGCATGGGAATTGTTCTTCCTGTATTGCCTTTTCTCTGTGGCAGTTCTTTTTTTTTTTTTTTTTTTGAGATGAAGTCTTACTCTGTCACCCAGGCTGGAGTGCAGTGGCATGATCTTGGCTCATTACAACCTCCACCTCCTGGGTTCAAGCAATTCTCCTGCCTCAGCCTCCCGAGTAGCAGGAATTACAGGTGCCCGCCACTACGCCCGGCTAATTTTTGTATTTTTAGTAGAGATCGGGTTTCACCATAATGGGTAGGCTGGTCTCAAACTCCTGACCTCAGGTGATACGCCCACCTCCGCTTCCCAAAGTGCTGGGATTACAAGTGTGAGCCACCGAGCCCAGCCTCTGTGGCAATTCTTGAACCTGACCTTGATGAGGGTTATCTTTTTTTTTTTTTTTGAGATGGAGTCTCGCTCTTGTTGCCCAGGCTGGAATGCAATGGTGTGATCTCAGCTCACCACAACCTCCACCTCCCAGGTTCAAGTGATTCTCCTGCCTCAGCCTCCCGAGTAGCTGGGATTACAGGCATGTGCCACCATGCCCAGCTAATTTTGTATTTTTAGTAGAGACAAGGTTTCGGTTTCTCCATGTTGGTCAAGCTGGTCTCAAACTTCTGACCTCAGTTGATCCGCCCGCCTCGGCCTCCCAAAGTGTTGGGATTACAGGCGTGAGCCACCACGCCCGGCCAATGAGGGTTATCTTTTGAAGGGATTCTTATTTGTGGTGGGTCATGGGATTCAGGGGGCTGGTGTCTTTAATAGTGCTTTAGGCAAACAATGTGCAAAGCCCAAATTTATCCAGATATTTGCTGAACTGATTGTAGGAGAAGCTTCCATGAATGATAAAAGCTGCTTAACAAAATATAGTCCCCTCTGGAGATCAAATGGGGAAAGTTCTAGTAGAGCGCCTCTTGATTGTTGCTTTCCCACAGTTAATTTCAGATTCTTTGTTCATTATCGTTTTACATTTCTGATTCCCTAAAGATGAACACAATCTGGTAAAAGTCACGGAGCTGGTGGATGCTGTGTATGATCCATACAAACCCTACCAGCTGAAGTATGGCGACATGGAAGAGAGCAACCTCCTCATCCAGATGAGTGCTGTGCCTCTGGTAAAGTCGCAGTGTCCTGGGGCCACTGAGGAAGCATTCTGTTAGCCAGGGTCTTGGCCACGTCTGGGAGAGGGCTGGGGGTTGGGATCCGGGGTGCTGAAATATGACCTTTAAGCACTTGTGGGCTCTTGTAATCCCAATGTAAAATGAGACCATATATTTGCTACCAATTTTCTATTGATTGATGGATTGAGACAGAGTCTCCATCTGTCGCCCAGGCTGGAGTGTAGTGGTGCGATTGATTACAACTCACTGCAGCCTTGATCTCCTGGGCTCAAGTGATCCTCCTGCCTCAGCCTCCTGAGTAGCTGGGACTCCAGGCATGCACCACCATGCCTGGCTCATTTTTGTGTATTTTTTGTAGAGACAGTTTTGCCATGTTGCCCAGGCTGGTCTCAAACTCCTGGGCTCAAGCAACCCACCCACCTTGGGCTTCCAAAGTACTGGAATTACAGGCATGTGCCACCCTGCCGGGCCCTAGTTTTCTATTTAAAATCCCCAATGAAGGTTAAACAAAATGAGAGGCTTAAATCTTTTGGGGGATAAGTTGATTATCTCCCTGGTTTACTAATTTCTTACTAAGGCGGTCTTTTGTTTAAGGAAGACATGCAAATGGGCACAGGATCTTAGCACTCATGGGCAATGCTGCAGGGGCAGGTTCACTATGCTATGTGGGCACCAGGGGTGGAACTGAGGCCATTTCCATTTCAAATATTATTTTGTTTTCAAGTCATAAGGTTGTCTAGCATGAGGTACATTGATATTTCAGAATTGATCTTATAGTAGTTCAAATCTACTGCCTCTTACCATTTTCTTGTTTTCTAGGGATATACCTAGAAAGTCTATTGCACTTCAGTGCCATACTTGCACCTGAAGGAAGGAAGCATTTTCCTTTTGCCTTATTTTTTATTTTTATTTTTTTGAGAGGGTCTTGCTCTGTCATACAGGTTGAAGTCCAATGGTGCCCAGGTTGGAGTGCAGTGGCACAATCACAGCTCACTTCAACCTTGATCTCCCAGGCTCAAGCGATCCTCCCACCTCAGCTTCCCAGTAGTTGGGACTACAGGTGCATGTCACCATGCCAGGCTAATTTTTTGTAGAGATGGGGTTTCGCCATGTTGACCAGGCTGGTCTCAAACTCCTGGGCTGGAGCAATCTGCCCACGTCTGCCATCCAAAGTACTGGGATTACAGGCTTGAGCCACTGCACCCAGCCCCCTTTTGCTACATTCTTTGGAGCGTCTGATAAGGAGAATTTGAATCGTAGCTCGAGAGCCAGAGGAAGAGATGCCATCTTAATAATCACAGAAAAAGAGGAAAGCAATGAAAAACATTAGGATCAAGTAGACAGACATTCGATCATGCTTTTCTGCCAGGAGTGAATTTCCATGATCCCACTGATGACTTAGACTGTTCTCCCTTGATTCAGGCTCTAGAGAAGCATTCAAACGTTGGGACTATATTTCTGACATCGTTATTAAGTGATTTTACTACAGATGAGAAGGCTTGGAGGTCTTCCCCTATCTCAGCATTGTCTGTTCTAAAGCCTAATGCAGCTTTGTCTGTATTTGCTGACCAGGAGCATGGGGAAGTGATTGACTGTGTGCAGGAGCTGAGCCACTCCGTGAACAAGCTGTTTGGTCTGGCGTCTGCAGCCGTTGACAGATGCGTCAGATTCACCAATGGCCTGGGGACCTGCGGCCTGTTGTCAGCCCTGAAATCCCTCTTTGCCAAGTAAGGCTGGGGAACTGGGGACCAGACGGGCCACATTGGAGCAGTGTCTGTCCCAGATAAAAATGCACGTGTTCTGTATTTGTTCTCTGAACCCTGGGAAACACTTGCACCTGAACCCAAGAGGATGTTGTTAAGGATATTCATAGTGGCATTGTTTGTAATGGTGGAACATTTGAAACAACGTAAATGTCTACCCATTAGGGAAGGTTACTTAAGATGTGACATATTCATATGAGGGAAACTTGTGCAGCAGTTAAAGTATGTTAAGAAAAAAAAAGAAACCTTAGACAAGTTAAATTTAACAAAGTTTATTTGAACAAGAAAAAGGACCTTTGGCCTGGTGCGGTGAATCACGCCTGTAATCCCAGTACTTTGGGAGGCCAAGACAGGTGGATTGCTTAAACTCAGGAGTTCGAGACCAGCTTGGCCAACATGGTGAAGCCCTGTCTCTGATTGTTCCAGAAATACTGAGCATGCCTCTGTGAACTGTGGAGGCTCCTTGGACCCAGAGCTCCCTGGCATTGCCATCGGGCATCCAGCACCTCCCAGGGCAGTTCCACGTAGGCATTTCTATAGGAACACATCATCTGGTGTGGCCGGATGAGCCTGAATGTGTTCCTGCAGAAAAAGAAACATCAGGCTGGGTGTGGTGGCTCACGCTTGTAATCCCAGCACTTTGGGTGGCTGAGGCAGGTGGATCACTTGAGGTCAGGAGTTCGAAACCACCCTGGTCAACGTGGCGAAGCTCATCTCTACTAAAAATGCAAAAATCAGGTAGGCATGATGGTGGATGCCTGTAATCCCAGCTGCTCAGGAGGCTGAGACATAAAAATTGCTGAATCCAAGAGGCAGAGCTTGCAGTGAGCCAAGACTGTGCCATGGCACTCCAGCCTGTGCAACAAGAACAAAACTCTGTCTCAAAAAATAAAAAATAAAAAAAAATCAAAATAATACATTTCCATATTAAGCATTCAAACTGTACAAAAGTATATCTGGAAAACCCAGGCCATCTTCTCTAAAAGGGAAGATTTTGAAGTTACCAAAATAGCTGATGCTTATAAAATCAGGGAAATCAGGTTGAAGCTAACTTGAGCAGGGTTCAAATGGCACATTGTTCAGTAGTGAGGAGGGTTTGGGGAAGGGTATTAAGGGAGGCAGGGGCAAGGAGAACAGGGTACGCAGGAAAGGCAGGTGCAGGTTGGCCTAACTCGAACTAGGATGAAGCATAGAGTATAGTGGCCAACCGGTGGTTCAAGAAGGAGGGGTATTAAGACTGTGATGGGCATGGGAGCTCTGGACACTTACTAGTGGGGACCTTAGAGATGGTAGTGTTCCTCTCTGAGTAAACTGATGATGACAATATCTCCTTTCCAAGGAGGTTGTGAATATTAACCAAAAGCATATCATTAAAGCCCCTAACACGGTGACTCTGACATGGTTGACAATTGGAAATGTGTATTGTGAGAAACAGCTGGAGGGTTTGGGAACAAAAATGATGTGATGAAAGCTACACTTTTCCTCTGAGATTTCATGACAAACCATTTAGAATTCTGGATTGACAGCTAATGAAATAGAGAAAGCATTTGCTTATAACCATACCTGAGAATAGTGGCTAAACAAAACTCCTTCTCCTGCAGTGTGTACCTGCTCTTTCTGCAGAGCACATGGATATTTGCCATAGTTGCAGAGGTGGTGACATGGTTGTTTAACTTCCCATGGCTAAAGCACAATCATGTTCCTTAACATTCCCCTGTCAGTTTGTGCTTGAGGCCAGCCCCTCTCCTTCCTGGGACTTATAACCCTAGAAAGCTGTCACCTCTCTTGGTGCAAGGGGAAGGTGTTGTCAGTGGTACTCTGGGTTTTGCAGCTTTCCACCTGAAAGCATCGAGCTCTCTGTAAAGGGAGCAGCAGGATCATTTGCAGTCAGTGGAGTGACCTGAAGCCGTTTCTTCCAGTTGGTTCATTGAGTGGCCTGTGTCTCCACTGCATGGACTGACCTTTTGGGGCTGTGCCCTGGGTCCTCACATTTCACTTTCCTCATTTAGAGCTTCGTTTTGGGAGGGGCAAGCGGCAAGGCCTCTTGTGATGCATGCAAATGTCACAGGTTTCGTAGCTTTCAGAGGACATGACTCCCTCCTTTATGTCCAGCTCTGTGCTAGTTCCTGGGGATATAAGTATGAGGCACAGGTTTCGTAGCTTTCAGAGGACATGACTCCCTCCTTTATGTCCAGCTCTGTGCTAGTTCCTGGGGATATAAGTATGAGGCACAGACTCTGTTCTCCCAGAGCTTAAAGTCTAGCAGCAGCAATAAGCATCATACAAGCTATTTCTTTATCTGGAGACAGGGTCTTGCTCTGCCACCCAGGCTGGAGTGCAGTGGCGTGCTCATGGCCCACTGCAGCCTTGACCTCCTAGGCTCAAGCCATCTTTCCACCCCAGCCTCCTGAGTAGCTGGGACTACAGGCATGCGCCACCACGCCAGGCTAATTTTTGTATTCTTTGTAGAGACAAAGTTTTGCCATGTCACCCAGTGTGGTCTTGAACTTCCATGCACAAGTGGTCCTCTTACCTCGGCCTCCCAAAGTGCTGTGATTACAGGCATGAGCTACCACACCCGCCTAATTTTTTTGTTTTTTTTAGAGATGGGATCTCACTCTGTTGCCCAGGCAGGTCTCGAACTCCTTGAGCTCAAGTGATCCTCCTTCCTCAGCCTCCCAAGGTGCTGGGATTACAGGTGTGAGCCACCATGCCCTGTCTAAACAAGCTGTTTAATTACAGTGTTTTAGATGCTGTGAGGGAAAAGTATGTGTGTACAGTGAGAGCAAACAACGCAGCCTGTGAGGGAGGATCTCCTGGCTTTGAATCCACTTTCATGCGTCTGTCCCATTAAAGTCAGACACTTGCCAGCCGTGAAACTTTAATCTTTTTGCCACGGGTATTTAATCTAAATTTAGAGGATGAGAATGATGCAGAGGTACCTTGGATGTCATGACCTTCCTTACGTTATCCCAGGTCACAGTCAGTTATTACCATGGGACCGTGATGTTTAAACAGTTCTTCAAACCTGCTTTCACAGAAATGTACTTATCTGGATGAGGGGGGATTTATCAGCATCATCTCTCACCTGGTTGCTCCCTGGAGTCAACTTCACGATTATTCCTTCCTTCTCCTCTTGGGCATCTCTTTTAGAAACTGCTCAACCAGGTGGTGAAGACAGTCTTGCCACATAGAGAAGAACTTTTTGTGTTCAGAGGTTTACAAGCAGTTTCACTCGTCGGTGGGAGCCTCTAAAGATGCTCTCAAGGCCATTAGCAATTTGTCCAGAGCTGTAGAATTCCAGGTCTCTTTAGAGTTGGGGAATCAGTGGTGACCTCCCTACCATTTTCTTCCCTTTCCCGGCAGGTATGTGTCTGATTTCACCAGCACTCTCCAGTCCATACGAAAGAAGTGCAAACTGGACCACATTCCTCCCAACTCCCTCTTCCAGGAAGATTGGACGGCTTTTCAGAACTCCATTAGGTAAACCGGGGGTTGTAATTCAAGCTTGTTCCTAATGTAGCCAGCATAAACATGCATGATATAGTATATAAAAATGACAAATGTGTTTGGAAGGGGTTCGTTTTTTTTCTTTCACTGCCTTTTTAAAAAGCAAATACTCCAGACTCTAAACACAAACCAATAAAACCCAACCCAAACCAACCAACAAAAAGACCCCTCCAGCTCTTAAGATATTTTTAAAAGTTCTTTACAAATGCCTCATCTCCTTTAATGACTTAAATTTTTTATATTTGATGTGAGATTTTTTACCCCCACCTTAGCGTATAGTTTTTATAGACCTAAAATAACTTAGGGCTTATGTATTAGAAAATGCATAGGTGATCGGATCCTGTTTCTGGATCTGAGAACCATGGTACATGGTACTAAATGGTTCCAGGCAACGCTATTTGGCCTGGAAAGGGCCATTTAAGAGTTCAGTGAAAGGGCTGGGCTTGGTGGCTCATGCTTTTCATCCCAGCACTTTGGGAGGCTGAGGCGGGCAGATCACTTGAGGTCAGTAGTTCAAGACCAACCTGGCCAACATGGTGAAACCCCGTCTCTACTAAAAATACAAAAATTAGCTGGGTGTGGTGGTGTATGCCTGTAATCCCAGCTACCCAGGAGGCTGAGGCAGGGGAATTGCTTGAACCTGGGAGGTGGAGGTTGAAGTGAGCCGAGATCCTGCTGCTGCACTCCAGCCTGGGTGACAGGGCAAAACCCTGTCTCAAAACAAAAAAGGTTCAGTGAAAGGAATTGAGGTGACCTTCTCAAGTCGTTGTTGAGGGCCAGATTCTGGAATAGCCTGTGTGGCCTGTGGGCCACTAGGTAGACACCCTATTTTGCCCCAGTCCCTGAGGCTTGATGGAGGTTCGATCAGCAGTTGCCTGAGAAGATTTGGTCCTTGACATGTCCAGCTGGAGAGCATGGACTGTTGGCCTATGGCCAGATTTGACCTATGGACATGTTTGATCATTGCAGTTTTTAACAAGTGGATTTGTTGCCAATATTTAAAAACTAGATTTAACATGATCCGGATTTCTAATGTCACCTAAAAAATGAGATGCTCAGGCAACACTGGGCCTGCATTGTCATAGCCACTGGGGCTGGCAGCAGGGGTCCCTGAGAAACTGGGCACGGGTTCCCTGTTGTGCAGTGCTTCTCTCCTCTCCCAAGTGGGCTAATAGTGATACGATTAGGCTCTCAGACCACTTGGCAGAGAAGAGAAGCACCATACAACAGATGAAAAGCAGGCTGGGCACAGTGGCTCACACCTGTAATCCCAGCACTTTGGGAGGTCGAGGTAGGTGGATCATCTGAGGTCAGGAGTTCAAGACCAGCCTGGCCAACATGGTGAAACCCTGTCTCTACTAAAAATACAACAATTAGCTGGGCATGGTGGCACGTGCCTGTAATCCCAGCTACTTGGGAGGCTGAGGCAGGAGAATTGCTTGAACCTGGGAGGTGGAGGTTGCAGTGAGCCAAGACTGCACCATTGCACTCCAGCCTGGGTGACAGAGCAAGACCTCATCTCAAAAAAAAAAAAAAAAGCAATCTGGAAGTTTCTTTTTCTTAAAACCATTCTTCCTGGATATATTTTCCCAAGAGAGAAATGGCCGTTCACTTGGCGCACTTCACCCACTTTCATGTCTTACCTGACCCTTGCCCGTGACACATGTGGTTCTTAATGCGGTGGCCCATGCCAGAGCAGACCCAGACCCACCCAAGGCCGTTGGGTAGATCCAGGACCACTCAGGACCATTTTAGATTATTACCTCACCTCACAGGCTCTGTTCTGGATTGTTTTGATGAAATTTAATGTTCTATGGGTTGATAGGTGCAGCAAACCACGATGACACACGTTTACCTATTAACAAACCTGCACGTCCTACACATGTATCCCGGAACTTAAAATAAAATTTAAAAAAAATGTAATGTTCTAGATGCTAACTGTATCCCTTATCACCCGTGGTGGTTTGGTATTCTGGAAAATATTATGCACAAGTTTGTTCTGTTGCACGTAAGGGAAGTGGAATATTTTACCTTCTCATAAACTTTTCTTATGATGGAATGCCTAGATAGCCTGGTGATGATGCGCACTTTTAGAGAAGGTTAAAAGTTAACTAGACTTAAGATGTTTTTAATCCTTGGATTTGTCCTGACATTATGAGTTTGGTGTTGAAGGACCCAGCAGCTGGGAGTTTGAGGCTTGGCATAAAATTACTTGAAAATTAAAGGATCATTCAATACGGATATGATGGTCATTTGGGCTTATCTCTGAGAAACAAATGGATTAATCTTCATCTGCCTTTCATATGATCAGGGAAAGATACTTCTAGTACCAAAACATTTTCTGTGTCTGGAAACTAGCAGGCATCTAGCAAATATTAAGTGATACATTTTTTTTGTTTTTAATTTTAGATACAGGCAGGATGTGGTGGCTCACTCCTATAATCCCAGCATTTTGGGAGGCCAAGGCAGGCGGATCACTTAAGGTCGGGAGTTTGAGACCAGCCTGGCCAATATAGTGAAACCCCGTCTCTACTAAAAATAACAAAAATTAGCCAGGCGTGGTGGCGTGCGCCTGTAATCCCAGCTACTTGGGAGGCTGAGGCAGGAGAGTCACTTGAACCTGGGAGGCAGAGGTTGCAGTGAGCCAAGATGACGCCATTGCACTCCAGCCTGGGTGACAGAGCGAGACTTAGTTGCAAAAATAAATAAATAAATAAATAATAAATTTTAGATATAAAATATCTCTACCCTGTTTTTCTCAAGGACAAAGCTGAGTATTTTGGAAATGTAAAATTATTTGAGGGGGCCATGGATAGAATTGTGCTTTCGTAGCAGAGATGCCAGTGACAATGGAGGTTATTGGAAGGGACCAGCATTTTCTTTTTACATTAATGACTAATGAATGAAACATTTCAGGCCAGCAGATGTTTAACGGCTTTCCCAGAACCAGAACTACCCAAAGGAGCAAATAGTTAGGATTTTTATGAATAAGACAATGTTTGTCCTGTAAAGGCTGGCATTCCAGATACTTGAACTTGAAGTGCTTTTTGTTTTGTTTAGGATAATAGCCACCTGTGGAGAGCTTTTGCGGCATTGTGGGGACTTCGAGCAGCAGCTAGCCAACAGGTAGGAGAGAGGAGTCATTGTCCTCTACACCCTGGGGTTCCTGATCAGCACGAGCTTGGTCTAGTACACAGTACAGCAAGGACAGCATATGCCAGATGTGAAGGCCACAGGGCTGGAGGACTGTCTGTACCTAGATACAGCGTGTCATTATTGTCATCATTAAACGTTTATTGAGCACCTAAAAAGGGCAAGGCTTTGTCCTACTTGGCAGGGGTCACGTAATTTTGGTTTGATATGGTGGTTTCAGCCTAAATGAGGAAACAGTGCATCTTGTCTCCAAATTAGGAATGGGCTTGGTTCCGACTGCTTGTTTATAAATTAGTTGTTGGGACTAAAAATAAATTTCCATATAGAAACGGTGTGACAAGTGGTGGTGAAGTCCCTTGGGCCAGCCTTCAGGATCGGGGTGAACTTAGGCAGCCTGCCTTCTGGGTCCTGCAGTCAAATTCCGTGCTGCTGAAGGGCTGTGTATCAAAGGGGAATCTCTGGGGTCTGCCCTGGAAAAGCTTGTCCTACTCCCTTCCTCTCTTCTCATACCTGCCAGGGCTTTTATGTTGCCCTGAGGTGGCCTTCCTCAGACAGTTTTTCCCTTCAAGGGGCTCTGGCTTCCCACATTTCTTTCTTTATCCCTTTAAATGAAATCTCTTGATTCCCTTGGTATGGCTGATGCCTTTATTCCTTAGGAGTTAAGGGGAAGAAGTCTGTTTCATACAGTTGTTTGAGGGACCAGCAGCAATCCCTTAACCTCCTTCTTAGGTGATTCTTTATTGCCCTAAAGTAATCTCTGGGTGATGAAATTTTTAGTGGTGGTACAAAGTGAAATGAAAGCACCACTGTTCCAAAAGTAAGTAATGGGTGCTAGGAAAATACAGAGGAGCCACAGCAATCTCCCTATATCTGGCCCAAGCTGCCCAGGATGAGAGAAATCTCTCAGATGAGATTTCAACTCGGCCTTGCTTTACTCAGCCCGTAAATCACAAAATGATCCCTTTCTGCAGAGAAGTGATCATAAGAGCTGGGTGGCCAATGTCAATCTTGTCACTGGAGCGGCCCAGCGCGTTCTGACCTGTTGCCTCTGCCACCCGCCTGTTGGTGGGGAGTGGTCCTTGGTAGGAGTCTAGGTGCTGCTGGTGAGATTGATGGGGAGATAAGATAAGCTTTACAGGTGCCTGCCACATACACACACACACACACACACATGCACGCACACACACACACACACACACACACGCATGCACACTGTGCAGCCTTCCAGCCAGGAACACAGATGGTGACTGTCCCTTTCCAGGCTTAGTGCTTCCAGGATGACATCATCTCTTTCAGGAGCTCCCTTGGATACACCCAGGCTGTTCTTGACTTGAAGCTCAGCCAGGCTTTCAGCCTCTCTGGGCTGCAAAATGCAGCCCAGAGAGGCCCATCTTTTATCTATTGTGTCCCCATTCGTGCTCCTAACCAGTCTCTCCTTACCCTTCAGAATGTAATACTTGATTTCATTAAGAGATTAAGGAAAATCTGTGTCCTAGGAATTACCATTTACTTCATTTATATTATTTACACACACTCTACTGTATGCCTGTGGCACTTTGGTTTTATTCACTCCCGAAAGTCACGCAATTTCTGTGCTGGGCATTCAGGAGTGAGTTAGGAACAGCAGCAGCTGCTCCCACTCTATCCTGCTGTGAGCCTTTCCCCATAATGAGAACCATCACAAAAAATCTTGGACTAAAGACAGTTGGTGGTCTCAGAAATGACGGGAAACAAAGAATCGTGAGAAGAAACTGCCAACAAAGAGCACAGACCTTCCTTAGCAACTCGCCCCTACCTCCTGCCCCACCTCCCCCCGCCACTCGCCTCTCCCTTCTGCCCTGCTCACCCCCTGCCTCCCGCCCCACTCACCCCTACCTCCCGCCCCACTCGTCCCCTACCTCCCGCCCCACTCGTCCCCTACCTCCCGCCCCACTCGCCCCTACCTCCCGCCCCACTCGCCCCCTACCTCCCGCCCCACTCGCCCCCTGCCTCCCGCCCCACTCGCCCCCTGCCTCCCGCCACACTCGCCCCCTGCCTCCCGCCACACTCGCCCCCTGCCTCCCGCCACACTCGCCCCCTGCCTCCCGCCACACTCGCCCCCTGCCTCCCGCCACACTCGCCCCCTGCCTCCCGCCCCACTCGCCCCTATCTCTCGCCCCACTCACCTCTGTCTCCCACTTTACTCACCCCTACCTCCCTTCCCACTGTGCCACAGCTTTCCTGGGCTCTGAGCTAGGTCTTGGGGATATCAGTTAATTAAACTCAATCCTCGCCCTCAAAGAGCTTAGAAATTAATGGGAGCATCCAGCATGTGCCAGTATGCTCATTGCTGTGCCAAGAGAACGCAGTGTGCACAGAGGAGGGAGGATTACAATTCCATTGGTTCCCTCAACTGTGACAAGTTATTGCCCACTTCTCAGCCATGGGAACTTGTAAATTTATGCTAGATTTCCAGAACCTGACTGTCTCATTGAACTGTCCCCCGAAGACCTGGTCACTAAAGCCAGGGTCACCCATCCTTCAACAGTTGTGGAGCCCCTGCCACGTACCAGGCACTGTGCTAGTGCTAGTAATTCACAAATGAAGAACAGTCCGTGTTTTGTCCTCACCGTCCAGTTGGAGGGAAATGAGACAGCATGTGTTAAATGCAGAACAGAAGCAAGAGCCCTTTGGGAGCTCTGCCATTGGCTGATGGCGCAGAGGGCTGAAACCTCCTGGGGTCCTTAAGGCCTCTCCTCTACCAAGCCTTTCTAATGCCCCTGTGAAGCACTATCTTTGGGAAAAAGCCAAAATCAGATTTGCCTTCTGGGAAGATCATTCTGCTAACCCTTAGGAGGACAGATTAAGTAGAACTTCGAGGACTAGAGGAAGGGGAAGCCAGTTAGTTGGAAGCCTGCTGTGATCCAGACAAGAACTAGTGAAGACTGGAAGTAAGGCAATGGCAGAGACAGGCCACAGTTTGACAGATAAGAGACCCAACCAAAGTTACTGGTTGGCTCAAGCAACAGGAAGAACGAACTTGAACTTAATGGCAGAGGCAGGTAGCTGCTTATGTCAGCAGTGGCTTCTGAGGAAGATCGTATCACAGGGATTTATTTGCAAGTACAGGCATTTCTTGAACAACTCAAGGATCTGTTTTTGAAATAGTGAGTGCATCCTAAAAACTGCTATGTCCAAAGCAATGTTTTCATAAGAAATTACAGTAAAAGAGAAGGCAGGGAATTAGCCACATTTGGGATGTGTCATAATGTGTTACACATGTTCATGTAATTCTGTACATATTTAGATGGGTAGGATGGGTGGTAAAGTTGGGCTAAGGAAAACAGGGTGGAGGTCAAGATTCCACTTCCCCAGCAGTACAAGGGGTGGATTATCATATGAAACCTCCTCTAGGCGTTTGTCTTTCTCAAAGAGTTTGGAAAGTGCCAGCCTCAATAGATCTCTCTGTAGCACCTAAACCACAAAAATAAACCTCCCAGTGCCACCAAACACAAATACCATGCAAGCTCGGCATGTAGGACAGGTGGGCCCATGGGTAAAGAGGCGTGCAGCGAGCTGCTGTCACTGTTCTCTAGGAGCCAGCCAGCTGCTATCCTGCCCAGCGGTCTCTCTGATGGTGGTGCTGGTGGTCCATGCTGGCATTTGACTGTTCTACACCCTGATGCTCATATAGCAAGAAAAGTCTCCATAGAAGGTGCACAGTGTTCCAGACTAAACTGAGAGCTGCCCCTATGTAGGCTGTCGGTCATATTAGGGAGATAGCATGTTCTGGCACTGTGAATGTTCAGCAGGAATAAAAACACTGGGTTTTTTTTATTGTGCACCTGAGGTCCAGCTCACTCCTCAATGATGAAGGGCAGCCTTTCGTTGCCTTATAAACTGGACCTTAATTCAGTCTGTCTCATGAGGATTATCTTTGAATTTAGTAAGGAGCAATCTGACTGCTCCAAGAAGAAAGTTCCATGCAAATAGCTCAGGGCATAATGGTCATTCCTTTCATTACAGGATTTTGTCCACAGCTGGGAAGTATCTATCTGATTCCTGCAGCCCCCGGAGCCTGGCTGGTTTTCAGGAGAGCATCTTGACAGACAAGAAGAACTCTGCCAAGAACCCATGGCAAGAATATAATTACCTCCAGAAAGATAACCCTGCTGAATATGCCAGTTTAATGGAAATACTTTATACCCTTAAGGTATGAGACCAAATGAATGGCATTCTTGCAAATGAAAGGCTTCTTCTCATCACTCACCCTCTCCCTCTCTGGGTTACAGGCGGGCCCTGTGTGTGGCCCTGGGCTGTGACGTACCCTGCTACTACCTCTCTGTCTCATTTATGTTGGGATTTTAAGGAGCTAAGATATTAAACTTGAAACCCATTGAGATACAGATGTAGAGGTTAGAAGAGATGGATCTTTATTACTGATAAAAGCCAGGTTAGAGAATGTGGCTTTAGGCCAGGTGTGGTGGCTCACACCTGTAATCCCAGCACTTTGGGAGGCCGAGGTGGGTGGATCCCCTGAGGTCAGGAGTTTAAGACCAGTCTGGCCAACATGGTGAAACCCGGTCTCTACTAAAAATACAAAAATTAGCCAGGTGTGGTGGCACGCACCTGTAGTCCCAGCTACTTGGGAGGCAGAGGTGGGAGAATCACTTGAACCAGGGAGGCACCGGTTACAGTGAGCTAATATTGTGCCACTACACTCCAGCCTGGGTGACAGAGCGAGACTCCATCTCAAAAAAAAAAAAAAAAAGGAAAAAAGAGAATGTGGGTTTAGATCTGCGGCTAGGGGGACTTGCTGTAATTCACTCCAGAATGAAACTTGTCAGCCGGTCAGACAGAGCTGGACAGCCCCTGGCCCTGTTCAGGGTCAGCCTCCTGAGAGGGGACCAGATGTGTACTGCTTGCAGGCAGGCAGAACCTGTAATAGAGGATCCCAACCCAGGATACCAGGAGGAGCAAGAGAAGTCATTACTCTTTTCCAAGGGAGAAGCCAGGCTGCAGAGTCACCAGGAGTCTACCCAAGTACAAGTTCTTCCACATGGGACCATGAGGACTTGGGGATTGGTGTTCCCTCCTGGTTTTTTTCTTTAAACTCTTAGTTTGCCTGCCATAACGCTGCCCTTGACTTTGAGCCCCTTGGGGTCCAGGGACAGGAGAACTTCCTAACAAATGGAATGAGTCACACAATTCCTTGGGAATGGCTTCCAGGGTCATAAGAAGACCGTGGGCATCCTTTGCAGAACTGTCCTCCTCCCTCACTGGTCTGGCTTTAACTTCACTCTTGGTGATAGACAGAGGAGACATTGCTGTTCCTGGAGCACCAGATGCAGTAGAAAATTTTTTCTTTTGAGATGGAGTCTCACTCTGTCGCCTAGGCTGGAGTGCAGTGGCACAATCTCGGATCACTGCAACCTCTGCCTCCCCGCTTCAAGCGTTTCTTCTGCCTCAGCCTCCTGAATAGCTGGGATTATAGGCATGCGCCACCACACCTGGCTAATTTTTGTATTTTTAGTAAAGAAAGGGTTTCACCATATTGGCCAGGCTGGCCTCGAACTCCTGACCTCAGGTGATCTGCCTGTCTCAGCCTCCCAAAGTGCTGGGATTACAGGCGTGAGCCACTGCACCTGGCCAGATGCAGTAGAAAATTATCCACAGCCTAGAGCTCTGGAATGAACTGCACAGGGGGCCTGGACATGTCTGAGGCTTCAGTGCTATTCTCCCAGGGCCTCCCCATCTCTTTGCACCTTGACCCACCAACTGGTTGCATTGAGCTTGACAAACACTTCGTAAAGCAATTCTGGAAACTCATTCATCCATGCTTCTGTGATTAGGTTAAAGCAACTCTGTTTATCTTTATTGCTAATCTGATTTATGTCTGTTGTAATCAGTTCATTTATAATAACAAAACTAAGGTTACACTTTCCATCTCTATTTTCTCAGGCTATTTGGAATTCCTTGGGACTCATGGAGGTTGTACATACTTTGGCTTTCAGCCAAGTATATTTGACCTGACCTCCCCGGGAATTAGGGCTCTGTCCATCACTCTGATTTATATGTGAAGCTTCTGATCTTGTTTCCCCCCTCTTTCCCACCTCCTCTATCCCTGAGGGATGGTCACAGGTGAATTTTTCCTAAACTGCTTGTCCATGAGCTCATGTTAGCCCAAGTGCATCAGAATCACCTGGGAAAGTGAATTTAAAATCTAGATTTCTGGGCTCCAACCCCAGTGAACTCTGATGCAGTAGTTCTGGGGTGGAGCTTGGGAATCTGTAATTCAGCATGTTCTCCAGAGGGGCCTGGGGCACAGCCAGGTTTGGGAACCACTATTGCATAGAACCCCCAGTTCTCCTGTGAGTTTTCAAAATGGTTAACTAGCTAATACTTGGGTTGGGTTTCAGGCCTAACAACTGCCTTTTGCATTTTCTTGTCTTAGGAAAAAGGGTCAAGCAACCACAACCTGCTGGCTGCACCTCGAGCAGCGCTGACTCGGCTTAACCAGCAGGCCCACCAGCTGGCTTTCGATTCCGTGTTCCTGCGCATCAAACAACAGCTGTTGCTTATTTCGAAGATGGACGTGAGTTTCTCACTGACCACATCAATTTTTCCCGGGTCCTGCCTCCAACTCAAGCATACTGAGTGTGGGCTTAACCCTCCCTGTTCCAAGAGCTTTGGGAAGATCCCGCTTTAACTTTCCCAAGCCGGAAAGAGCCACTTTCCAATTTCACCTCATTGCTTAGCATGAATTTCTTATCTTTATTGTAGTTACTCTGATACTTTATTCACAGGCGGTTCTCAGGATTATTAAAATTGCTTGATTAACTTTCCCTATTTGGAGCAGCAGAGAAGTAATAGAGATTATGTGCAGCTTCGTAGGTTAGGCCAGGTCAGAAGAGCTAATTGTCTTTTGAGATTGAATTATTTTCACACCACACGAATCATTTCTGGAGAATTGGTTCTGGAACTTTACTCAGGGGAGTACCTTATCAGAATTGAACTTGTGTTTTTGAGGGGGCTTTGGAGGGTTCTGTTCCTTTCTTTCCTTGATACCTTTTCTGTTTGGCTGTTTCTAGAATCGACTCACTTTCCTTTCCTCACACCCTCTTCTCTTTTCTGGTTGTCCGAATTATTTTTCAAGGCATTGCCTGTTCTATTTTCTCTACTTGCTGTCTTTCCCCTGCTCCAGATCTTGTTACTTTCCTTTTGGATTACTGGGCGGGACAGCCCCCTGGTTAATGTATCTTACTGACCCTTCAGGGCCATTTGGATTCCAGTTATGGGCCTTTAATAACCAAGAGATCTTTTTACAAAATGACAAGAACTCATCTGGCAAAATCAAACGTGCTCTCCTTTCTGCCACCCTCTAGAAAGCCTGCAAGGCTGGGAGTCCAGGGCTCCTGCATGGTCTCAGTCAGGCCTCACCCCCTCACTGGGAGTCAGGATTCCCATCCGTAAAATTGCTCAGTTAAACGACATGATCGTGAGGTTCCTTCTACCCTTGAAGTTTGTGATTTTCACTCTTTATGATTTTTCTGTGCAAAATGCCATGAGATCTATTTCAATCAGATTTTGTATTTGTAGCGCAGAAGGGGACGTAAAGTGGAGGAGAGCTGTAGCAGAAATGAGGCGGGTGCCATCACATGGCTGAGTTATTCCTTCCTCCGTGAGCCTCCGTTTCCTCATCTGTGTGATGGGGATATAGTAATTCTTATATAGATTGATGAGGATTAAGTGAGATTTTGTATATTGATAGAATTTAGCATAGCACTGGCCACAGAGTAGATGTGTAATAAGTGGTAGTTTTCTTCTTTTCTGTGATTCTCATTTTTAAGAAGAATGACTTACTTGATTTTTTTAAAATAAAAATTGTATAGGTATTTATTTTTAGAAACTCAAGCAATACAAGAAAATACAAAAAAAAAAAATCTAATAAATACCTCCAAGATCCCACCATTGAGAAATAATCAGCGTCAGCAGTTTGATGTCCAGCAACCCAGACATCTCTTTCTGCACGCCTATACATGTTAAAGGCTGATTGGGCATCAGTGGATAGATCTATAGGAAGAAATGGAATTATACTATAATGCTGTTTTTAAGAAAAACAAGATATGCACAATATAATTTTATTTGAATTTAACCAGAAAAAAGAGACACTAAATGAATCTAAAGGAATTATTGAACTTGAGACATTTTTCTTTTCTTTTCTCTTTTTTTGAGACTGAGTCTCACTCTGTCACCCAGGCTGGAATGCAGTGGCACAATCTTGGCTCACTACAACCTCTGCTGCCTGGGTTCAAGTGATCCTCCTGCCTCAGCTTCTCGAGTAGCTGGGACTATAGGCGCCTGCCACCACTCCAGGCTAATTTTTGTATTTTTTGGTAGAGACGGGGTTTCGTCAGGTTGCCCAGGCTGGTCTTGAACTCCAGACCTCCAGTGATTCACCCACCTCGGCCTCCCAAAGTGCTGGGATTACAGGCATGAGCCACCAAGCCTGGTCGAGATTTTTTTTTTTTCTCCACGAAAGATACTCATTCCCCAGAAGCTCTCTCCAAGGTTATGAAAAAAAGATTATGAGTATGAAGAGATTGGAGTTGCCATTGCTTTTTGTTAATCCTGTTTCCATTGCAGACAGATACTGATACATATGATCCATTGAAAAACGAAAGGATTAGCTTTCTTTGTCTCTCTCCTGTCCCCTCCCTCACCTGCAGATTGGGTTGTTTGTATTATTTTTATTTTGTCAAAGCTGACGGTACTGACCTTCTGTTCTGAAACCTCAGTGCTTCCCAGCTTAGTTCTACATTTAAACAGGGGTGGTGCTTCCCCCGTCCTTTTCCCTCTACTTCTGCATTCCAGAGTTCATTATTGATGGTGGAGTTCCTGGGTGCTTGGCCCTACCTTCTCATTCCGGCTTCACCACAGCACCGTGGCCCCTTGGGAATGGGCGCAGGTGGCTTTGGAGATTAGGAGGAGCACTCCGAGGGTGCCAGCACACAATACCAAGGCAAACACTCTGGCCTTAAGGATTTGAAAATTAAACCCTGGTCATCAAATGTTTGTTTTCAGCATTTGCTGGTAAATTCTATTGCCCTTTTATATTCCGAGACTACAAACCAACGCTATATTTGATTTCAAAATGGATTATTGAAGTTTACCTATTTTACCTGGTGACAGATGGATAGAAAAGCCCATTTGAAGGACACTTTAAATAAATTTTGAACAATTAAAAAATGACCTGCAGCATTTCCCTATTGCCCTCAAGTGACATTCTCTGCTGTTTTCCCCCCCCCCTTTTTTTTTTGAGACAAAGTCTCACTCTGTTGCCCAGGCTGGAGTGCAGTGGTGTGATCTCCACTCACTGCAACCTCCGCCTCCTGGGTTCAAACACTTCTCATGCCTCAGCCTCCCAAGTATCTGGGACTACAGGCAAGCGTCACCACACCCGGCTAATTTTTGTATTTTTAGTAGAAATGGGGTTTCACCATGTAGGCCAGGCTGGTCTCAAACTCCTGGGCTCAAGTGATCCGCCCGCCTCAGCCTCTCAAAGTGCTGGGATTAGAGGCATGAGCCACCGCAGCCAGCCATCTGCTGCTTTTTAAGCACCCTCCTATTTCAAGCCACTCTGTCTTGCGCTTCTTCCAAACTTCTTTCCCACTCCAGCTGTTCTTTCCCTCTCTCCTCTGCCTGTTCATGTTTTGAGGCTGCTCCTCCTGCCTCCCCTTTGAGGCCTTTCCTGGGGCCTCCAGGCTGCAGTCCCTGGGATGGATGGCAGCAGTGCTTGTCTTCGCCCTGCACATTGTTACCTGCTCTTGGTCTCCTGGAAGCCGTTGCTTCTCCCCACACTCTGCTTCCCAGCCTGTCACCATCTGGGCTCCCTTGCTGCACCCCTCTTTGCCGACAAACCACCAAGGATTGCTGTCCCTTCCTTTTCTCTGTGTCCCACACCTGTTTCCACAGGGGATTCTCATCATCTCTGAGCTGTTTTTGAGCTTTTCATCTGCCCCCCACCCCAATTTTCTGCAGAGCTGCTGTATTCACCTTCACAAAGCATTGTTTTGGTTTTATCTCTCCTCATTCAAAACCCTCCCCAGGGCTAGTCTGATTGTCTGTTTTTAGCAACTTCTTATGGACCTTTTCACGCATACACAGAAGTAGGGAGAAGAGTATAAGGAACTCCATATACTCATCACCTGCTCCAACCATGATCCACTCCTAGCCATCCTGTTTCATACATACCCCCTCATCTGAAATAGAAGGACTCTAAAAATAATCACAGTACCATAGTCAACCCTAAAAAAGAAAAAGAAAAGGAATTCCTAATGTCATCAGTGTTCAAATTTCCAGTTGTTTTATAAATGGCATAATTTATTTTAACCCTTTGAGTCAGGATCTAGGATCCAGGATCCTGCACGTAGAGATTTATTGGGATGTCTTTTTTGTCATTTTTGAATGGTAAGTTTCCTCTCTCTTTCTTTTTCCCTTGCAATTTACTTGTTCAAGGTAAAGGCTTTACTTAGCCTGGTGTTTAAAGCTGTGCCTTCTCCCTCCAGCCTCTGTCTGCCTCTGTGTACCGCATACATCCTATGGCCAGCCGCTTCTCTAATCGCCCTGAGCTCTTCTTGCTCCTTGCCTCTGACACCGAGAGCTCTAGAAGTGGGAGGCAGCACTCATGTGTCTGCAGGGGGGAGAGGGGAGGGGCCAGAACAGGATAGGAGGTGTGGGGGTGTACAGGGTGGGAGTATGTCAGGGGGTCTTGCTTCCCCAAGTAGCTCCCTTCTAGAGAGCAAGGAGCAAATCTTACATTTCTTTGTCTCTTCTCTGCAAAGCTTAGCACAAGACACTCGACATCCTGGGTACTTGGTAAATGTGGATGGTTGGCGTGTTCCTTCTCGCTGGATTGGGAGTTAGCTGGAAAAAATGTAGGCTCTTTTGAGACAAAAGAGCATTCGCAGGCAAGAACAAAGAGTCTAGAAAACTGTAGGACAAGGGTTGGGGGCACCTGGGGTGGGGAAGAAAAGAGCTCATTTACATCAAAGAAAATAAGACCGAATCAAGTGGGCGCTAGAGAGCACGGGGAGGGCTGCCGAGGCTGAGCCTGGGCTGGGAGCCCAGGGTTGGACATGGTCATTCCTTTCCCGGAATGCTACTTAAAGGATCAGGCAACCGGATCCAACATCAGGTGGCTGCAGACAGCAGTTCCTACATGACCGCCGGAGTCACTCCCGGAGTTCAGCCAGAAAGGGCCTTGTTTTCCAGGGCTGGCTTTAGAGTGGCTCAGGTTGGAAGTAAGAAGCGAGATTTTTGTGTGAAGGTGTGCCACTCTGAAGTCTGTGAGCACATGTGCACAGGTCCTTTACCCAACTCTATATAAACTGCTGGGAAGGCTTCCACAACAACACGGAAGATGTTTCCACTCCAAATGGCAAGAAACACGTGTTAGTGCTGAGGTTCTCCTCGCACAGGGGGACTACAGAGAGGCCAGAGGGGCAGCTGTTGGGGTTTGGAAGTGCCGTCCCATCCCCATCCCTCTGAGTTCTGATGAGTTGAGAAACAGATCCAGAAGGTGGTGAGAAATAAAGCAGCAGCTTTAGTTGAGGTAAAGCAGTATTGCCGATGAGGCTTGGCTCTTCCTGCAGCCAGAGGGGCTTCCTAGGTCTCCCTCCCAGATAAGAGACTGACACGTGGCCTCTGTGGGGGACCTCAGGGTGCCCTGTTCTCCTTAGGGTGCTAAGGACCCACGAAGTAGTGAGGCTGTCTGCACCCAGCACCTCTCTACACAGTGGCCCCGCTACGCAGAGAAACTTGGACCAAAAATATCCAACTTTCTCCTGTTACAATCTCAGCGAGATAAATGAAAGGGATCAGTTCCCACCCCACAGTTCAGCCAATGTGGCAGTTCCTGTTTCATGGACCTGCAGGAATGCGGAGAGAGAAATCGTTGCCTTCTGTATGGCGGGCTTCCAGGTGAAGCTTTAAAGAAGAGAAGCCCCTGCCTGCTGAGTGGTGGAGGCTCCAACGGTCAGCTCCAACCAAAGACAGTGCCTCCAGGGAAGGCCATGTTCTTCTTGTGTATTTCTGGGTGGCGTCTTCACAGCTGCCTGGCTGCTAGGTACTGATTGTGTCCTCTCGTTCCACCCTTAGAGCTGGAATACGGCTGGCATCGGAGAAACCCTCACAGATGAACTGCCCGCCTTTAGTCTCACCCCTCTCGAGTACATCAGCAACGTAAGAGCTTCTGTGTGCTTCTCCAGGGTGGTCCAAGTCTTTCAGACCTTCCTTGTCTTTTGATTCTTGCCCTTATAGTCATTTCCCCATGGGTGCTATCTGACCCTTTTGGGTAGCCTGTGCTTTGGGGTAGTCTGCACCCAGATCCTGGACTTTAAGAAGATCAGCAGAGCCACATGGCGATTCCAGACCCCAGCACATTCTCACTCCTTCACCATCTCTCCCTATATGAGATGTGGCCAGTACCTGAGGGCGTCAGAGTTGAGAGTCTAATGGGAAATTCTGACTTGGGAAGACAGGAGGCAGATGGCCAATTCTTCTCTGTGACTTTCAGAAGAGTAGTGTGTGTTTGTGGTTGTGAATTCAAATTCAGCCAGCTTTTAGTGATCACCTACTATGTGCCAGGCTCTGTGTGGAGTGCTTTCATGTTTAACTTCATAGCAACAAACAAATCTCTTCAGAAGAATTGCAGTTATAGAGGCTTAATATTAAAAGAGAACAGAATAAACCATGCAGGGGAATGGGGGCACGTGGAGTCCTTGCTGCCCTCCCCATTCACCCCTGGGAATTGACAGTCACCCAGACACCTGCACATGGCCTTTCCTTCCGTTACTTCCTGCAGTCTAGCTCAGGTGCTCTTAAATGTCAGTGCGCACAAGAAACACTATAGAGGAGTAATATGTGCCAAACCACACTCACCTCACACAATGGGAGATTTCTGAGACTTTTCAAGGTGATTTCTGCCTTACGCTCTTGCCTTAGAATCCAACCCCTATGTGTAAGTTGTGACTCTGCCAAAATGACTAGAAAGGAATTTTAGAAGTATTATAAATGTTAGGCTGGGCATGGTGGCTCATGCTTATAGTCACAGCACTTTGGGAGGTAGAGGCGAGAGAATTGCTTGAGCCCAAAAATTTGAAACCAGTCTGGGCAACATAGGGGGACCCCGCCTCTACAAAAAAGTAAAAAATTATCCAGGCATGGTGGTGTGTCCTGTGGTCCCAGCTACTTGGGGTGCTGAGGTGGGAGAATCGCTTGAGCCCAGGAGGTCGACGCTGCAGTGAGCTGTGATTGCACCACTGCACTCCTGCCTGGGCCACACAGCAACCCCCTGCCTCAGGAAAAAAAAAGAAAAAAGTACATGTTGTATAATTGCAAGAAGTGCATGGCAGTCCCTCTGGCAGGCAGTGAGGTGGCTGGCTCTCTGCTCTCTGTTCATTTGGGGCAGTATCAAGTCTAAAACAACAGTCATTTCCCTTCTATTTCCCAGGGCACCTGATACCCTCTACTGATGAAACTGTTAAGATGTGGGTTGGTCTTTACAACCCATGGGAATAATCTGATTTTATTTTTATTTATTTATTTATTTTTGAGATGGAGCCTCTGTCACCCAGGCTGGAGTGCAGTGGCGCGATCTTGGCCCACTGCAACTTTGGCCTCCTAGATTCAAGTGATTCTCCTGCTACAGCCTTCCGAGTAGCTGGGATTACAGGCGCCCACCACCACACCTGGCTAATTTTTCTATTTTTAGTAGATACAGGGTTTCGTCATGTTGACCAGGCTGGTCTCAAACTCCTGACCTGAAGTGATCTGCCCACCTTGGCCTCCCAAAGTGCTGAGTTTACAGGCATGAGTCACTGTGCCCGGCTGAATGATCTGATTTTAGAGCAGAGATAGTATGCTTGCAGTCTAAATTGATTCAGAAAATGATGGTGCTGGAAGGGACCTGAGTGGCTACCAAGTTGATTCTAAAGTTGAAGAAACTGAGGTCTAGAGAGGGAATGAGGGCTAGGAGGAGTTTCCAGGCCCGGGCCCTTCCCTGCCTGCTGCTGTCCTCCTGAGCTGTACGGAGGCTGATGACCTGAACCCAGGAAAGGAACACCTAATTGAACACGTACTGTGTGCAGAGACAGTGCCAGGTTGTTTAGTGGCTGGGCCAGATCATGTCCATGAGACAGGTGTGGCAGCCCTCCTTCACAGTGGGAGTGGGGCTGGGAGGAAGCAGCGACTTACCCAGTGGCTGCTCTGTTAGGACGCCAGCTGCTTTACGTGCATAGCACACGTATTAATTCTACCCTCACCACAACCTTTTGAAGTAATATGAGGTCATCCTCATTTCAGCGATGATGATCCGAGGTCCTGACAGATTAAGTTGCCCAGGTTCTCACAGTGATAGAGCCAAAACTCCAACCCAAGTCTGTCTGACCTCAAAACTTTTCATTTTTCCCAAGTCAGTGAGTTAACCCAACCAGGATATCAAGAAATATTGATTGCATATGTGAGAATAGTAGACAAATACCCACAGGTGGGATGCTAAGCAGCCCTTTCCATATTGATTTCCAAGGAGTGAATAGAGACAAGATCCCTGAGAGAAACCTGCACTGTGAGATCTAGGAACCCCAGCAATCCCTACAGTCTAAGGCCAATTGATTGAAGTTAGAGATGTCAGATTACTGAAATTTTTCACCTAAATGATACTTTGCCTTGTTGGTGAAAGCCCTCACCCACACAGAATCATGTGAGCATTGTAAAGAGATGAAATAGGAGAAAATGCTTTGAAATTTAAAAACAATATATATGCAAGGTAAAACTGAGTCTGTGGACTTAGCCAAAGCTTATGGCTACAGATGAAAGGTATACCAAATATAGGAGTATGTCTGGGGTCTTTGTACGTAGTAGGTGTTCAGGAAGGGCTTGTTGAGAGGAATTATTGTAGTACAGAGAAATTCCAACACCAGAAATCAGCATCCTTCTCTTCCCCCAGCCTTGGGGAAAAATGATGAATTTGTTAACACTTCAAGCTGAAATTTACAGTAGCTGTTGTTATTAGTGAGGTAAGTGGCCACTTGCTTACTTTGGGTGAAAGATTATACTAAGTACATGAAAGAAAAAAATGATTTATTTTACCATCTGTGTACCTCTTATAAAGGGACGCCAGTCCAGGCACAGTGGGTCACGCTTGTAATCCCAGCACTTTGGGAGGCCGAGGTGGGCGGATCACCTGAGGTCAGGAGTTCAAGACCAGCCTGGCCAACATGGTAAAACCCCGTCTCTACTAAAAATACAAAAAAAATTAGCCAGGTGTGGTGGTGGGCACTTGTAATCCCAGCTACTCGGGAGGCTGAGGCAGGAGAATTGCTTGAACCCAGGAGGCGGAGGTTGCAGTGAGCCGAGATTGCACCATTGCACTCCAGCCTGGGCAACAAGAGCAAAACTCTGTCTCAAAAAAAAAAAAGAAAAAAGAAAAAAGGAACACCAAACTAATAATGGATGTTTACACTTACACAGCCAAACCATATTGAATGTTTGGAAAGAAGGGCATGATCATCCTGTAGTTCTCTGGTCTGGGTAGATTTTCGAGTCTGTGTTAACTTCTGGACACTACACCCTGAAAGGAGCCCGCTGTTACGTAGACATGTGTGAGGCCAGATTGAGAAGCTCTTGCTTTGATAGTCTCCTGACTTTTAGTTTACAGAGTTAATTAACAGTGACAGGAATGTCATGGAATGAATATGTAGCAGGAAGAAAAAAAAAACAACAACAGGCAGAAAGACCTTTTAAAAACATATATTATCATTTTGAAACCTGAAAAGTCAACCCCCTTATTTTGAAACAAAACACATACTTAACCTTAAAACACAAAACAATGAATTACAATAGAAATAGGAAACAGTGGTCTAAAATACACTCTTGGCATCACGTGGATATCTGACAAACACATGACCAAGACTGTGCTAATTGTGGGCATGTCCTAAATGTCTTTTAGGACAATTGCAAATGACCTTTTGCAATTCCCCACCAGCCAAGGTTTTGTCTATCTTTAGTTTCAAGAGTTTATATTATGAAAACAATATAGTTTTTTCTCCAAAGTAATTTATAGTTATAAATGGCTTTTTTTCAAACAGAATTCCTTTCTTCTTCTGGTTAAATTATCTAGGAGGGAGAGAATCAGATCCAAATCCAGAAGACAGGTTTTTTTTTTTTTTTTCTGAGACAGAGTCTCTTTTTTTTTGAGACAGAGTCTGCCCAGGCTGCAGTGCAATGGCATGATCTTGGCTCACTGCAACCTCCGCCCCCGCCGAGTTCAAGTGATTTTCCTGCCTCAGCCTCCCGAGTAGCTGGGATTACAGGTGCCTGCCACCATCCCCGGCTAATTTTTGTACTTTTAGTAGGATAGGGCTTCACCATGTTGGCCAGGCTGGTCTTGAACTCCTGACCTCAGGAGATCCATCCGCCTCGGCCTCCCAAAGTGCTGGGATTACAGGTGTGAGCCACTGTGCCTGGCCTCAGAAGACAGGATTTGAATTCTTGCTTGGCCCCACACATTCTGACACTAGTATCTTACTGGTTTTTCACCTATGAACAGTAATAATACTTATATTTACACAATGCTTCAAATTTTACAAAGCATTTTGATATCCATTACTTCATTGGAGATAGAGATTGTGTTGAATGCATTTCAAAAATATTGAGGTCATTATAAGAAGGATGAATCTATAATCTATATGCAAGCTACCAGTGATTCTTTTTTAGGGTACTGCCATAACAAGCATCGCCACATACTAGAAAGATCAGACTTGGGATCACCCGAGGTCTAGCAATTTTGTCTCTCTGCCGTTTGCCTTCACACAAATGTACCCATAAAGTAATAACCCGTATGTGTCAATGTCAGGCTAACAGCGCTTTCTTTTGTTTCAGATCGGGCAGTACATCATGTCCCTCCCCCTGAATCTTGAGCCATTTGTGACTCAGGAGGACTCTGCCTTAGAGTTGGCATTGCACGCTGGAAAGCTGCCATTTCCTCCTGAGCAGGGTAAGCGGGGACCGTTTCTGGCGATGTTACAAGTCAAGCTGTCAGTTTCCAGGGTAGAAACTCCAGATGACACCTTATCCTTGGGCTCATTTGTCACCAAGTCCTGTTTTTTTTTAACCTTCTAACATGTACTTTTTGTACACATGCTGTATCTAAAACAATATCACAACTTGAAAAATCTATAACCACATCCCACTGCGGAACGCACTGGTATTTCCACTTTCGCTTGTGCCTTCTGGCTCTGCTCTGTAAGCAGATGGTATTTTGTATGTAACTTTGTATTCTGTATTATTGTTATTATTGAGACAGAGTCTTGCTGTGTCACCTAGGCTGGAGTGCAGTGGCGCGATCTTGACTCACCACAACCTCCGCCTCCTGGGTTCAAGCAATTCTCCTGCCTCAGCCTCCTGAGTAGCTGGGACTACAGGCGCGCACCACCACGCCTGGCTAATTTTTGTATTTTTAGCAGAGACGGGGGTTTCACCATGTTGGCCAGGCTGGTCTCGAACTTCTGACCTCAAATGATCCGCCTGCCTCATCCTCCTAAAGTGCTGGGATTACAGGCATGAGCCACTGCACCTGGCCCTAAGATGTAACTGTTTTCGGTTTCCTGTGTTTGCCATTGAGATCAGAAGCTTCCTGGTACTTTGGTGCATTCAGCAGCTACTGCAGGCCTGTGTTTTCCTTGGTGACCTCCTTTTCTTTTCAGGGGATGAATTGCCCGAGCTGGACAACATGGCTGACAACTGGCTGGGCTCGATCGCCAGAGCCACAATGCAGACCTACTGTGATGCGATCCTACAGATCCCTGAGCTGAGCCCACACTCTGCCAAGCAGCTGGCCACTGACATCGGTGGGTCCCCACAAGACAGGCGGTGGGAGGGACAGCTCTTGCCTGCTGCATCTGTCAGTTTCTCCTTTGCCCTCCAGGAATCTCATCCCAAGTCTTCCCTTAGCTTCAGCTGTGGATTTGGCTCTGAAGCTGGTTGAAAATTCAGGTTCTCCAGGCCCTGCCCCAGAGATTCTGACTTAGCAAGACCGGGCTGAAGCTCAGACATCTATGTTTTCGAAGAGGACTTGAGAACCGTTGAGGGGAGCTTCAGTGAGATAAGATTCAGCGAGTCCTGCAGCCTGGCCCCACCTGGCCCGCTCCATTTGTGCCATAATTCCCAACCAGTGTTTAATGAGCTCTTACTGCATACCAGGCATGCCTGGCGCTGGACCAAGCACTCGCACCCATCGTCTTATGTAATTCCAAACTCCCCTGTGAGGTGGGTGCTCTCTTCTCCATCATACCGATAGGGAACGGAGGCCCAGGGCAGTTCCATAACAAGGCCATGTGGCCAGGGTCACTTTGTGGTCTCCATCCAGATAGCATCCTGCCTGCCAAGTCAGTGGGCGTGTCCCCTTTGCTCCTGCCTGCCCTCTTCACTGGAGGGCCTCACTGCCCAGGTGTACTCTGAGCATGGGGCTACTGCTGGCAGGTGGCAGGGAGTCTCCCCAGTCTCTTGATGCCATTCCAATACCTTGTCTGCTCTTTAGCCTAACGCACCTCTCGGGGTGGTCAGGAGAGCGGGTGGTAGAAGCCTGAAAGATCAGCTCCCTGGGGACACAGCCAGAGCTTCGTCCTCAGTGACCACAGGGCTGAGCCAGGCTCAACCGGCTTCTGGCTCTTGTTTTGCAGAAGAAGAACTAGAAGCAAGGTGCTTTCCTCCGGGTCCCAGAGCTGTTAGTGATGGAGCCAGGCCTGGGATCCAGCTTTCCTGAGTTCCTGACCCCTGCTCATTTCATAGTCAGCTCTCAGCACTTACCAGAGGAACAGGCAGCCTTTTGGCTACTGCCCTTCAGAGAAAGAGAGATGAGAGAATTCAAATGCGTGTTGGTGTTCCCTGTTAGTACAAGCAGCAGCAGGGGGAAGAACTGGAACTAGTGAGTGGAGTGAAATCTAGGGATTGCCCCTCAGTTTCAGTTGTCCTTGTTATTCCTCCCTGTTAAGCTCCCCCTGCAGATTCATTTCTTCACTCATTCAGCATTGCTCGAGCATCTGTGTGCCAGCTGTAGTTCTAGGAGATAGAGACAACAAAGCTTTAGGCAGCTCCCATGCTTAGTGAGCTTACACTGTAAGGATGTACGGTTAGGGGCAGGGAAGGTAAGGCTAGTATATGAAACTGACAGGGTATAAGGCGACAGAGTGGTGAGGTCTGTGGCAAAGCATGCACACCTGAAAGACATTCAAATTAAGCATGAGCACAAACAGAACAAAAAACACTGCTCGCCAAACAAAAATGTCCTAGTAGACTGTGGGCCCGCTCTTTGCAGCTCTTGGCTGACAGTCAAGTGGAGCTCACGGTTTTATGGATAAACTTGTAAAGGAGTAAGTACGTGCCTGGCGGCACCTTTGCTGGGAAGCAGCTCTTCCTGAGTCAGCCGTGACAGAGCAGGCATCTCCTCCTGGCCCTGCCCTGAGTGGGGCCTAAAAAGAAAACACAGGGGGCTGGGCACCATGGCTCATGCCTGTAATCCCAGCACTTTGGGAGGCCGAGGCAGGAGGATCGCTTGGGCCTAGGAGTTTGAGGCCAACCTGGGCAACATAGTGAGACCCTGTCTCTACAAAATATTAAAAACAAAACAAAACAAAAAACACAAGGAAAGTTGAGGCCTTGCCTGGAGCTCCACTTTAGTCAAGGAGAAGAGATGAACCCAAGATCAGAAAGTAGCCGGTGGGGGGGCACTGAGCGCGGTGGCTCATGCCTGTAATCCCAGCACTTTGGGAGGCTGAGGTGGGTGGATCACCTCAGGTCAGAAGTTTGAGACCAGTCTGGCCAACATGGCGAAACCCCGTCTCTACTAAAAATACAAAAAATTAGCCAGGCGTGGTGGTAGGCGCCTGTAATCCCATCTACTTGAGAGGCTGAGGTAGGAGAATTGCTTGAACCCAGGAGGCGGAGGTTGCAGTGAGCCGAGATCGCAGCATTGCACTCCAGCCTGGGCAACAAGAGTGAAACTCTGTCTCAGAAAAGAAAAAAAAAAAAAAAAAAAAAACTAGCCAGGGGCATATCGGGTGGTGCTGTCTTCTAGTCTTTCCAAGCATGAACTGGGAGGAGCTGGAGAAGGCTTTGCAAGGCTTCCCTTGGGTTGGGTTGCACTGCCCAGGCAGGAGGGAAAGGCAGCATTGATATATTGATCACCTGCGACACATCAGGTGCTCTCATGTTCGTTTCCCGCTTCATCCCCTATCCATGCTGCCGGATGGGTGGTAACTGTGGACAGATGGAAGCAGAGACTCAGGGAGGTAGAAGGGCTTCTCTGAGGTCACACCTGGCTGCACCTGGTTTGCTCCCCCATGCTGTCTGTTTTGCCCAAGCTTGCCTGGTGGTTAGAACCACCGGGGTCGCTTTGTAGAATGACAGAACCCTAGAATCCTCTCTTGGGATGCTCATCAACCTAGTCTGGGGGTAGGCTCAGAAATCTGTATCCGATTGTATCCCCAGTGCCTCAGGGGTCATCTGGGAAATGTGGAAACCTGTGTTATACCAGGGTCCCACCCCAGACACTGTCCTTGTCTTCACTGCGGCGTTCTGACTGGAGGTCTTTAGTAACTGCTCAGACAAGCTTGTGTGTCTCCTGACCCTCTGGGTTTTCCAAGTGGTCAGTGGATACCCTGGGGGCCAGGGCTTGGAACCCAGGAGTCCCCAGAACAGAGCTTTGGGTGAGGTCAGCTGGTCCTTCAGACTGGTGCTGAAGGCGGGTGTGTGCATGTGAGTGTGAGTGTGGATGTGAGAGTGTGTGCATGTGAGTGTGTGTACATGTGAGTGTGTGTGCGAGTTTGTGTGAGTTTGGATGTGAGAGTGTGTGTGCGTGTGTGTGCATGTGAGTGTGTATGTGTGTGGTTGGGGATGGGAGTGATGTTGGTTAGTTCTTTATTAAATTAGAGTTCCTAGACTCGAGCCAAGCTCACAGTCTGGTCTGACACTGTGGGAAGAACCTGGTGAGTAAAGGGCCTATTGAGGGCAGGGTTGGCGCCCCACATCTAGGGACTTGGCAGGGCAGCTTCTCTGTGTCGTATTCAGGGGAGGCCCTGTGGGGCTCTGACCTGCTTGGTGCTGAGTCTGTGGAGCTCTGTCTGTCTCCTCTCCGCCCCCACAGACTATCTGATCAACGTGATGGATGCCCTGGGCCTGCAGCCGTCCCGCACCCTCCAGCACATCGTGACGCTACTGAAGACCAGGCCTGAGGACTATAGACAGGTCAGCAAAGGCCTGCCCCGTCGCCTGGCCACCACCGTGGCCACCATGCGGAGTGTGAATTACTGACCCCACCACACACCGGACCACCAAGAGAGCCAGGGCTGCTGTTTCGCGACTCACCAGCACAGATTTGCTCAGAAACTCTGCCCAAGATTGGGCAGAAGTTACTTTAAAAAGACTTGGTTCAGCTGGTCACGGTGGCTCACGCCTGTAATCCCAGCACTTTGGGAGGCCAAGCCAGATGGATCATGAAGCCAGGAGTTCGAGACCAGCCTGACCAACATGGTGAAACCCCATCTCTACTAAAAATACAAAAATTAACAGCAGAGCGAGACTCTGTCTCAAAAAAAAAAAAAAAAAAGACTTGGTTCATTTGTATAATCAAAAAGAGTTGTAAATTAAAGATGTATTATTTATCAGAGAAGACTTTTTAGATAATTTTTTTAAAGGATCAGATCTTGAAAATGGAATAAATAACTACTGTGAAATGCAAGAAGACTGTTTCCTTCTTCTTTTTTTTTCCCCCTCACTCTTTCACCCAGGCTGGAGTGCAGTGGTGTGATCTTGGCTCACTGCAGCCTCCGCCTCCTGGGCTCAAGTGATTCTCCCCCTTCAGCCTCCCGAGTAGCTAGGATTACAGGCACCCGCCACCACGCCCGGCTAATTTTTGTATTTTTAGTAGAGATGGGGTTTTGCCATGTTGGCCAGGCTGGTCTCAAACTCCTGACCTTAAGTGATCTGCCTGCCTCAGCCTCCCAAAGTGCTGGGATTACAGGTGTGAGCCACTGCACCCAGCCTCTTACTTCTTCAGTGCATTTTTTAGTGCTTCCCACATGTCTGCCATGTTGTGCGCACTGGGAATGTCTAGGGATATGGGTCCTCCCCTGTAGCTTATGTTCAGTGGGAGAGGGAGGGAGAAGAAGGTAAATGGGGATAATTTCAGAGGTAAGTGCTAGCAGAAAAGCGGGTGTCAGGGTGGAAGCTGGCACTGCATAAAGTGGGCAGCCCGAGACCTACAGAGTAAGAGCCATGTGGCAGAGAGTGAAGGAGGAGGTGCGTTCAGGCCCAGGGAGTGGTGCAGACCGGGCCCTGAGGCATGTCCAAGGGCGGCTGGGGCAGGAGAGGAGGGGCTTCATGGAGGAAAGGGTGAAGCAGTATCCCTGGAGAAGCTGGGGGCCAGATCATAAGGGGGCTCGTCAGCCATGGTAAGGAATTAGGCTTTCAGTTTTTTCCTTTTTTTTTTTTGAGACAAGGTTTCACTCTGTCACCCAGGCTGGAGTGCAGTGGCACAATCGCAGCTCACTGCAGCCTCGAATTCTTGGGCTCAAGCAACTCCCCCGCTTCAGCCCGTTAAATAGCTGAGACTGCAGATGGAGACCACCATACCTGGCTAATTTTTTAAAACATTTTTTGTAGGAACGGGATCTTGCTTTGTTGCCCAGGGTGGTCTCGAACTCTGAGGCTCAAGTGATCCTCCTGCCTTGGCCTCCAAAGTGCTAGGATTACGGGTGTGAGCCACTGTGCCTGGCCCACATTTTTTCTTTTTTAAAATGTATGGTGTATGAACTTCAGTGTTTTTCATTAATAGCGTCTATCTGTTAAGATTATATTTGGCTATAAGTAATGGAATAACGTAATTTGAGTGACTTAAACAGAAATTAATTTTTCTTGATAACAAGAAATAAAAAGAAGTAAAAGGTGGCTGGGCACGGTGGCTCACGCCTATAATTCCAGCACTTTGGGAGGCTGAGGCAGGCAGATCACCTGAGGTCAGGAGTTCAAGACAAGCCTGGCCAACATGGCAAAACCCCGTCTCTACTAAAAATACAAAAATTAGCTGGGCATGGTGGTGCGTGCCTGTAATCCCAGCTACTCTGGAGGCTGAGGCAGGAGAATTGCTTGAACCCAGGAGGCAGAGGTTGCAGTGAACCCAGATAGCGCCACTGCACTCCAGCCTGGGTGACAGAGTGAGACTCCATCTCAAAAAAAAAAAAAAAAAAATAGTGGTGGCTACAGGCACTGATTTAGTGGCTGGTTGGAGTCAGGCCCTGTGATTTGAAACTTAGCCCCATGTGCTGGAGGCCTCATCGTGGCAGGTGACTCTTGCAACTGCAGGTGCTGCATCTGCATTCAGGGAAAAAGGGAGCAGAGAAGGTAGAGCAGCAATTCTGTCCCTTCTATCATGCAAGTGGCGGCTTCCCTGGAAGCCCTGGCCAGCCTTCTCCTAGCCCTCACTGGCTGTTTCTCAGTCATGAGGCATCCCCGCTACAAAGGAGGCGGGAAAGCCCAGGCTGGCTTCTACCAGCGTTTCTCAGCCTTGGCTATTGACGTTTTGGGCTGTACAGCTCTGCGTTTGACGCTGTTCTGTGCGTTGCAGGCTGTTTAACTTTCCTGACCCACTAGATGCCAGTAGTATTTTCCTAGTTGTGAAACCAAAAATGTCTCCAGAAACTTCCTCCAGTTGAGAAACACTGGCTTAGACCAATCAGGATTTATAGCCTGAGCTGGGCTTATTGGCTGCCTTGATTGGGTTTCTGTTAACAAGAAAGAAAGGGGATGGCAGTGGTGCCTGTCACAGGGGCTGTCATTGGAATTGAGCCCTGCCTGGGTCTCAGGGGCTGGGCTGAGCTCTGCCTCTCTCTGGGATGTCTCACTTAAACCTCACCACAGACTGGGCATAGTGGCTCACACCTGTAATCCTAGGGCTTTGGGAGGCTGAGGCGGGAGGATCGCTTGAGGCCACGAGTCTGAGACCAGCTTGGGCAACATAGTGAGACCCTGTCTCTACAAAAAAAAAATACAACAATTAGCCTGTGGTGGTGCACACCTTTGGTTTCAGCTACTTTGGAAGCTGAGGTGGGAGGATTGCTTGTGCTTGGGAGTTTGAGGCTGCAGTGAGCCAAGATTGCACCATTACACTCCAGCCTGGGTGATAGAGCAACACTCATCTCTATAAAAAATTTTTAAAAATTATCTGGGCTTGGTGGTGGGCACCTGTAGTCCCAGCTACTCAAGAGGGTGAGACAGGAGGCTCACTGGAGCCCAGGAATTGGAGGTTGCAATGAGCTGTGATCTCGCCACTGCCCTCCAGCCTGGGTGACAGTGAGACCCTGTGTCAATCAATCAATATATAAATAAATAAACAGACCTCACTCTAGCCTTGGGAGGCGGGGAGTCTTATCCACAGTGTGGCAAGGTTTAAGGACTTTCCTAGAGCCATTCAGCTACCCTGTGGCAGGGCCAGAGTTCAGAGTGAGCCTGGTGACCGTGGCACCTGTACTCTTGCCCGGCTATCAGGCAGCCTTCCTCATGTGGGACACGGTGGGCACGTGGCGGGACACATCCCAGCGGGCCGGCAGGTCGCCCAGGCCAGCCCTCTGGAGTGACCCTGCCATCCCCAAGGCCGTTCTTTTTTTTTGAGATGGAGTCTCGCTCTATCGCCCAGGCTGGAGTGCAGTGGGGTGATCTCAGCTCACTACAACCTCCGCCTCCTGGGTTCAAGTGGTTCTCGTGCCTCAGCCCCCCGAGTAGCTGGGATTACAGGCACATGCCACCATGTCTGGCTAATTTGTGTATTTTTAATAGAGACGGGGTTTCATCATGTTGGCCAGGCTTGTCTTGAACTCCTGACCTCAGGTGATCTGCCTGCCTCGGCCTCCCAAAGTGCTGGGGTTACAGGCGTGAGCCACTGCGCCCAGCCTCCAACACTCTTGAACCAGCCCCACTGGGCTACTAGGGCCAGTGTCCCACCGGCTCTGTCCTCACAGGGCTTCCCACACATGCCATCCTCACATCCTCAGAACCAGTTTGGCTGGCCCCGACAGCATCGGCTTCAAACCCACACAAAGAAAAATATTTTGGTTTCTCATGTGGTGGATCACAGGCTGTTCCTGGCAGGGTTTGAGCCTGGCTATTGCCTCGAAGAAGCGAGAGCCAGAAACCTGGAAGGTGACACATGCTGCTCGAAAGTGGAAGCTTTGTGGTGAGCTTTGTGCTGGGCTCATGAGAGCTACTAGGCTGTGGAGTGGGACAGGCTTGGGCTTGATTCAACGCTTCGCCAACTCCCAGCTGCTGTGTGACCTTGGAAAAGTCACCTCACCTCTTCGCGCCTCATTTCCTAATCTGAAAACTGGGAGTCAAAATGGTACCTAACTCACAGGGTTATTTGAAGAGCCGCTGAAATACAGTGGTGGTGGCCACATGTACACAATGTTAATTTCTTTCTTTTTTTTTTTTTTTTTTTGGAGACAGAGTCTCGCTCTGTGTCCCAGGCTGGAGTGTAGTGGTGTGATCTCGGCTCACTGCAACCTCTGCCTCCTGGGTTCAAGCAATTCTCCTGCTTCAGCCTCCCAAGTAGCTGGGATTACAGGCATGCGCCACCATGTCTGGCTAATTTTTGTATTTTAGTAGAGATGGGGTTTCACCATGTTGGCCAGACTGATCTCGAACTCCTGACCTCAAGTGATTCGCCCACCTCGGCCTCTGAAAGTGCTGGGATTACAGGCATGAGCCACCGTGCCCAGCCCACAATGTTAATTTCATAGTCTTCTGGCATCTGTAACCCTCCTTTCCTTTTGGGGTAGAGTTGGGAATTACAGAATGCTGTTTTTGGGCAATTTGGGCTCTGCAGGCCTAAGTTTCCAGCCGTGAAAAAGGGATCTCAGAGTAGGAG
Source organism: Homo sapiens (assembly GCF_000001405.40). Classification (NCBI taxonomy): domain Eukaryota; kingdom Metazoa; phylum Chordata; class Mammalia; order Primates; family Hominidae; genus Homo; species Homo sapiens. The sequence continues at coordinate 23,384,313 of NC_000016.10, read as the reverse complement.
CGGGACAGCATTTCTCTTCGCTAGATCCAGAGGGCAGGGGAATGAATGACTTGGAGCCTGCTTTTAGCAATGAGGCCATTGCACCACAGCCTGGCCCTCATGGCCCCTTGAGAGCAGGGATGGCAAGCTGATGCTCACCCTCAGCCTGGTCCTGACCTCACAATCTACAGGCAGCTCCAAAATGTCTCTGAACAGGACCTCTTACAGGTGTCTGTAAAGGGCCGCCCTCCATAGATTCACTCAGGGCCGGCCAGGCAGCATCTTCATCCATTCCCTGTTGCCATGACCTGTTCAGGATGATCGTGGGCCCTGGGTGGGTCCAAACAAGCCTCATTCTTGGGGCTATTGCTGGGAAAATGTTCAGGAAGAGCTTTCTTCCCCCTGGGATTGCTGTGCTGAGGGGACAGGGCTGCAATTGCAGGTGTAAAGAGATATTCAGAAAGAACAGCACGTGGAGGAAACCTTTCTAAGAAGGACAGCAACACAGAATCACCAGATAGGGCCAGGCGTGGTGGCTCACACGTGTAATCTCAGCACTTTGGGAGGCCGAGGCTGGTGGATCGCTTGAGCCAAGAGTTCAAGACCAGCCTGGGCTACATGGGAAGACACCCTCTCTCCAAAAAATACAAAAATTAGCTGGACGTGGTGGTGCATGCCTGTAGTCCCAGCTACTGAGGGAGGCTGAGGTGGGAGGATTGCTTGAGCCCAGGAGGTCCAGACTGCAGTGAGCCGTGATTGTGCCACTGCACCGCAGCCTGGGCAACAGAGTGAGACCCTGTCTCAAAACAAGAAAAAAAGAAACCTTAGGCCGGGCATGGTGGCTCACGCCTGTAATCCTAGCACTTTGGGAGGCCGAGGTGGGTGGATCACCTGGGGTCAGGAGTTCGAGACCAGCCTGGCCAACATAGTGACATCCCATCTCTATCAAAATATAAAAATTAGCCAGATGTGGTGGTGGGCGGCTGTAATCTCAGCTACTTGGGAAGCTGAGGCAGGAGAATCGCTTGAACCCAGGACGGGGAGGTTGCAGTGAGCCGAGATAGCGCCATTGCATGCCAGCCTGGGCAATGAGCAAAACTCCATCTCAAAAAAAAAGAAAAAAGAAACCCCAGACCTAGGCGAGCCCCTGCATACAGCCATGCCTGAAACCCTTTTACTACAAGAGCTAATGAATTCCCTTTGTAGCTTAAGCCTGTTCAAATTGACATGTAACTGAAGAGCTGTCACGCGGGCTAGATAATAATGCCCCATAGCTTCAAATAAGATAATAAATATGAAAGCTCTGGGCTCCCGTAAGGGACTGGTATTGTTATGACCATTGGCACCCAGAGGGTGAGGCTGGGGTCTCAGCTTTGTCACTTAAAAACCTCGAGTACCTTACTTCACCTCTTAAGCCTCAGTGTTCTTACCTGTGCAATGGGATGCTATTATACTATTTCTCAGTGGTTATGAGAATGAAATAAAATTTAAAAAGTTACTGGCATAGTGCCTGGCATATGATAAGTACTTGATCCAATGTAGTCCTTGTTTAATAACAACAAATGGTAACAGTGATTGTGGCCACAACTACTACTGCTAGTAATAAAAGCGGTAATCACAGTAGTAAGTAATCACAGCGGTAATCACACAGTAAGTAGTAAGGGTGGTAACCACCAAGAGTTGTGGGCCCAGCCTGCGAGCTAGCCAGGCCCCAAGCTGGGAAACCCGGTTTCCTACTCAGCCCTCCCTACTCAGCCCCTAGCAACGTTGCCTTTGACTGAAGTGGCACCGACTCTGTGGCACCTCCTTCTTCCACAGGTGCCATCCTGAGCACTTGATGGGAGGCCAGCTTGTTTACCTTCCAGACCAAGGGACACAGGTGACCTAGGCCAGGAAGGCTGGGCCCTCAGAGGCTCAGGCTCTAAGCCAGCCTCTCCTTCATCACCAGGGGCCCGGTAGGTGACAGCAGGGTGCTGCAGTGCTGTGTGTGCACCTGCCAGACCGTACTCTGGTGACAGCTCCCTGATCTCTCTTTGGGTACCTTAAGCTTTTGGGGGACGGTATTTAGCAATTAAAAATACAGAATGAAAAAAATTAAAATTAAATTTTAATTAAAAAAAATTAGCCAGGCATGGTAGTGCACACCTGTAATTCCAGCTGCTTGGGAGGCTGAAGTGGGAGGATGGCTTGAGCCCAGGAGTTTGAGGCTACGGTGAGCTATGATCATGCCATTGCACTCCCACCTGGGCAACACAGTGACACCCCATCTCTATAAAAATATATATGTATAAAATGCTCAAAAAAAACAACAAATGATTTATTTGTATGTGTCTCTAGTATTGCATGGATGTACATATACTAAAAAAATCAGTTTTTCGGCTGGGGTCGGTGACTCATGCCTGTAATCCCACCACTTTGAGAGGCTGAGGCAGGTGGATCGCCTGAGGCCAGGAGCTTGAGACCAGCCCGGCCAACATGGTGAAACCCCGTCTCTATTAAAAATATGAAAATTAGCTGGGCGTGGTGGCATGCACCTGTAATTCCAGCTACTCGCGAGGCCAAGGCATGAGAATCACTTGAACCCAGGAGGCAGAGGTTACAGTGAGCCAAGATCGTGCCACTGCACTCCAGCCTGGGCAATGACAGTGAGACTCCATCTCAAAAAAAAAAAAAATCAGTTTGTCTATCTGAAATTCAAATTCAACCAAGCAGCCTGATTGTTATCTGGCAACCGTGGGTACTGTGCCCCCACCGCCCTTGGACCATGTGATTCTCCTGGGGGCCAAACTGGCTTCAGGTCTGGGCAGATGAATTCAGGTGTGACCAGTCAGAGCAGCTTATCTAACTGGCCACACTGACTGGGTCAGAGATGGGTACACAACCCAGGCAGGGATCAGTGAGTGTCAGCCTGGGAGCTGGCAGTGGAAGGAGGGGCTTGAGAGCCTTTCCCTTAAACCAGTTTGGGTCTCAAGCCACTATGGATGCCCTTCCGCCATCAGGGCACCTCGGCTGCCCAGTCAAACAAACAACACAGCTGGACTCAGTATTTTCTACTTTTATTTTCTAGAGTAAATCAGGTGCCACTTGGCAGGGTCCCTACACCTGATGCCCTTCCATCTCTCCACCACCCCTGCCCCAGAGGCCAGCCAAGGCCAGGAAGGAGAAAACCACATGGCCCACCCGCCTGTTCCTCTCTGGGGTGGATGGAGACTGGCACTGGGAGGGAAGTGGCCTGCCACCAGGAGAGGGTGTTCCGAGGGGTCTTCAGGACCAGGATCAGGACAGGTAGGGACGAGGGTAGGAACCAGGTGAAGATACAATTTATTCCTGCATCCTGTACCAGCACCGTGATTCTACAGAGCCCTTGGCCAGTAACGGACCAGTTGCCGCTGGCCTCTCTGTTGAAGGACACAAGCTCTGGCCTGGAGAGCTACCCTCCCGACCCTTTGGAGAGGGCACCATACAGTGAGGCCTCGGGCAACAGTCTTGGCTGCTCAGTGAGTTTCAGCCGCCCGGGGTGGGCAGGGGCAGGGTTAGATGGCATCACCCTCACTGTCAGACTCGATGACGTCCAGCGGCTGCAGACGCAGGGAGTCATAGTTGGGGGGCGGGGTGCCTGGGATGGGCAGGGCCTGCTCACTGGGGTAGGGCCCAGTGTTGGGGCTGCGGGGGGCCGTGTCAGGCTGGAAGCCAAAGTTGGTGTGGGCCTCCACCAGCTCGGCCACGGTGGGCGGTGGGCCAGCGTAGCTGGCTTGGGCTCGCCGCTGCCGTAGGCTCTTGGCCAAGGCCACCAGCTTGATGATGGTGATCCACACAAAGTCGATGATGATCTCCCCAAACTCGATGAGGCACAGCACAGAGCCCCCCATCCAGAAGCCAAACTGGCCACCCAGATTCGAGAGCAGCCAGACGATCTGTGGGGAACAGGGAGCTGGGGTGAGCTCAGGCCACACATTCTTGCCTCTAGCCCAGCCTCACAGCTTCCTGGGAGGTGATTCTTGGGTGGGAACGGGAGGGGGTGACCATCTTGGCCCAGGGGAATAACTTGGGACTGTCTTAGGGATCTTCCTAATTCCTTCATAGGGCTCAGAACCCTTCCCCCACCCTCAGGGTGCAGGGGTCAGGGCAGGGCAGGGCTGGGGTATTGGGAGACTCCTAAACTCACGTTATTGGCTGCTGATTCTTCAATGGTGCGATAGTTAAATTCTTGGAAGTAGATGTTGAGCTTGACAATTCCCTTCCTGCAGGAGGCAGCGAGAAGGGCCGGGACTAATGTATCCCCCTTCCAAACAGACAGACACACACACACGCACATAGACACATGCACACACATGCACGTGCACACACCCACATGTATGCACACACATGTACCCACACACCCGTGCACACATGCACACAGGAAGGCAGCCAGGGATGGCCGCCCCAGCCCTCCTCTGTCCTGAGCTTCTCTCATGCGTGCCCCCGTGAGTGGGGAGGTCCAAACGAGAACTGCAAGTGCAGCCCTTCCCGGCCCTTCTGGGCATCTCTGCCCAGCACCCATCCTATGGCCCCCTTTCTCCATCCCCTGACTACCAGTTCCCTACAGGACACTCTGGCCTGGGACAGCCCCAAAGATCTGCTCTGAGCTCCCCACTTTGTGCCATCAGGGTGGCCTGGGCTATACGGAGTGACTCCGCACAGAGCTCTTCACTGAGCCTTGAGCGCCTTCACTGCACCTGGGACAGAGAAGGGTGGCTGTGTGGGCATCCCCTCCCACCTGATCGTCCTCAGGCTGTGCTGTCTCGTGCCTCCAGGCTTTCCAGCTTTGTCTTCTGCCTGGACATTGGTACCTCTTCTTATCTGAACAGCACTTACTCCTCCTTGGAGAGTTCACTCAAAGCCACCTCCCTACGCAGACCTCCCTTATCTCTCAGGCAGACTGAGGCTCCTTCCCTGCTGTACTCCTAGAGTAGGGGGCTTGTACAGACCCTCCTCTCCTTGAGCCCTTTTTACATATGTTTGCCCCCTAGACTCCTGCTAGCTTGGACTGTGTGTCTTTCTTGTGCTCAACTAGTGTTTGTGTTGAATGGATGGAGAGATCCATGAATAAACGGAGGATGGCTGGGTGCGTGGGTGGGAGAATGGAGAGGTGGATGATGGAGGGATGAATGGGTGGAGGATGGCTGGCTGCGTGGGTGGGAGAATGGAGGATGAATGAGTGGAGGATGGCTGGGTGTGTGGGTGGATGATGGAGGGATGAATGGGTGGAGGATGGCTGGGTGGGAGAATGGAGGATGAATGAGTGGAGGATGGCTGGGCGCGTGGGTGGATGATGGAGGATGAATGGATGGCTGGTTGGATGCACAGTGACAGAGGGAAGCACAGGCTTCTCCTTAGCAGGTGGTAGACTCAGAGTCCCCTTGGCTGCCTTTCCTCTCTCTCACTCCTAGTGCCTCCTCCTCAAGACTTGCTCCTCGGTCTGACCCATGTGAGAATGTGTCTGAGGAGCTGTCCTGTGTCCAAACTCCTGCCCCGAGTTTCTGGACCCCTTCCCTGTCTTCCCCAGCCCCGCCCAGGCTCAGGCTCACCTGCTCAGGGTGATATTGGTGCTTTGGTCCCGCTCCTGAGACAAGACGTGGAAAATCCAGTCCTGGAACCCAAGAAGGTGGTTGCAAAAGTTGCCATCTGCAGCATCCCTCCCAGTCATGGCTCTGTTCCCTGGGGGAGGTAGACCACAGCCCTGTCCCTTCCTGAGGCCCCCGGGGGAATCACAATTTGGATGAGGAGCAGGAGGAAGGTCGTAGTGGAAGCTGTGGCTGCTGTTCTAGGGGAGGAAGGACTCGGGCCTCCAGACTCTTCCTCGGCGGGCCTGGCCACCCTGCCCGGCTCTCTCCCACCTCTGGTCCTCACACTTCCTGCTCCCTCTGCCCGGAATCCTCCCCAGCTCTGCCCATGATGGCTCAGCCTCTGCCTCCAGGTGTCAGCTCCAATGTCACCTTTTCAGAGAGGCCTTCCCTGACCACTCGGTCTAACATGCTTTCCCAGAAGCTGGGCATGGTGGCTCATGCCTGTAATCCCAGCATTTTGGGAGGCTGAGGTGGGAGGATCGCTTAAGGCCAGGAGTTCAAGACCAGCCTGGGCAACATAGCGAGACTCCATCTCTACAAAAAGTTTAACAATTAGCCAGGCCTGGTGGCATGTGCCTGTGGTCCCAGCTGAGGATCACAGCTGAGGCAGGAGCATCACTTAAGCCCAGGAGTTCGAGGCTTCAGTGAGCTGTGATCGTACCACTGCACTCCAGCCTGGGCGACAGAGGAAGCCCCTGTCTCCAAAAATAAAAAATAAAGTAAAAATACAAAAATAAAGTAGTTTCCCGCAGTTACTCTCTCCCATAACCTGTTTATTTATTTCACAGCCATAATCACACTTTGAAACGATTTTATTTCTGCTTGTGATCTTGGCCCTCTCCTATTAAAAGGATTATGTCTGTCTAATTCTGTGCTGTGTACACAGCACAGTGCCTGGGAGAATATTGGTGGAAGGAAAGAAGGAAGGAAGGAAAGAAGGAAGGGAGGGAGGAAGAAAGGAGGAAGGAAGGAAAGAAAGAAGGAAACAGAAGTGGGGAGGGAGGGAGAAGGAAGGAGGAAAGGAAAGAAGGAAGGAAATGAGAAGGGAGGGAGAAAGGAAGGAAGGAAAGAAGAAGGGAGGGAGGAAGGAAGGGAGAAGGAATGAAGGAAGGAAGAAAGAAGGAAGGAAGGAAGGGAGAAGGGAGGGAGGAAGGGAAAAGAGAGGAGGAAGGAAGGAAGGAATAAAGCAGAGAAAGAAGGAAGGAAGGAGGGAAACAGAGAAGGAAGGAAGGAGGGAGGGAAAAAGGCACCCCCTTCAAATTTCCAAATAGCCCACATCTTATGCCCAGACTTGTCCCCAGCCAAAGGTGGGAGCCAGGAGCTTGGCCCCCAACTGTCTCACCTCGGAGGCCTCAGAAGGCCAGTCAGCCATGGAGATGGTCATCTTGTACTGGGTGTCACTGAAAGAGAAGGCCAGGCCTGTTGTGGTCCCTGCCAGTGATGCCCCTCCATGCCTGCCCGCTGCTGTGCCCGCCCACCCGCACTCACTTGCAGGACTCCTTGCACATGCCAATGCAGGTCTCTCTCTGCGCCACGCTCATCTGTAGATCTGAGTAGCAATGGGCTGCGCAGGAGACAGAAAGGCGGCCAAGAGGTTTAAGGGGGCTTTTTAGGTGCCCCTGTTCCCTGCTGAGCCTCTGGCTGGCCCCTCTGCTCTCCTGGCCCTGTGGTTAGGTGGCAGGAGGAGGTGTCATGAAAAATCACCGCTCCCCACCCAGCCCCCGACCTCCAGCCATTTCACCCCAGCCTGGCCTGGGGCCCAGCTCAGGGGGGTCCCAGCAGCTTTCCCTTTGCCGGCCATCCCCATCCCTGCCTGGTGGACAGGGTTATGGGGTCATGAACAAAGGGTGGGTGACTGGAAGGAATAACGTTTTCCCATTTAGTTTGTGTTGGTTGTAAGTGGTGAGTCTCCGGCTGACAGCATTCTTTTTATTCTCTCTCTCTTTTACTTTTTTTTTTCTTTCTTTCTTTTTTTTTTTTTTTTATAGACGGGGTTTTGCCATGTTGGCCAGGCTGGTCTCGAACTCCTGGCATCAAGTGATCTGCTCACCGCGGCCTCCCAAAGTGTTGGGATTACAGGCACGAGCCACTGCACCCTGCTGACAAAATTCTTCGGTGGTTGGACTCCAGACCGCCAGGGCTCCCAGGCCCCAGCTCCAATTGGTTGTGAGCCCAGCAGGGCTCTTCTTCCTGCTGTGACTCCAGGTTTCGAGTCCTTGGAGGCTACCATCATGCTAATGGCTTCCTCACACTCCCCTTCCACCCAGCGCCTTGCAGAGAGACCCAATGAGCCCACATAGACATGAACACACATGCTGAAGATGGACACGTGGCCTTATACATACATGCACGTGCACACACACACACACACACACACACACACGTGCACAAAAGCCAGAGTGCACAAATGCAGACCCTGGAAGTGATTTGTGCCTGTGCATAAACTACATACAGCAACCCACTGCAGTCACGAACAGCTCCTGTGCATTTGGACGCAAGCATGGAAATGCCTTTGCACTTGTGCACTTGGAAACATGAGTGCAGGCACACACTCGCCAGCAGCCACATGCCCAGGGTTGCACATGTGTGAGCATTTGTGTGGCACACAGACACAGGCCCACAAGGACACGTGCATTCTATGCCTATGTGTTTCAAGCCCATGCTTCATGAAATTGAGGAGCAGAGAGAAGGCTGGGCTCCTGCAGAAAGGAGGCCTGGGAGGGGATCATAGGAGGGACCTCAGACTGTGGAGGAGCCACCCTGGGCACATCTCTGGACTCTGCTGAGGGCACTGAGCTCTGCCTCCTCCTCTATGGTCAGAGCCTCTGTGGCCCCAGATGGCTGGAGTGCCGATCCCCCGTGCCCCCGCTCACCCCAGTCTGGGAAGTCCCGGTTGTTGCAGTATTTCTCCCCACGGGGCAGTGGGTACAGGTAGTGGCCACAGTTGCAGTTACGGATCATGTGGTCTTGGAAGCAGGAGCGAAGACAGGCCTGGGGAGGGTAGGGGGTTCATAAGGAGAGAACACAGGCATGGTCAGTGATGTCCCCATTCCAGCACCAGGGGTGTCCAGAGAAGTGATGCCCAAGTTAAGGGAGGTAGGTGAGCTGGTGGAGGTGCTCCAGGGCTGAGAAGCTGTGGTGAGATGACTGGCTGCAGCTACAGACCCCACAGTCCTGGACGCTTTTGGGCTTCCCAGCAGGTCTCTGGACCCCACAGAGGGACCCAGGCCAGACCGCAGTATCCCAGGTCCCACCATTCAGAGCTGGGGTCCTCACCCTTCAACATGGGGAAGAGCGGCTTGCCCCTAATAATAAAGCCAATGCTCAGAGAGCTCTCATTATGAGGATGCCAGCCTCCGTCCAAGCACCTGACACAGATGCACCCTGACAGGCCACCGAGGAAGCTAGGCAGGCTGGCTCTGTGCTCCTTCCTCCCAGAGGGAATTGCCCAGGGAAAGCCAGGAGAAGGATGATCTCTGGGCGTCTTAATGCACAGCTGATGACAGAGGAAGTGAGTGGCCCACTGGTCTGCAGAATGTCTCCTGGTGGGGCGAGGAAGAGGAGGGCTCCCAGGCAGCCTCCAGGAGGCTGGACGTGATGAGTCTCCACTCACTCGGCCCCAACATACTGGGCTTTCAGGTCATTCTGACCTGGTTTCAGTCCACTCAGAGACCAGCTATGTGTCCTAGGGCGAGTCATGACCCTCTGGGGCTTGGTTTACTCATAGGTGAAACAGGGTGCTGAGGACACCTGTCTCCTGAGGTTGGGAGGGAGGATTCAGGGCCACATCAGGTGCTCAGGAAGCGCTGCACGGATGGAGGCAGTGGTTCTTGGTGTTTCATTGCCTATCCAGTTTCCTAGGTCCTGACTACCCCGGGCTCCTGGACACAGCCCTGGCCAGCTCCTCCCTACCTCTCTCCACTCGGCCCCGCCCCTCCACACCTGCGCTCCTGAGTCCTCTTCTGTTCCTCCTGCAGCCCGGGCTCCGTCTCAGGTCCCTATGTCCTGCCTTTCTATTACCCCTAACGAGTCTGTGGCTCTCTGAGGGCAGGAAATCAGGGCTGGAAGGCAGATTAAACGGCATGGCCAGGAGGAGCCAGAGCTCGGTTTCGGGCAAGTGTTTTACATTCTTTTTTTTTTTTTTTTTTTTTTTTTGAGATGGAGTCTTGCTCTGTTGCTCAGGCTGTAGTGCAGTGGCATGATCTCGGCTCACTGCAACCTCAACCTCCTGGGTTCAAGTGATTCTCCTGCCTTAGCCTCCTGAGTAGCTGGGATTACAGGCATGCACCACCACCCCCGGCTGATTTTTGTATTTTTAGTAGAGACCAGGTTTCACTATGTTGGCCAGGCTGGTCTCGAACTCCTGACCTCAAGTGATCCACCCACCTTGACCTCCCAAAGTGCTGGGATTACAGGTGTGAGCCATCGCGCCCGGCCTCTTTTTTTTTTTTTTTTTTTTTCCTGAGACAGGGTCTCACTCTGTTGCCCAGGCTGGGGTGCAGTGGCACGCTCATAACTCTCTGCATCCTCAAACTCTTGGGCTCAAGTGATCCTCCCGCCTCAGCCTCTGAATAGCTGGGACTATAGGCATGCACCACCACGCCCCACCAAGGCGTCTTATATTCTTGTAGACCTCTCTGTCTCATCTGGAAAGTGGGAGTCCTTCCAGGCCCTGTGATGGAGGCTGGGGTGGGCTCAAGCCTGCTCCTGGTTGGGGTGTCCATGGGGATGGGCAGAGCTCCCGATCAGGGCCTGGCTCTTGGCTGTTTTCTGGCCTGGGTGGCTACCACACCGGAAGAAACGAGAGATGCAGTTTTCCTGGAATGAGGTTTCTGGGGCTGGTACCTTCTTCTCCGTGTTTCCCACCTCCCTGTACTGTCCTGTCTGTCTGTCTGTCCCTCCAGAGGCTCAGATGACGGCTAGAGTTCTCCATAATGGGCAGAAGTCCCTCCAGACGCGAGGTGGCCAAACCAGCCAGGCAATGGGTGGGCAGGTGGGCACCAGGAGGGTCATTTCCTACGGGGAAAGGGCAAACCATGCCATGCTCGGGCACCCAGACACTGAGGCAGGCACTGGGCTGCCCTCTTGTTATGACTCAGTGCACTGATATGGCAAGGCAGACTGGGCTGGAGAGGAAGTATCAGCGAGTGGTCATTTTTGTCACCTTTGCAAGGATTCAGTCTGCCCTCTCCAAGGGGGCCAGGACTAGTGGCAGGTCTGGGTTAACTCTGGAGATCAGGATGAGAAGGAAGCCTCCAGCTACAGCAAGGGGGATTGAAGGCAGATGCAAAGAGGGACTTCCAGTGGGCGCAGTGGCTCATGCCTATAATCCCAGCACTTTGGGAGGCCAGAGTGGGAGGATTGCTTGAGCCCAGGAGTTCAAGACCAACCTGGGCAACATAGCAAGACTCTGTCTCTGCAAAAAATTTTAAAAATTAAGAAATTAGCCAGGGACAGTGGCTCATGCCTGTGGTCCTGGCTACTAGGGAGGCTGAGGCAGGCGGATTGCTTGAATCCAAGAGTTCGAGGCTGCAGTGAACTATGATGGCACCACAGCACTTCAGCCTGGGTAACAGAGCAAGACCCTGTCTCTCTTTTTTATTTTATTATTTTACTTTTTTGAGACAAGAGTCTCACTCTGTCACTCAGGCTGGAGTGCAGTGGCGTGATATCAGCTCACTGCAACCTCCGCCTCCCGGGTTCAAGCAATTCTCTTGCCTCAGCCCCCTGCACAGCTGGGACTACAGGCGTGTGCCACGACGCCTGGCTAATTTTTTTTTTTTGTATTTTTAGTAGAGACGGGGTTTCACCATGTTGGCCAGGCTGGTCTTGAACTTCTGACCTCAAGTGATGTACCCGCTTCGCACTCCCAAAGTGCTGGGATTACAGGCGTGAGCCACCATGCCCAGCAATCTCTTTTAAAAAAATAATAATAAAGTCCGGGTGCGGTGGCTCATGCCTGTTATCCCAGCACTTTGGGAGGCCGAGGCGGTGGATCACGAGGTCAGGAGTTCAAGACCAGCCTGGCCAACTTGGTGAAACCCCGTCTCTACTAAAAATACAAAAAAATTAGCCGGTGTAGCGGTGGGCACCTGTAGTCCCAGCTACACGGGAGGCTGAGGCAGAGAATTGCTTGAACCTGGGAGGCGGAGGTTGCAGTGAGCCAATATCACGCCACCGCACTCCAGCCTGGGTGACAGAGTGAGACTCCATCTCAAAAAAAAAAAAAAAGGGACTTCTCAGGTAAATTGATGATGCATTTGAACTGGGGTCTGTCAATCCCAATTTCCTCATTCCCAGAATGGGAATGATAATAGTATCTACATCTTAGGGTTGTTGTGAAAGTTAAATGATGTAATATACATGTAAATTACTTACAACAGTGACTGCCTAACACATGGTAACCCTGCTATTATTAGTTTATCAATAAATGCTGCTGTCATTACTATATTGTAGATTCATGGCAGGAGGCAGTTGAAAGATTAAATGACGATGGAATGTGTTCCAGCCCTTCGCACAGCATTTCACACACAATGGAAGCTTGATGGTGTTAGCTGCTATTTTTTGTTTTCATCTTGGGAAACCCCAGAGTAAGATCCCCATAATCCCCTGGGCTTCCCCAGGGGTACACCTGCCAATGTGGGGATGAGAAGTGGCCAACCCTAGGCCCTGGTGAGAGAGCCCAGGAAAGTGACTGGTCCCACAGGCCCGGGGTGCCCCGTGGCAACCTACAAAGGCCCAGCAGAGCCAGACTTGCTGGGGCCAGCTCTCCCGGAGTACTGAGGCCTTGGCCCCATAAACCCGGACAGGGGCCCCGGGGCATGAGGCGTGCACCACCTTCCCACCTGGATGGAGTAGGTCGTGTTGTAGTCACTGTAGAAGTTTTGGACGGGGACCTCAGAACCATTCACGGTGCACGGGCTGTAGGGCTCCCCCATGCGCTGAAGCTTGTCCTGTGTTTAGAGGGGTTGCTTGAGGGGGACACTGGTCACCCCAGGAAGCCCTTTCTGCACCTCCCTTCTATCAAGCATTTGGGGACAGAGGGCTGTGGACCCCTGCAGGTGCCAGGGGGGGCGCCAGAGGGGGCGCCAGAGGGCTCACCTTCCCCTAAAGCTTGGGCCACCCTGGGGGGATTCCAGCCAAAAGGAAGGAAGGCCAGGGCTGGGGGGCCCAGATCCCCTCCTCCCAGGCCAAGGGCAGTTGGCCCTGGACAGGTGGGCTCCCACCCTCAGACCCTCTAGGACTGCCCTTGGGCTCCGGCCATACCACGAGTACCCCGATGGACGTCTCTGTCCCCGACATGGCGTAGATGCCCTCATCTCTGATGAAGGGGTATGACCTCTGCTCGTGAAGCATCAGCCTGACCCCGGCCGTGGACGCAAGGAAGGGGACGTAGTCTTCCTGGCCTATGTCCAGGATCAACTTCAGGCCTGTGGGGAGGGTGGGGTGAGGGCTGCCTGAACTTTCTCCTGAGGCAGAAAGGAGACCCCACTACCCACTTCTCCAAGCTCCCTCCGGCCAGGGGACCTCCAGGGACCGCCAAGGAGGCTGGCTCCACTTTGCAAAAACTCAGTCCTCAAATACTGCTTGCCTTCTGCAAAGCCCCCATCATCTCTAAGGCAGGCTCTTACGTAGCCTCCTCCCTAGGTGTCTCTTGCCTCCCGTGATCTCTTTTCTGATCAGGAGGTAGATCAAGGAGGCATAGCATGGCCACGGCCCACCCATGCCACCCCACCTCACACCACAGGTGCCCTCGCTGTCCCCGTTCAATGCCTCCGAGCTTCTGCACGCCTTCCTCCTGCTATGCCTTTGCAAATGCTGTTCCCTCACTCTGGAATGCTGTTCCTCACTCTGGAGTGCTGTTCCCTCACCTGGAGTGCTGTTCCTTGCTCTGGAATTCTGTTCTCTCACCTGGAATGCTGTTCCTCAATCTGGAGTGCTATTCCCTAGCTCTGGAATGCTGTCTCTGCCCCTTCCCTTCCCCTAGAAACACATGCTCTTCCCTCAGATCTCAACCAGCATCACTTCCTCCAGAAACGTTCTCTGATGGCTCAGACGAGGTGTCAGGGTCTTGGTTGTACACTTTCCTAGCCCCGGAACTTTCCTTCTGAGTACCTGCCTCATTTGTGTGATTGCTCTTTTATTGTCTGTCTTCCTTCCCCTCTTGACTGTTCTCAAGGGAAGGGACTGGACCCAGTCTCCCACGCACCACGGTCCTGAGCTACGTGGAGTTGAGTCCCTCTGGTTAGGACAATAAGGGCTAGTTGAGCACTTGCTACCTGCGGGGTGATGTGCTAAGGGCCTCATTAAACATGAGCTCCTTGGCCGGGCACAGTGGCTCACACCTGTAATCTCAGCACTTTGGGAGGCTGAAGCGGGCAGATCACTTGAGGTCAGGAGTTCAAGACCAACCTGGCTAACATGGTGAAACCTCGTCTCTACTAAAAATACAAAAATTAGCCAGGCATGGTGGCGGCCACCTGTAATCCCAACTACTCGGGAGGCTGAGGCAGGAGAATTGCTTGAACCTGGGAGACAGAGGTTGTAGTGAGCCGAGATTGCGCCACTGCACTGCAGCCAGGACGACAGAGCAAAACTCCATATCAAAATAGAGAAAAAAAAATACAAAAATTAGTTGGGCATTGTGGCGCATGCCTGTAGTCCCAGCTACTTGGGAAGCTGAGGCAGGAGAATCGCTTGAACCCAGGAGGCGGAGGTTGCAGTGAGCCAAGATTGCGCCACTGCACTCCAGCCTGAGCGAGAGTGAGACTCCATCTCCAAAAATAAAATAAAATAAACATGAGCTCCTCGGATGCTCACAAGGGCTGCATGATGGAGGTACTAGTATTGTCCCCATTTTACAGATGGAGAAACTGAGGCACAGAGAAGTGAAGGGACTTGTCTGAGGTCTTCCAGTGAGGAAGTGCTTTTGCTGGGCTTCTGATACAGCAGCTGGCTCCCTGACTATAACCATCTGCCTCTGGGAGTAAGTTGACTGGCACCTCTGTGGCAGTGCTCTCAGCAGCATGGGGGCTAAGTGAAAGGCACTCAGCTCACCTGCCCTCTTGGCCAGCGGCCCCGATGGTCGCTGAATGAGAGCCTGCCTCTTGGTGGTTGCAGAGGTCAGAACCTAGAGATGGGAGGAGGGATCCACTCCCACCTGTGCCCGGCTCACAAGCCGCAAAACCACAGCCAGCCTGAGTCCACCAGCCCCTCTCTAGGGGTCAGTGCAACACATGAGCCCCGAGGGAGGGGGATCCGTCATCCACCATGCCCCACTTCCTCACTTCCATGGACTCCTTCAGCTTCTCTCTGTGTGTCTCTGTCTTTCTTTAAGAACTGTACAGCTGGGCGCAGTGGATCACATCTGTAATCCCAGTACTTTGAGAGGCCAAGGAGGGCAGATTGCTTGAGCCCAGGAGGTCAAGACCAACCTGGGCAACAGGATGAAACCTTATCTCTACAAAAAATTAGCCACCTGCAATCCTAGCTCCTCAGGAGGCTGAGGTGGGAGGATCACCTGAGCCCAGGAGGTTGAGGCTGCAGTGAGCCATGACCGTGCCACTGCACTCCAGTTTGGGTGACAGAGTGAGACCCTGTCTCAAGAAAACAAACAAACAAACTGTACACCAGAGAGGCAGAGAGACTAAGAGACTGTTATGTATTTCTTTTCTTTTTCTAATTTGTATAAATGTAAGGGGTTCAAGCGCAGTTTTGTTACATGGAATTATTATACAGTGGTGAAGTCTAGGCTTTTAGTGTAACCTTCACTGGAATCATATATACTGTACTCATTAATTTCTTGTCCCTCACCTGCCTCCTACCCTCCCACCCTCTAAGTCTCTGATGTCTCTCCTTCCACACTCTATATCCACGTGTGCACATCATTTAGCTCCCACTTACAGGTAAGAACATGCAATGTCTTTTGGTCCATGTATTAACTGCATGATCCTGGACAAGTTGTTTAAAAACTGCTCAGAATACTCAGCATATATGGAGCATTCCCTACTTCCTAGGCAGGTGAAACGATTTACCACATTACATCGTAATGACTCACAAGGCTTATACTATTTACTCATCATCATGGCTCACACGGTAGATACGATTTACTATACTAAATGCTCTGCTCTGCTACTATATACTAATCTATGATTGGGGAAACTAAGGCTTTGAGAAGGTTGCTCTGGAGCTCAGGAACACCACCCAAGTAAATGGTGGAGCTGCAGTGGTGTGATCATGGCTCACTGCTGCCTTGACCTTCCCAGCTCAAGCGATCTTCCTGCCTCAGCCTCCTGAGTAGCTGGGACTACAGGTACGTGCCATCATGCCTCGCTAATTTTTGTATTTTTTTTTTAAGAGATGGGGTTTCACCTTGTTGCCCAGGCTGGTCTCGAACTCTTGGGCTTGAACAATCCTCCTGCCTCGGCCTCCCAAAGTGTTGGGATTACAGGCATGAGCCACCACGCCTGGCTGAAGCTTGAGCTCTTGACCACGAAGCTGTGCTGCTTCCAAGTCCTCACTTTGCTCATCAGTAAAATGGGAACACCAGTTGCTACCCCACGGATTCTGAACATTGTGGGCGGGAATGGCTGAGGAAGCGCCTGGCCTGGCCTCCCCTGGCACACAGTAGAGCCTCGGTAGCAGCCACTCCTCTTGATGCCTTGGTCCCCCCTCAGTCCCACCCTGCAACAGCTGATGGTCTTTCAGTCCCACATTGTGGGGGTGGTTAAAGCCTCATGGCTCTGGCCCCACGATAAACCAAAACTCACCGAATTCAGTTCCAGGGTTGGCCGAAGGAAGTGCCTTCTCTGTCATGCCCCAGTTGAAGATGTAACAGTTGCCATAGTGAGGGTAGAAGATGGACGTGAAGTTCCTAAAAGAAACAGCATCAGCTGCAGGGCAGGTTCCACCACAGGCAATGCCTCCCCCGACTGTCTGCCGTCCACCTTTCATTTCCTCCTTGGAGGGGCTCCGAAAGGGAGAGGCGAGCAACAGGTCATTCTGTCCATCCTCTGGTCCAAACCAGAGGGGAGATTCCCAGGCTCCCTTGGGAAAGCAGGGGAAGAGAGTTTCTCTGGAGTTGGGGCTCAGGCTCTCTGGTTTGGCCATGAGTTATGAAAAAGAACTTTCTGGCCGGGCGTGGTGGCTCACGCCTGTAATCCTAGCACTTTGGAAGGCTGAGGCGGGAGGACCGCTTGAGGCCAGGAGTTTGAGACCAGGTTGGGCAACATGGTGAGACCCTCATCTCTACAAAAAATACAAAAATTAGCCAGGTGTGGTGGTGCATGCCTGCAGTCCCAGTTACTTGGGAGGCTGAGGTGGGAGGAACGCTTGAGCCCAGGAGTTCGAGGCTGCTTGAGCTATGATTGTGCCACTGCACTCCAGCCTGGGTGACAGAGTGAGACCCTGTCTCTAAAACAACAACAAACAACAACAACAAAAATGAAAAAGAACTTTCTCAGATGTTTTCATCTGTCTCGTATACACCTCAAAAGAGGCACATCCATGTCCTCAGCCCCGGAACCTATGAGTGTGACCTTATTTGGAGAAAGGGTCCTTGCAGATGTGCTAAGGATCTCGAGATGAGGTCATCTTGGATTATCCAGGTGGGCCCGAAATCAAATGACAAGCATCCTTAGAAGACACAGAAGAGAGACAGATACAGAGGAGAAGCTCATTGAAGACTGAGGCAGGGGCCTTCAGACACAAGCCGAGGAACTCCTGGGCCCACCAGAAGGCTCAGGGGAGAATTCCTCCTTGCCTCTTCTGATGACTGGTGTGCTGGAGTTCATCAAACTCTGTTCAGTCGAAGTGCATGTTCTCAAGTCTCCAAAGTAAGCAGCTTTAAAAAATATCTCTTGATGTTTCTATGTTGTTCTTTTTTTATTTATTAAAAATAAGAGGAGGTTGGGAGCGGTGGCTTATGCCTGTAATTCCAGCACTTTGGGAGGCCAAAGTGGGAGGATCACTTGAGCCCAGGAGTTTTGTTTGTTTGTTTGTTTTTGAGACAGAGTCTCACTATGTTGCTCAGGCTGGAGTACAGTGGTGTGATCTCACTCCAGGCTGAGGAGAATCTCAGCGATTCTCCTGCCTCAGCCTCCTGAGTAGCTGGGATTACAGGCACCCGCCACCACACCCGGCTAATTTGTGTATTTTTAGTGCAGATGGGGTTTCATCATGTTGGCCAGGCTGCTCTTGAACTCTTGACCTCGGGTGATCCCCACACCTTGGCTTCCCAAAGTGCTGCGATTACAGGCGTGAGCCACTGCACCCAACTGAGCCCAGGAGTTTGAGATCAGCCTGGCCAACGAATTGAGACCCTATCTCTACAAAAAATAAAAAATAAAATAAAATAAAAAGCCAGGAGTAGTGGTGAGTGTCTGTAGTCCCAGCTACTTGGGAGGCTGATGTGGATTGATCACCTGAGCCTGGGGAGGTTGAGGCTGTAGTGAGCTGTGATTGCACCACTGTACTCCTGCCTGGGCAACAGAGTGAGACTCTGTATCAAAAAAACAATAATAATTTGTAAAAAATTAAAAATAAAAACAGGAAGGAATGAGAGTAAGTACATCAAATAATGCACACACATAAAACGTCACCTGCCATGCAGTATTGTCTTTGAAGCCTTATGCTCCACAGCAAACATTCACTGAGTGACTTTTATGGGCCAGGCCTGTGCTGAATCTTTCTGTATTCGTGATCTCATTTAATTCTCAAAATAACCCCACAAGGGCAGGTGTTATTTTCCCGTGTTTTCAGATAAGAAAGCCATTTCCTGTATCTTTTGTCTCAGCTAGTTGACTTGCAGAATGACTTGGGTCCAGGACAGGCTGTGAAATGGGATATGGGGGCCGACCCAAGCTCTGCCACTGTCAACAGATTTGAGCTGCTTACTCAACCTCTGAGCTTGGGTTTCCTCAACGGTGCAAGGGGAAGCAGGAAGAAACCACATTTTTCCACCCAATAAATGTTTGTTGAGGTGGGTGCTAGGCTAGGGACACTGAGCAAAACAAGACAGGGCTGCCTTTTGCAGCTTCCAGTGTGGCAGAGGACAGAGAGTGGAATCCTATCAACCCCCCTCTCCTTCCAAGATGTGACTTCTTTCTTTTTTCTTTCTTTCTTTCTTTCTTTCTTTCTTTCTCTTTCTTTCTTTCTTTCTTTCTTTCTTTCTCTTTCCTTCTTTCTCTTTCCTTCTCTCTTTCTCTCTTTTTCTTTTCTTTCTTTCTTTTTCTTTCTTTTCTTCTTTTTCTTTCTCTCTTTTCTTTCTCTTTCTCCTTCTCTTTCTTTCTTTCTTCCTTCCTTTCTTTCTCTTTCTTTCTCTCTTTTCTTTCCTTTTCCTTCCTTCCTCCCTTCTTCCCTTTCTCTCTTTCTCTCTTTTCTTTTCCTCCCTTCCTCCCTTTTTCTCTCTTTCTCTCTTTTTCTCTCTTTCTCTCTTTCTTGACAAAGTCTTGCTCTGTTGCCCAGGCTGGAGTGCAATGGCGTGATATTGGTTCACTGTAACCTCTGCCTCCTGGATTCAAGCAATTCTCCTGCCTCAGCCTCCTGAGTAGCTGGGATTACAGGCAGGCACCATCACGCCCAACTATTTTTTTTTTTGTTTTTGAGATGGAGTTTTGCTCTTTCACCCCAGGCTGGAGTGAAGTGGTGCCATCTCAGCTCACTGCAACCTCTGCCCTCTGTGTTCAAGCGATTCTCCTGCCTCAGCCTCCCGAGTAGCTGGGATTATAGGTGCCTGCCACCACAACCAGCTAATTTTTGTATTTTCAGTAGATATGGGGTTTCACCATGTTGGCCAGGCTGGTCTCGAACTCCTGACCTCAGGCAATCCACCCACCTCAGCCTCCCAAAGTGCTAGGATTACAGGCGTGAGCCACCATGCCTGGCCTAATTTTTGTATTTTTAGTAGAGATGGTGTTTCACTATGTTGGCCAGGCTGGTCTTGAACTCCTGACCTCAGGTGATCTCCCACCTCAGCCTCCCAAAGTGCTGAGATTACATGTGTGAGCCACCACGCCAGGCTCCAAGATGTGACTTTAGTCTGTCCACCTGTCTCCACCTCAGACGCTCCCACCCTGGCCCAAGTCACCAGCATCTCATGTCTGGATTCTTGCTGGAGCCTCTGCCTCTGTTCATCCTTAAAGTCTTCCTTCTGCACAGCAGTCAGGGTGATTGTTTAAATTTGTGAGTCAGAGCACGGTACTCCCTTTCTGAGAACCCTCCAAAGGCTTCTTGTCACTCACAGAATAAAGTGCAAAGTCCCTATGCTGGCCTTCTATGTCTCATTCCCTACACTCCAGCGACACTCTAGATGTTTCCAAGCTCAAGGCTTTTGCCTCTGTTGTCCTTTGTGCCTGGAATATTCTCTAACCAGCTCTTCAGATACTGGCTTCTCCCCATCCTTCAGCTTTTATCTGCTCTGAGGCCTCCCTGAACCCCTATGCAAAGTGATGGACTAGAACTATTAGTTAATAGTACTTTATTACTAATAGTAATAGAATTTTCTACCTAGTTACTCTAGATCTTTTCCACCAGTTTATTTATATTTATTTATTTATTTATTTTGAGATGGAGTTTCACTCTTGTTGCCCAGGCTGGAGTGTAGTGGCATGATCTCAGCTCACTACAGCCTCTGCCTCCCCGTTCAAGTGATTCTCCTGCCTCAGCCTCCTGAGTAGCTGGGATTACAGGTATGCGCCACCACGCCTGGCTAATTTTTGTATTATTAGTAGAGACAGGGTTTCACCATGTTAGTCAGGCTGGTCTTGAACTCCTGACCTCAGGTGATCCACCTGCCTTGGCCTCCCAAAGTGCTAGGATTACAGGGTGAGTCACTGCACCTGGCCCTTCAACCAGTTGATTATCTTCTTTATCAGATACATCAGAATCTGAAATCAGCTTCCTTTTTTTTTTTGGTAGAGACAGGGTGTCACTCTGTTGCCCAGGCTGGAGTGCAATGGCGTGATCATAGCTTACTGCAGCCTCAAACTCCTGGCCTTAAGATATTCTCCTGCCTCAGCCTCCTGAGTAGCTGGGACTACAGGCATGTGCCACCACACCCAGCTAATTTGTAAAATTTTTTGTGGAGATGGGGTCTTGCTATGTTGCCCAGGCTGGTCTTGAACTCCTGGCCTCAAGTGATCTTCTGGCCTCAGCCTCCCTAAATGCTGGGATTATAGGCATCCACCACTGTGCCTGGCCTGAAATTATCTTCTTGATTTAATTGCTCACTTAGCTGTCTCCTGCTTAGAACATAAGCCCGGGGAGGGAGCATGACCTTGTCTGTCTGGAAGGAGAAGAGCTCAGAGGTCAAGAGCACAGGCCACAGAGCCAGCCTGCTTGATTTCAATTCTGGCTGTGTCCCTTAGCAGCTGGTGAGCTTTGGGATGGTTACATCACGTCTTCGTGCCTCACTTTCCCCATTTGTAACACCAGATAATACTACCTACATGACTGCGGCAAGGGGTGGATGCCTAGCATACTGTAATACTCAAAAAATCTTGGCTGCTACTGTTCACAGCTCCATGCCCAGGGTCTGGTACAGAGCACACAGACACTCAGTAAATATTTGATGAATAAATTACAATAGGCGATAAGAGCATCGACAGAGATAAGTATGGAGAAGTGACACCCAAGTCCCAGTGGAGAGTGGGGAGCGAGTCAGGGAAGGTTTCCTGGAGGAGGGGAGGCCTGAGCTGAGACTTTATGAACAAGTAAGCGATGGCTAAGTCTACAGGGTAGGGAGGAGAAAGGGCTCACCAGGCAGGGACACAACACAGGCAAAGCCCCAGAGGGAAGAAATAGCTCTGGGCGGGCACCATGGAGTCTATAAACTGTGGGATCAGGGCTGTGGCCACAGGAAAAGAACAGAGCAGAGCAAACCAGCTCAATCCAGGCCCTGCTCTTGAAGGAGAGACCTCGCCCCAGGGCATGGGGACACAGTGTTCCCAAGGAACTGTCTTGGTCAGATGCAGCCCAGGAGCAGGAGGCTGCATGGGGTGTGGCCAGGTCCCCTCCTGCCCGCGCCATGCTCTTGGTCTCCACGTGCGTGCCAACTATTTGCTTGTTGATAATACTCTTCACCCAGAGAGGCTGCTCCCAGGACTGGCTGCCTCTGATTCCAGAGCCAGGTGTTTCCCTACAGAAATCTCTGCTGGGCTGGGAGCCAGGCATGCAGACAGAGACCAGTGAGCCTCCAGAAAAGACTGGGAAATAGAGCATCCTAGCAGGAAGCAGTATAACCACTGTTGTGTGGTCAGAGGTCAGGAAAGACTTTCCAGGGCAGAAACTAGTTGGATAATCCCTGAAACAACAACAACCATAGTAATAATAATGCTTATATATGCCCAGATCTTGGTTTCTTTATTTTTAAATTTTATTTAACTTTATTTTTTTTTTTTTTGAGATTGCTCAGGCTGGAGTGCAGTGGCATGATCTTGGCTCTATACAACCTCTGCCTCCCAGGTTCAAGTGACTCTCCTGCCTCAGCCTCCCTAGTAGCTGGGATTACAGGTGCATGCCAACACACCCGGCTAATTTTTGTATTTTTAGTAGAGATGGGGTTTTGCCATGTTGGCCAGACCGGTGTCAAACTCCTGGGCTTAGGCAATCCTTCCACCTCGGCCTCCCAAAGTGCTGGGATTACATACATAAGCCACCATGCTTGGCCCAGATCTTGGTTTCTAAATACCATTCTTCAATTTAAAAAACCAGAGCTTGGGCAAGTCTTGTTGGCTCTCTCCTGTAATCCCAGCACTTTAGGGGGCTGAAGTGGGAAGATTGCTTGAGCCAGGAGTTTGAGACCAGCTTGGGCAACATAGGGAGACCCCATCTCTACAAAATAAAAAAATTAATCGGGCACGCGATTGTGTCACTGCACTCCAGTATGGACAACAGAGTGAGATCCCATCTCAAAAAAAACAAAAACAAAAACAAACAAACAAACAAAACAACCAAAAAACCAAACAGAGCTCTTTAGAGAAATGGCTGATTCTAGGGCGGGGGCATCCTGTAGTGCCAGAAAGTAGGCAAAAGTTAAAAAACCCACCCAGGTGAGGACATATCAAAGGCACACAGGTGCTAACTGACAGAGTGGCCAAAGCTAGAAGAATTTAAGCAAGAGAATAGATAACAAGGAATTGGATTACAACCTAAATCTACAGGAGTCCATACTGTGTCAATAAATGATGGAATAAATAAATAAATGGAGGAGATGAGACAAATCTTCCTTTACAGAAGAATTCCAAATAATATATATTCTTCTCTCTAGGAGGGGTGGAGCTCAATGCTCCTTTCCCACTGGCCACTCCCTTCCCCTTCCCCTGAGCGTAGTCTGAATTTAGTGACTCCTTTCCAAAGTACAGAGCAAAGGCCAGCACAGTGGCTCACATCTGTAATCCTAGTACTTTTGGAGGCTGAGGAGGGAGGATCACTTGAGTCCAGGAGTTGGAGGCTGTGGTTTTTCTGTAAATCTAAAACTATTCCTCGATAAAAAGTCTCTCTAGGCCAGGCGCAGTGGCTCATGCCTGTAATCCCAGCACTTTGGGAGGCTATGGCAGCAGATAACCTGAGGTCAGAAGTTTGAGACCAGCCTGGCAAACATGGTGAAACCCTGTCTCTACTAAAAATACAAAATTTACGCTGGGCACAGTGGCTCATGCCTGTAATCCCAGCACTTTGGAAGGCTGAGGCGGGTGGATCATGAGGTCAGGAGATCAAGACCATCCTGGCTAACACAGTGAAACCCTGTCTCTACTAAAAATACAAAAAATTAGCCGGTTGTGGTGGCGGCTGCCTGTAGTCCCAGCTACTCGGGAGGCTGAGGCAGGAGAATGGTATGAACCCGGGAGGCGGAGCTTGTGGTGAGCCGAGATAGTGCCACTGTACTCCAGCCTGGGCGACAGAGTGAGACTCTGTCTCAAAAAAACAAAACAAAACAAAACCAAAAACCAAAAACCAAAAACCAAAAATTAGCCAGGTGTGGTGGTGCATGCCTGTCATCCCAGCTACTCGGGGGGCTGAGACACGATAATCACTTGAACCCGGGAGGCAGAGGTTGCAGTGAGTGGAGATTATGCCATTGTATTCCAGCCTGGGGGCAAGAACAAAACTCCGTCTCAAAAAAAAAAAAAAAAAAAAAACCACCACCACCACCAACAACAAAGTCTCTCTCTCTATATTTTACTCTCACTCTGTCACCCAGGCTGGAATGCTGGAATGCAGTGGTGTGATCTTGGTTCACTGCAGCCTCAAACTCCGAGGCTCAAGTGATCCTTCCCCCTCAGCCTCCAGAGTAGCTGAGTCTACAGGTGTGTACCACCACGCCGGGCTAATTTTGTTATTTTAAAATTGTTTTTTGTAGAGATGGGGGGTCTCACTATGTTGCTCAGGTTGGTCTTAAACTCCTGGCCTCAAGCGATTCTCCCTCCTTGGCCTCCCAAAGTGCTGGGATTAAGTGAGCCACTGCACCTGGCCAAAAGCCTTTTTATTTATTTATTTATTTGTTTATTTATTTATTTATTTATTTATTTTTTTGAGATGGAGTCTCGCTCTCTCTCCCAGGCTGGAGTGCAGTGGCATGATCTCAGCTCACTGCAACCTCTGCCTCCTGGGTTCAGCCTCCTACCTCAGCCTCCCGAGTAGCTGGGATTATAGGCGTGAGCCACTGCACCCAGCTAATTTTTGTATTTTTAGTAGAGATGGGGTTTCACTATGTTTGCCAGGCTGGTCTCAAACTCCTGACCTCAGGTGATCTGCCTGCCTCGGCTTCCCAAAGTGCTGGGATTATAGGCGTGAGCCACCATGCCCGGCCCAAAAGCCTTTTTAAAAAAATGCTCCTATAATGTTTACTATGTGCCAGGCATTGCACCAGGTACTTTGCATATGTTCTCATTTAATCCCCCAATAATGCTATGTGGTTATTTCACTGTCCCCACTTTCCAGGTGAGGAAACTGAGGCACAGAAAGGCTAAGTAGCATGCCCAGTCACATACTGAGCTGACATTCAAGTCCAGGCAGTTTGGTGTTGGGGTCCACATGCGGCTCACATTTTCCTAATTCTGCAGCTGCTGCTTCTAGAGTGTTTGTCATGTTAGGAGGGGGACAGGATGGAGTCAGAGAGAGAGGGAGGAAGCAGGGGCCACAGTGTCTGTGGCCCAGCACCGGGAGAGCAGAGAGGCACATTCCCACAGCTGTGTCCAAGGCTGACTCAGGAAGGCAGATGACCAGTCAACTGTGGGAGTGAGGAAGAGCTCAGAGAGCAGTTGGCTGAGATCTCTATGCTAAGGTGCCTGGATGGTACCTTTCACTGGGACCTGCCGAGGGCTGGGGAAATAGGCTTGGGAGAGGTGGGTAGGGAGGGAAGATGACGATCACCCTTTCTGATGAGGCAATAGAGTGATGCGGGGTGGGCCTGGCCCAGACTGCTAGCTCTGCCACTCACCAACTGTGTGACTTCAGAGATGTTACTTAACCTCTCTGGGCAGGTTACAGCAACTATAAAATGATGGGGAAGGCTGGGCGCGGTGGCTCATGCCTGTAATTCCAGCACTTTGGGAGGCTGAGGTGGGAGGATCACTCGAGGCCAGGAGTTTGAGACCAGCCTGGGCAACAGAGTGATACCCTGTCTCTTAAAAAAATAAAATAAGGGGAAAATAACAGCTCCTTTCTCATGACTTTGTTGCCAGAGTGAAAGCAATTTTAACACACAAAGTGCTTAGAATAGTGCCTGACACCTACAGGGACGAGAAAGGCCCAGTAAATGTTGGCATAATTATTGAATTTGCATTCCTTGTCAAATTGGGGTTTTTGTTTTTGTTGCTGTTTTTTAAGAGAGTCTCCCCCTGTCGCCCAGGCGGGAGTGCAGTGGCACAACCTCGGCTCACTGCAACCTCTGCCTTCCGGGTTCAAGTGATTCTCGTGCCTCGGTCACCTGAGTAGCCGGGATTACAGGCATGCGCCACCACACCTGGCTAATTTTTGTATATTTAGTAGAGATGGGGTTTTGCCTTGTTGTCCAGGCTGGTCTCGAACCCCTGGTCTCAAGCGATCTGCCAGCTTCGGCCTCCCAAAGTGCTGGGATTATAGGCATGAGCCACTGAGCCCAGCCTAAAATGTGGGTTATAAAACTATTATAAAAGTAATAGTTATAACTATTATTTATTAAGCCCAGTAGTAGGGTCAGTTACTCATGCATATTAATTCACTTAATATTCAAAGTAACCATGTAGGGTAGGTATTGTTCTCTCCCCTATTTTACAGAGGAGGGAAACTGAGGCACAGCAAGGCTAAGAAACTTGTTCAAGGTCACACAGCTTGTAAGATGGAGCCAGGATTTGAGTCTAGGTGGTCTAACCCCAGACCCCAAGCCTTGACCCTTTCATTACACTTACCCCCTACCCCTCGCACATGGCAGAAGTTATGTGGCCAATATTTGGGGGTTTTAGTGGCCCATCAGCCAGCTATTTTCCCTGTTTCTGCTAACAGTTCTTTAGCTTCCCTTGGGGGACCACCCGTCCCTCACCCTCAGCCCATATGACTCAAATGGGGCTCCTTTTGGAGGGTGCTATGTTGACAACAGGCCAGCTATACCCAGCCCAGCCCAGCTACCCATGAGGTGGCCGGCACAGCTTTCGGGGCTGGGCTGTGAGTGGAACACAGGCCCTTGAACACTGGGATCCCGTTGGATGGGTAGGGAGTTGACAGCAGGTTCACTTTCCTGCCCCACTCTCGCTCCTGGGCGTGTTCTCACTGAGCAGATGGGCCATGCACTTGAAGTTGCAGTGTTACAGCTCTCTTTCAGCTGAGCGGGTGAGATGAATGTGCTTGTGGACATTACAGTAGTCTGTTTGGTATCCCTAGCCTTATGGCAGGTGTGGTTGGCGGGTGTGCCCTGAGCAAAGGACCCTGGCCAAGACAGTGAGGCTGAAACACAGACTGTGACCAGCTAGCCATGGGGTGGCCCTCAAGGAAGAGGGTATCCCATCAGCAGGGCGCCATCAGTCAAATCTTCCACCTATGGGAACCACCTTTTGCTAATCTGTACAATGGGACATATGTGCTGCTCTGTCCTGCTTAGTGGCCTTGAATTATTTGACATTGTGTGCAAGAACCCTGCCCATGTGTGCCTGTGCATTTGTTTTTTCCTTTTTAATACAGAGTCTCACTCTGCTGCCCAGGCTGAAGTGTAGTGGCGCGATCTCTGCTCACTACAACCTCCGCCCCTGGGGTTCAAGCGATTCTCCTTCCTCAGCCTCCCAAGTAGCTGGGATTATAGATGTGCACCACCACTCCCGGTTAATTTTTGTATTTTTAGTAGAGACAAGGTTTCGCCATGTTGGCCAGGCTAGTCTCGAACTCCTGACCTCAGGTGATCCACCCGCCTTGGCCTCCCAAAGTGTTGGGCTTACAGGCGTGAGCCACATGTCCGGTTGCACCTGTGCATTTTGAGGGGACAGAGGCCCCAGAGCTTTCTGAAGAATTCTCATTAGAGGTTCTGGAAGGTTCTGAGTTCAGAGAGCTGCCTGCAACCCCAGTCCCTCGGAGGTGAGCTTGGAAGCCTGTCACGTGCCCATAGCATTAAGATTCAGCTAAAAGCTCCTTTCCACAGAGGCCTGAAGTGTGAGCATTGGAGGCCCCAGATCAAGGAGGATACCATCGAATCTCAGAAACAGGACTGGCTGAAACCTGGGGTGGGGCCGAGGTGGGTGTGGCATACCCCACACCTGGAGGCTGGGTCAGGAGGCCGACAAGGGGCTCTGAGGCCTCAGCAGTGTTCCTGCCCATCCTCAGGCCTCCTTCCCACGTGCTTCTGCCAGCTGAGCTCTCTGGAGGCTGTTAGGAGGGGATAGAATGGAGATTCCCCCCGTTTCTGGTTGTCCTAGAGACTGGGACAACACCTGATGCTTAGGCCCAGGGTTGGTTTGCCAGGAGCTGGGAGGCCAAGGAGGTGGGAATCTGTGGGTCAATTGCAAGAAGACCTAGACCTCCAGGGTTACCATTACCCTCATTCTGCCAGTCTCTCATATTAAAGGTTGTTAGGGAAAAAGAATATTTACAGGAAACACTTTTATAACCTCGTGTTTTTTTGTTTTTTGTTTTTTTTTTTTAAGAGACAGGGTCTCATTCTGTCACCCAGACTGGAGTGCAGTGACGTGATCATGGCTCACTGTAGCTTCGACCTCCTGGACTCAAGTGATCCTCCCTCCTCAGCCTCCTGAGTAGTTGGGATTACAGGTGAGC
The DNA here is from genome assembly GCF_000001405.40 of Homo sapiens. Classification (NCBI taxonomy): domain Eukaryota; kingdom Metazoa; phylum Chordata; class Mammalia; order Primates; family Hominidae; genus Homo; species Homo sapiens. Next base: position 23,356,492 of record NC_000016.10, on the reverse strand, counting down.
ATGACTATATCTGGCTGGTTTTTGATTTTTTGTAGAGATGAGGTCTCGCTATGTTGCTCAGGCTGGTCTTGAACTCCTGGCCTCAAGCGATCCTCCTGCCTTAGCCTCCCAAAGTGCTGGGATTCCAGGCATGAGCCACCACGCCCAGCCTCATAGCCTTGTTCTAGGTGCTGCCATGAACTTACTCATTTACTCTTCTCAATGACCCTATGAAGAAGCTACGATTATTGTTCTTGCTTCAGAGATGAGAAAACCGAGGCAACAGATGCCTGGGTGCCCACCCTGATCCCCTCATCGGGCTGGTGCACCCACCCCCAGCTGCTAGAAGTGAGGTCTGGGAGGTTAGGAGACACCTCATCAACCTGTTGGGAATGACCCACAGCCAGTGACCAGCTCACGGGGCACGCAGAAAGGCTGGTCCCCTCCTTCAAGGGAGGACCACTCTGGTTCAGTTTATGCTCCAGATCCTCCCACAGATCAAGCTGAGCCTAGACTTTACCTAAGACCACATCCTTGTTTAACTTTTTCCTCCTTCCTTTTAAAATTTAATTTATTTTACTATTTTCTAGAGCTGGAGTCTCACTATATTACCCAGGCTGGTCTTGAACTCCTGGTCTCAAGCGATCCTCCCGTCTCCACCTCACAAAGTGCTGGGACTACAGGGGTAAGCCACCCACCCACCACGCCCAGCCTTTCCTTTTTCTTTTTCTATTTTCTCCTTTTCCTACATGTTCCAAATCCTCCTTCCTTATCCCACTTTCCCTGCAGACTTTTCCTAACACAGTTCTCTCAATGCTTCGCGAGCTCTTCAATACATCCCTGCCTCAGGCTCTGCCTCCAGGAAACAGGACCTAAAAGACACCGAGGCACAGAAAACTGTGCTGCAGATAGCCGGTAAGTGGCTGGGCAGGATTGGAACCCTGGCAGGCTGTGCTCCCAACCGTAACATGCCACTGTCTCTCGGTGCCAGGGCCTGGCCGGGTGGGCTTGGGGTGGCTCTCACCGGTAGTTGCAGGGCTCAGCTCCGAATAGGCAGGCCAGGATCATCTGCTCGCCGGGGTAGCTCATCTCTACTAGCTCCTGCTGTGGCACCTGTGCAAAGATGTTGGTGGCCTGCAGGATGTACCACTCTGTCAATGCCTGGGTAGCACTGGTGAAGTTCCGGAAGGTACACTGGGTCCTGTTGAGGCTACACTGTGGAGGCCAAGAGGGGTTTTTGTGGGTGGCGTGGGAGCTGCTAGCAGGACCCCAGCCACTGCTCGAGGGCCCTAGCAGGGCAAGAGCTGTGCTTTGCCAGCCACCTTTCTGGCTGCAACTTGGTGGTGGGAAACGTTCACACTCATGCTCACACATGCTCAAGGGCTACTGCCTCATACACAGCTGTGTGCTGACCACAAGATCCCCTCATCAGGCTGGTGCACCCACCCCCAGCTGCTGAGGGTGAGGCCTGGGAGGTTAGGAGACCCCTCAGCAACCTCTTGGAAGTGACCCACAGCCAGTGACCAACTCATGGGCATGCACAGAGGCTGGTCCCCTCGTTCAAGGGAGGGTGACTCAGTGGCTCAGTTTACAGCCACCAGCCTCACCCCTACTTGTACCATTATGCATGGGCAAAAACACACACACGGTCATGTGTGCAGAGGCATGCACAGAAGATGCCCTCTCTCTGACCTCCACAGCCTCATGTCATTGTAACACACATCCATCCTAGCCCCGAACCCCATATACATAGATTCACACAAGTGGCCGCAACACTTATGCTCACACACACACGCACGCACACACACAGTTCTGATTCCTTTTCCAGCCTCTGCCAGAGACTTCCAGATGCAGCTCCCCTGGAGGCCATGAAGACCAAGAAGAAACTCAACACACAGGAAATGCTGCCTCTTATCTGTCCTGGGAAAGACACAGACCCAGTCACACTGAGCCCACCACAGGGTGCAGAGCACCCTTCCATCTGGTCACATCCGGCTTCTCATGACATCCAAGTCATCGCACAGACACGTGACAGACTTGGCCCTGGGACTCTGGCCTTGGCCACGAGGCTGCTGCTGGTTCTCCCTGCTGGAACCCGGGAAGCCGGATAGAGAAGCTTCCCCTGGCATTCTTACACCACCCTTCCCAACACGCCCGGCCAGCCCACTCCTGGGGGCCTCCCTGCCTCCCCTTGGGGAAGTAATGGCAGCCCTTAATCCTTACCCTGTTCCGGGCTTTGTTCCCAGTGTCTTACATCTATAATCCCATTGAAGCTTCACAGCAAAGCTAGGAGGTAAGTATCATTGTTATCCCCATCATCATGAGGAAATTGAGGCCCAGGAGGTTAAGGAAGGTGTGACCACAGCAGATCCCCCATATGACGTCGGCTAGTTTGTGTGGAGAGGTGGGGATAAAGCAGTTGTGGAAGTCATAACGCCATGAGTGTGAGCAGCAAGGCAGTGGCTCCCCATCTGGGGAGTGTATGGTCCCCTCCTGGATCCCCATCCAAGATTGATTATCAGAATCACCAGGGAGCCTGTTGTCAATACAGATTCCTGGGCCTGGGCCCAGAACTGCTCACTCAGATTCTCCAGGAGTGGGGCCTAGGGATGTGTATTGTGACAGAGCTCCCAGGAGATCCTGAGACACGGGCAGGGGACCTTCTCCCCACTTCTAGGCTTAAGAACTAATGGCATACCAGCCTCCCAGTGCAGGGCAGTTGTTTCTTGGCATGTGACTGTACTGCACAGCTGTGGCTTTTCACCTGCCCAATATTTATGCCCCTATCTTTTGATAACAAGACTTAGTTCCTCCCTCAGGGAACCACCTTCCCCCTTGCTCAGTCCATGTGGTCTCACAGAGGCTGACATCACTCCCAACTCCAGGGCACATGGCCCAGGACTGGCCAATCATGAGAGCCCCTGCTGTAGCCCACAGTGATTGGTTTAGGGGTGAGCATGTGATCTAATGAGTCTTCTTAGGACCTTTGCTGGGACTATAGGGAAAGAGCTCTTTTTCTGGGACCACTGCTAAGCAAGGGCACTGAGGGGATCCCTCCACATGGAGAGATCTTGCCTGAGAGTGAAGTCGCCTGAGAGAAAAGTTGAACCAAGACGGAGAAAGATTCCTGATGACCTCATTAGAATACCTGGATCCAGCCTTGCCTGAATGCAGTATACCTCTGGATTTCTTAGTCATGTGAGCCAATGAATCGCCTGTTTTGCTTAAGCTAGTGTGAGCTGGATCACTTATACCAAAGGAGTCTTGACTAACATGCCAAAAATTTCTATTTTTAAAAAATCTCTGCAAACAAGCAAAACAGGCTCTGGCTTCCATCTTGTCTTTCCCCCAGCGAGACTCAAATTACTACAGAAAAGAAACACCCATCAGCCTCACTGGGTGGGGCCCATTGCTTGATATGTGCCCAGGGACCACTTACTAGTCTCATGGCCATTTTGCACCCGTGGGCATTACAGATCTTTTCTGATGCTGAGCTGCTTGTTAAGCCATTGTGGTTGTCTCCAAAGAGATCAAGGACCATGGGGTGGTGGGGGTTCCGTTCATCAATAAGGACCAGGGGTGTGTGGTTCCAGATGGAGAAGTTCAGGTTCCTGGTGGCATTGGCATGGCTTAGCTCAGGAGCCAGGATTCTCTCCAGGACAGCTTCCATCAGCTCATCCAGGTCCTTCAGCAAATGCTTGATTTTGGAATACCTGGATGGGGAGAGGGCTGGTTAGGGGGAAGGAATGCATATCTGTAAAGCAGAGCAAATGAAATCTGGGACCCACTCCATAGTAGTCTGTTTTCACACTGCTATAAAGATACTACCTGAGACTGGGTAATTTATAAACAGAAGAGGTATAATTGACTCACAGTTCTACATGGCTGGAGAGAGGTCTCAGGAAACTTACAATCATGGCGGAAGGTGAAGGGGGAAGCAAGGCATGTCTTACATGGCAGCAGGAGAGAGAGAGAAAGAGAGTGCACAGGGGAGACTGCCACTTTAAAACCATCAGATCTTGTGAGAACTCACTCACTATCACGAACACAGCATGCGGAAAGCCGCCCGTATGATCTAATCACCCACACCAGGTCCCTCCCTCGACACATGGGGGTTACAATTCAATATGATATTTGGGTGGTGACACTGAGCCAACCATATCACACTGCTACTCCAGCATGGCTGCCACTATGTATAAGAAGAACACCCCACCTAAGCACCCACCTCTCCGTCCACCCACCCATGCATCCATCTTTCCACCACCCATGCACTCATTCATTCACCAACTTTTAATGAGCACCTACTATGTGCCAGGCACTGTGCAAGGCACAGACGATACAGTAGCAAACAAGAGGGACCTGGTCTCTTTCCTTATGAAATTCACATTCGAGTGAGGAAGAATTGTAATGGCTCATGGTTATTGATAGCTTACCATGTGCCAGGTGCTAGGTGCTTTCCAGGTCTTGTTTGCCACAAGTCTGTTACCGTCCCCATATATAGCTCAGGAAACTGAGGCTCCAGGAGTTGGTGTGATTTTGCAAGCTCACTCCACTGATAAAGGGCAGAGGTGAGTTTAGAATCTGGGTTTGGTGGGCTCCAGTGGGTATGTTTATGGGGGTTCTGAGATCTCCCTCCCAGGGGGGAGCAACTTTGGGAACAGGAGCCAGTTTCAAGAGAGAGAAAATGAATGGGACTGTGAGGCTGGCTCCAATGTCTTCCCTCAGCCCTGTGGCGCTCCCATGTTGGACATGGTGGCCAGTGAGAGATGGATCTATCAAGAAGTATCTCTGCGGGGCCGGGCCCTGCACCCCAGTCACTTCATGTCCAATTTACCCAAGACCCTGCCTCAAAGTGGGGTAATTGAGGCCACAAATGCCAACTCTGGCTGGAGAACTTCCTGCAGGAGCATTAAATGCTGGACAGAGGCCAAGGTCCTGGTACAAAGGTGTACAGCAGCCAGAGCTAACGTTGGCCTTCGATGCCAGTTCCCTGACCATTAAATCTGTGTACACAGGAACAGGAGGATGGGGAAGGGTGGCGTCTGTGCAGGTGGTGGTGTTATTACAGCCTAGATGTTCACAGCTTCTGGGAAGCTTGATGGGTCACTGTATGGGCTCCAGGTTTGAATCCTGGCATGCCACTTAATATCTTGGGCAACTTAACCTCCCTGAGGCTCTGTTCTCTCATCTACAAAACAGGGGGATAAAAATAAGTAACCCAGAGAATCGTTGGGAAGATTCAATGAGGTGCTGCTTATAAAATGCATGGATCAGTGCCCAGAAGGAGTGCTGTCGTTCCTATTATTATTAAAGATTCTCTTGAGCAGCTCTAAGAACCCACCAAGGCAGGAAGAACCCTATTAATAGAAAGAAGGGACTTTCTGATAATTGGGAAAGTAATCACTATGTGAGAATTCCCTTCTAGGACTTTTAAAAACAGAGATGCTGTCTCACCATGTTGGCCATGCTGACCTTGAACTCCTGGCTTCAAGTGATCCTTAAGCCTCGGCCTCCCAACATGCTCTGATTTCAAGCCTGAGCCACTGTGCCCGTGCCCAGTCAGGACTTTCTTTTGCTTTCTTTCTTTTCTTTTTTTTAATTGAGACAAGGTCTTGCTCTGTCACCCAGGCTGGAGTGCAGTGGCGAGATCTCGGCTCACTGCAACCTCCACCTCCTGAGTTCAAGTGATTTTCCTGCCTCAGCCTCCTGAGTAGCTGGGTTTACAGGCATGTGCCAGCACACCCGGCTAATTTTTGTATTTTTAGTAGAGATGGGGTTTCACCATGTTGGGCAGGCTGGTCTCGAACTCCTGACCTCAAGTAATCCACTCGCTTTGGCCTCTCAAAATGCTGAGATTACAGGCGTGAGCCACTGTGCCCGGTCAGGACTCTCTTTTGGATAAAAATGTTTTCTGTGACTCAGCCCTTCTTTCAGTTCCTTGAATGCACCAAGCATCTCACCAGCTGCACCTGCTGTATCCAAGACTGGGGGCACTCTCTTCACCATATCTGGCCAACTTCTACTCATTCCTTAGGGCACTTTTTTTTATTTTTTGTTTTTGGACTGACTCCCTGTCTCTCCATAACCCTGACTAGGTTGGGTCTCCTCTTGTGTCCCCTTCACAGGTCTTGCTATCAAGCGGAGAATGGAGAACGGGCAATCCGGAAGAATGGTTAAAAAGTAGCAGTTCTGGGATCACATCAGGCCTAGATTCAAATCCCACAGTCTTCCACTGTGCATCTCCAGGCAAGCTCACTTACTTCTCTGAACCTCCATCTCCTCACCTGTAAACTGGGGCTGCGACAGGAGTTCCCAATCCTAGGGTGGTTGTGTGGATTAGAATGACACCAATTATCCAAAGAACACTGAACACAGTGCCTAGCATATCATAAGCATTTGTTGAAGAGTGGTTTTATTTATTTATTTTTTAATTTTTGAGACAGGATCTTGTTCTGTTGCCCAGGCTGGAGTGCAGTGATGCAATCTCAGCTCACTATAACCTCTGCCTCTCGGGGTCAAGCAATTCTCGTGCCTCAGCCTCCTAAGTAGCTGAGATTACAGGCATTGCCTGTATTTTTAGTAGAGTTGAGGTTTCACCATGTTGGCCAGACTGGTCTCAAACTCCTGACCTCGAGTAATCTGCCCACCTCAGCCTCTCAAAATGCTGGGATTACAGGTATGAGCCATGGTGCCCGGCTGAGTTGTTTTATTTTTTATCATCATAATGATGATGAATTCGATATTTGTGGGGACAACTTTGTGGGGCATGTTTGCTCTGGCAGGCTGTGAAGAGGACAGGGACTCTGTTTTGTTAACTGTTGTATTTGTGTTGCCTAGGACAGTGCCTGGCACATAGTAGGTGCTCCGTAAACACGCGTGGAATCGATAAATAGGCACTGGCCTGCCTGAAGACAGAGGGTGCCCAAGGTTCTCTCTAAGCCTAGGAAACTTATGATTTTTTTATTTTTAAGAGATAGCATCTGTTACCCAGGCTGGAATGCAGTGGCATCTTCTTGTTTTTATTTTTAATTAATTATTTTTTCTTAGCCTTGACTTGAAACTCAAGTGGCGCCATCTCAGCCCACTGCAGCCTCGAGCTCCTGGGCTCAAGCAGTTCTCCCACCTCTGCTTCCTATGCAGCTCAGACCACAGACATGTGCCACCACGTCTGGCTAATTAAAAAAAATTATTTACTTTTTTTAGAAGTGGGATCTTGCTATGTTGCCCAGGCTGTTCTCCAACTCCTGGCCTCAAGGGATCCTTCTGTCTTTGCCTCTCAAAGTGCTGTTATTACAGGCCACTGCACCTGGCCAAAAGTTTATGAAGTTTGAATCTTAGTTGCTGCAAAAGGATGAAGGCAAATGGAAAGACAGAGAGGAGGAGAAAGAGAAAGAAGGAAGGAAAGAAAGAAAAGAAAAAAGAAAGGGAAGAAGAAGGAAGGAAAAGTAATAAAGGGAGAAAGGAAGGAAGAAAGGGGAGAAATAAAGAGAAGGAGAGAAAGGAGAAGGAAGGAAAGGAAGGAAAGGAAAGGTAGAAGGGAAGAAAAGAGAGAAAGAGAACCGCCTGTCTGCTGAGGCCAGCTGTGCACTCCGGGGCCACCTACTTGAAGGGGCTAGCATTGCAGATGGTGACGGCAGGGAAGTCCATGGTCTTGAAGCCTACGGAGAGGGAGACGCTGACCTCCCAGCTCAAGTAGGTCCTGATGAAGATGCCCCACTGCCAGCAGACGAGGGCGGCGAAGAGCAGGGTGAGCAGGAACCACATGGCTTTCTTCTTGGGCCCCTCACAGATGATGCGCTTGGGGCCGTGGGTGTTGGTGTTGTCGCAGTACCACACCAGCAGCTCCTTGTACGTGTAGCCGGGGCCCTTCTGCAGCCGATGCAGGCCCTTCAGCAGGTACTTCTTCACGTGCATAGTGGCACCTGCAGAGAGGCATGGGGACGCACATCAGCTGGGACACCAGCCTTGCCTGCGAGGATGTCCCAGTCACGTCCAGGAACTGGGCGGCGGTACGTCCCCGTTCTTCCTCCCTCTTTACCCTCCCCCCTCCCTCCCTCCCTTTTTTCCTTCTTTTCTTCCTTCCTTTGGCTATCTGTCATCAATCCATCCATCCATCTAATCAACCAAAATGCATTTATTGAATGCCTACTATATGCCAGGCACTCAAATGGTCCTTCTGGACTCAATGAGCAAAATGGACAAGGTTTTTTGCCCTTTGGGAATTCATAACCTAGTGAACAAGTGACTTAAACTCTCAACTCAGGTTCTCTGTGCATAAAATGTGGTATAGCAAGTCCTCAAACGACGTCGTTTTGTTCAATGTTTCATTGTAACATTGATGAGAAAAGAAAGTAGATTCCCAGCCAGGGCCACTGTCTATATGGAGTTTACATGTCCTCCCCATGATGTGTCTGCATGGTCCCAGGTGAGTGAGTGTGACTGTGTGTGAGTGCTCTGCAATGGAATGTGTCCTGTGTAGGGTGGGTTCCCGCCTGTGGCCTCAGCTGCAGAGATAGGCTCTGGCCACTGTGACCTTGAACTGAATAAGTGGGTAAATAATGATCTTACTTGTTTTTATTAATCTTTCTTTTTCTTTTTCTTTTTTCAGATAGGGTCTCACTCTCTTACCCAGCCTAGAGCGCAGTGGCGCAGTCATGGCTCACTGCAATCTCTACCTCCCAGGCTCAAGAGATCCTCCCACCTCAGCCTCCTAAGTAGCTGGGATTATAGGCATGCACACCACCATATCAGTGAATTTTTGTATTTTTAGTGGAGACGGGGTTTCACCGTGTTGCCCAGGCTGGTCTCAAACTCCTGAGCTCAAGTGATCCACCCACCTCAGCATCCCAAAGTGCTGGCATTACAGGCATGAACCACCGCACCTGGTCTTAATCTTTCTTAAATGTATGTATAGCTCATATTTATTTCAATGTTTAATATTAGAAGCATTTTGGTCTTTACTTAGAAATTTGGTGACTTTTTTTGTGACCAGAAATAGGCCATAGGAGCTTAACTCTTGTTGATATCAATTAGCCTATGGTGAAATTGATTTCATTAGACATCGTTTAGCCTAGAGTTGCAGTTTCCAAGAACATATCAACAATGTTAAGTGAAGACTTACTGTAACAATTACATCTAACTTACAGGATTGCTGAGAGGAGGAAATTCGGCGATGCACAAAAAGTGCTATGGACTGAGCCTAGCACAGGCCAGGTCCTCAGTATGCCAGTTTCCATTGTCACTAGCTGTCGGTGGGTAAGACAGATGTTAAGCGAAGAATCCATCAAAAAAGCAGAGCTATGAAACATGACAGGAAAGATTGGGACCCCATGCCCTGAGATGCTAGAGGCATTAAAGGCTGGTGGTTTAGAATAAGGATTCTGTAACCAAATTTTCTGGCTTTTTGTTTGTTTGTTTGAGACAGGGTCTCACTCTATCACCCAGGCTGGAGTGCAGTGGCATGATCATGGCTCACTGCAGCCTCGAACTCCTGGGAAATTTCTGGCTTTGACTCTCAGCCCTGCTGCTTCCTAGCTTGTGACTTTGAGCAAATCTCCTTCTCAGTCCTTCAGTTTCCTCATCCATAAAATGGGGATAATTACAGCTTCCACCTGATAAAGCTGTCGTGGAGGCTGGCTGCATGAAAATATGGAGAGGGTAGATTCATGCCTGGCACCTAAGTGTCAGCGATTTTTATTAGAAAACGGAGGCCTGGCCAGGTCTGAGAGTCCTTGGAGAAGTGATGGAGGAGCTGAGGTTAAAGGATAGGAGAGGGGAGGGGAAGGGGGAAGGCTGAAGTGGGGAGGGAGCCTGCAGGGGTGGGGAGGGAGCCTGCAGGGGTGGGGAGGGAGCCTGCAAGGGTGAGCAGGGCCAGGCCACGCAAGGGCTTGTGGACTGTGTTAAAGATTAGGGTTTCAATCCCAAGAGAACTGGAACCTTTGGAGGCATGAGGGTGTGATGCCATCAAAGCTGGGATTTGAAAAGGGCATTCCAGCCAGGTGCGGTGGCTCATGCCTGTAATCCCAGCACTTTGGGAGGCTGAGGCAGGAGGATCACCTGAGGTCAGGAGTTTGAGACTAGCCTGGCCAACATAGTGAAACCCTGTCTCTACTAAAAATACAAAAATTAGCTGGTGGCGGGCCCTTGTAATCCCAGCTACCTGGGAGGCTGAGGCAGGAGAACTGCTTTAGCCTGGGAGGTGGAGGTTGCAGTGAGCCGAGATTGCACTGAGCTGAGATCGCCCCACTGCACTCCAGCCTGGACGACAGAGTGAGACTCCGTCTCAAAAAAAAAAAAAAAAAAAAAAAAAAAAAGAAAAGGAAAAAAGGGTGTTCCATGGATACAAATTAGAATGGGGTGAGGTTGTGTCCGGAGCATGAGGTTGGAGAGTATGGGTCATGGATGAGGAATGCCAGAGTTTTCTGAGACTCTGTTTCCCATATGCATGAGAGGGCAGGTTCTTGTGAAGACCACCAGGTACTTGTTATGGCACATGAGGGTTTCTAAGGACATTCCTGCTTCCCCCTCCCTTCTCTCTGGACACAGAGCAGGAACCTGCGGCAGGAGCATCCCAGCTCTATTCCTGGAGCTCCAGTTGTATTTGATCTTTAAGGTCCAGACCAAAGGCCACTTCCTCCATGAAGCTCTCCTGACTTCAGGCTGGACCCTCACCCCCTCTGAGAGCCTTTCCCTTCTGGGGGCACCATGCTGGGCAGTGTGGTTCCTCTGTGCCCAGCATACTCTCCCCCTTGCACTGAGGTTTCAGGTGAAGATATCCCGCTGTCCCTTTCATCTCAGTTGGTGTGAGTTGCCAGGCTGATCTCTCCTCTTAGCTCTGGGAGATGTGCATGTGACTCAAAGTGGAACATTAGGACTCAATTCTATTCGTTTATATTGGAATAACTGAAGGAGAGACCTCACTTTTAACTAAGCCTACTAAGCTGGTGGTATTTGGCAGCCCAAACGGGAAGTCTTCCTGAGAATAAAGCCAATACAGAGGAAAGAAGAGGCACGAGATGGAGAGAAATTTCTGACTTTGCCATTTGAACACCTGGATCCAGCCATGCCTGAAGCCATTCATTCCTGGCCTCATCAGATATGGAAACAATACATTTTCTTTCTTATTTATGCATATCCAAATTGGATGCCTGCCATTTGCACCCATAAGAAGCTTAATAGTAAAATAAATTGACCCTTGTTTTATCCTGTGTTCTAGTTTCTTGTGCCTGTGGCTTCTCCCGGGAGATCGCAAGCCCCTTGAGGGCAGCAGCTCTGTATCCCTGACAAAGCCCAGCACAGTGCCTGACACCCCACAGAATATCCAGATGTATAAGGTCAGACCTTCACGTCTAAACAGAGATGTTAAACCTGCCCAAGCATATTCACTCCTGATCCAATTATCTGACACAGTAACATTTCTCACCTTCCTTCCCCAGAAGGAGTCTTGGCCAAAGCATGAAGTGCTTTCTTCTCCAACTCTGTTCTCTCTCTCTCTCTCTCTCTCTTTCTCTCTCCTCTCTCTCGACAGGCTCTCGCTCTGTTGCCCAGGCTGGGGTGCAGTGGCACGATCTTGACTCACTGCAACCTCCACCTCCCGGGCTCAGGTGATCCTCCCACCTTAGCCACTTGAGTAGCTGGGACTACAGGCGCATGCCACCATGCCCAGCTAATTTTTGTATTTTCAGTAGAGATAAGGTTTTGCCATGTTGCCCAGGCTTGTCTCGAACTCCTGGGATCAAGCGATCCACCCGCATTGGCTTCCCAAAGTGCTTGGACTACAGGTGTGAGCCACTGCACCCCACCTCCAACTCCATTCTCTGATAGGAATTAAACTCTATGTGCCTGCCCAAGCCATCATGGCTGTAAGAGGATGTTCATAGAGTAACCCCACTCCCAACTTTCCCCAGAAGGTCTATTCCCTGCTCTGAAATAATAAAGTAATAACAGTTATTATAATAGCAACTACAAGAGCAACATCAAAGTATTAAATGTTTGCCATGACTCAAGCATATGGGAAGAACCAAGGCTTCGTCTGCCTTATATAGTCTAGCACCCCAAAGCCACATAGGTGAACATCACATTAGGTTCCAATAGGTAGTTGTAGAAGATATAAAGGGCCTCTAGAATGTCTACCCTTTTCTATTCTCATGTAATTATTCTGATTTAGTCAAGGAGAAAGTCTCAGCTTGGTACCAACAGCTCCTTAACACCTCTCCAACCCTTCTAATCTCCGGGTTTAACAATGAGGCCTCAGGCTCAGGCAACAGTATCTAGTTAGAATGGGTAACATTCTGTTTTCACTGGGCTTACTTTTAAGAGCCACCTTCTACTTATGGCAAGAGATACTGACTTTTGCTTTATGTTCATAAACGTGCTTAAGTAAAAAAAGGGGAATTGATTTAAAGAAAAATGTTTAAGTAAACAACAGTACTACAGGTAGCAAAAGTTGTTACAATGGTAGGCAAATAACAGAAGTGTGTTGAGTATTGGCTGAGCATCTAACTAGTCTGGCCCCTTGGGTCATTAGCCAGATCAAACTCAGTAAGTGCTGCAAACAACTTTATGATGTTCTGGTCAGATTTCACCCCCACGGTGATAGATGGTCTGTGTTTGGAATGTATACACAGTTTATGGAGAAGGGATTGAATCAGTGTACAGCTTAACCCAATCCAAACAAGTAAAGTAGAGACTAAGTCCATGTGTGCACACAGAAAGAGACACCAATTGTCATGCTTCAGAGTCACAGATTGCTGACTATACATTGGCCCTGAACTCATGGTAAATGTTCCTGTTAGCAAATGCAAAAACAATAAATGTGGAAAAGTGTTTCGGCTTTTTTTTTTCTTCCTTCCTTCCTTTCTTTTTTTCTTTCTTTCTTTCTTTCTTTCTTTCTTTCTTTCTTTCTTTCTTTCTTTCTTTCTTTCTTTCTTTCTCTTTTTCTTTCTTTCTTTTTTCCTTCCTTCCTTCCCTCCCTCCCTCCCTCTTTCTTCCTTCCTTCCTTCCTTTTCCTTCCTTCCTTCCTTCCTTCCTTCCTTCCTTTCTTTCTTTTCCTTTTTTTATTTTTGGCAAACTTTTGCTCTTGTTGCCCAGGCTGGAGTGCGATCGCGTGACCTCAGCTCACTGCAACCTCCACCTCCCAGGTTCAAGCAATTCTCTTGCCTCAGCCTCCAGAGTAGCTAGGATTACAGGCATGCACCACCACGCCCGGCTAATTTTGTATTATTAATAGTGACGGGGTTTATCCATGTTGGTCAGGCTGGTCTCGATCTCCTGACCTGGTGATCTGCCCTCCTTGGCCTCCCAAAGCGCTGGGATTACAGGCATGAGCCACCATGCCCAGCCCTGTTTCAGTTCTCTTACGAGACAGGTTTTCTTCTATGCTTTCTTCTGAGTGTTTTATAGTTTTATTAGGTCTATGAACCATTTGAAGTTAGTTTTTGCATATAGTGTGGGGTAGGAGCTAAGATTCCCTTTAAAAAATATGGACAACTATTTGTTTTAGCATTTTTTGTTGTGTGTTCCATTTAAAGTGTAGAATTCACTGGATTTCAGTATATTCACATTGTTCAACTATCATCACAATCAATTTTAAAACATCTTTATTTCCCCTAAAGAAAACTCCATGCCCATTAGAAGTTATTTCTCATTCCTCTCTCCACCCTCCTCCTCCCCATCAGAAACCACTTATCTATTCTCTGTCTCTCTAGATTTGCCTGTTTTGGATGTTTCATATAAATCAAGCTTTTCCATCCTGCGGCCTGCAGGCCACAGGCAGCCCAGGATGGCTTTGAATGTGGCCCAACACAAATTCATAAACTTTCTTAAAACACTAGGAGATTTTTTTTTTTCTTAGCTCATCAGCTATTGTTAGTGTTAGTCCATTTTATAAGTGGCCCAAGATAATTCTTCTTCCAATGTGGTCCAGGGAAGCCAAAAGATTGGACACCCCTAATAGAAACAGAATTGCAGGCTGGGCACAGTGGCTCATGCCTATAATTCCAGCAATTTGGGAGGGTGAGGTGGGTGGATCACTTGAGGTCAAGAGTTCAAGGCCAGCCTAGCCAATATGGTACAGCCCTGTCTCTAGTAAAAATACAAAATTAGCCGGGTGTGGTGGCACGTGCCTGTAATCCCTGCTACTCAGGAGACTGAGGCAGGAGACTTGCTTGAGCCTGGGAGGCAGAGTTTGCAGTGAGCAGAGATTGTGCCACGGCACTCCAGCCTGGGTGTCAAGAGTGAAACTCTGTCTCAACAAACAAAAAACGGAATTGCACAATGTGTGGTCTTTTCTGACTGGCTTCTTTCACTTAGTGTGTTTTAAAGGTACGTTGCAGCATGTATTAGTGCTTCATTTCTTTCTATTGCTAAATAATATCCCATATTATGTTGAGACTACATTTTATTTATCCATTCATCAGTTGATGGACAGTTGGGTTGTTTTTACTTTTTGGCTGTTATGATAATACTGCTATGAATGATCTTGTATAAGTTTTGTGTAGAAATAGGTTTCATTTCTCTTGGTTATATATCCAGGAGTGGTCTCGAACTCCTGATCTGAGTCTGATGGTAATTCTATGTTTAACCTTTTGAGGAACTGCAAGACTGTTTTCCAAAATGGCTGCACTACTTAACAATTTCACCCGGTGTGTGAGAGTTCTAATCTCTCCACATCCTCTCCAAAACTTATTATCCATTTTAAAAAGTTATTACAGCTACCTTAATGGGGTGTGAAGTGATATCTTACGTTGGTTTCAATTTGCGTTTTCCTGATAGCTATGATGTTGAACTTCTTCTCATAGGCTTATATATTGGCCATTAGATCCATTATATGGCCAGTATATCTTCTTTGGAGAAATGTCTATTCAGATCCTTCATCATTTTTTAACTGGGCTATTTATCTTTTTATTACTGAGTTGCAAGAGTTATTTATATATTCTATACACAAGTCCCTTAACAGACAGGACTTGCAAACATTGTCTTTCCTTCTCTGTGGGTTGTCTTTTTACTTTCTTGATGGTGTCCTTTGAAGAACAAAAGTTTTTAAGTTTGATGATGCCAAATTTCTCTATATTTCTTTTTTGCGTGTGTGCTTTGGTTTCATATCTAAGACTCTATTGCCTAATCCAAGGTCCTGAAGATCTGTTTCTATGCTTTACTCTAAGGACTTTATAGTTCCAGCTCTTATATTTAAGTCTTTGATTCATTTTGAATTAATTTACATATATAGTGTGAGATAGGAATCCAACTTCATTGTTTTTCATGTACCTATCCACTTGTCCCAGCACCCAGACTATTCTTTCTCCCATTTAATTGTCTTGGCACCTTGTCTGATGTTTTAGCATTTAAATGAAAAGAAAGCTTAAATAAATGGAGATCTATACCATGCTCATAGATTAGAAGACTCAATATTGTTAAGATGTCAATTAACCTCTAGAGTCAACTCACACGTAATCTCTAGAGTCTACTCAATTTCAACCAAAATCCTAGCAGAATTTTTGTAGAAATTGACAAACTGATTCTAAAATATGTATGGAAAAGCAAAAGAACTAAAACAGCAAAAACAAAACAAAATCAGACACACATGCATGTGTACACATGCACACACACACACACACACTTCAAAGCAACATTTTAAAAAACTTATGAAAAATAAAAACAAGTTGAAAGACATTTCTATGTGATATCAACACTTACTGTAAGTTGCATTTATCAGGACAGTGTGGTATTGATGTAATGATAGATCTACCGATCATTGGATTAAGGAGCTCTGATAGACCTACAAATTTGCCAAGGTAGTTCAATGAAGAGAGTGTAGTCTTGGCCAGGCATGGTGGCTCACACCTGTAATTCCAGTTCCTTGGGCCAATAAAGTACTGGGATCACTTGAGCCCAGGAGTTTGAGACCAGCCTGGGCAACACAGTGACAACCTGTCTCTATTTAAAAGAAAGATTAAAACGTAAAAAAATAAAAAAGTGTAATTTTTTTCAACAACAAATGCTGAAACAAGTAGTTGTCCATATTTTTTTAAAAGGGAATCTTAACTCCTACCCCACACTATATGCAAAAACTAACTTCAAATGGTTCATAGACCTAATAAAACTATAAAACACCCAGAAGAAAGCATAGAAGAAAATCTGTGTAACCTTAGGATATGCAAAGATCTTCAGATAGGACACTAAAATCATGAATCATAAGAAACTTATAAATTGTACCTTATTAGAATTAAAATCTTCTGCTTTTCAAAAGACATGGTTGAGAAAATGAGAGAGCAAGCTCCTGGGAGAAAATACTTGGAATACATATGTCTGACAAAGAATTTCTATGCGGAATATATAAAGAACTCTTACAACTAAATAATAAGACAAACAGTTCAACAAAAAATGGGCCAATGATTTGAATAGACACCATAAAAGAGGAAATATGAATGGCCCATAAGCATGCAAAAAAATGCTCACCATCATTAGTCACTGGAGAAATGCAGATCAAAACCACCCACAATGAGCTATCACTTCACACCCATTAGAAGGACTGATAGTATCTAGTATTGGTGAGGATGTGTAGCAACCGGAATTCTCCTACACAGCTGGTTGGAATGCAAAATGGTACAGTCACTTTGGAAGGTAGTTTGATATAGTTTCTTGTAAAGTTGCCAGGCGCGGTGGCTCACACCTGTAATCCCAATACTTTGGGAGGTCAAGGTGGGTGGATCACTTGAGGTCAGGAGTTTGAGACTCCGTGGCCAACATGGTGAAACCCTGTCTCTACTAAAAATACAAAAAAATTAGCTGGGAGTGGTGCCACACGCCTGTAATCCCAGCTACTTGGGAGGCTGAGACAGGAGAATCGCTTGAGCCCAGGAGGTAGAGGTTGCAGTGAGTCGAGATCGTGCCATTGCACTCCAGCCTGGGTGACAGAGTGAGACTCCATCTCAAAATAATAATAATAATAATAAAAATAAGTTAAGGATGCCAGGTGCAGTGGTTCACGCCTGTAATCCCAGCACTTTGGGAGGCCAAGCCAGGAGGATTGCTTGAGCCCAGGAGTTTGAGGCCAGCCTTGGTAACATAGTAAGACCCTGTCTCTATATTTAAAAAAAAAAAGTTAAATGAACAGTTATCATATGACCCAGCAATTCCACTTTTACTTATCCAGGAGAAAAACATACTTTCACACACAGACTTGTACATATATGTTCACTTATTCATAATAGCCCCCACCTAGAAGCAATCCACACGTCCACCAACAGGGGAAGAAATAAATAAATTACGGCATATCCATAATAGGATTCCATTCAACAATAAAAAGGAACCAACTATTGATACATAAAACATGGACGTATATAAAAAATATTAAGCCGAGTAAAAAGCTAAACACGTAAGAATACATACTATAGAATTCCATTATATGAACCCCTAGAAAATATGAATTAATCTATTGTGACAGAAAGCAGATCAGTAAGTATCTGGGCCTTGGGTGAGTAGTGGATTGACTAAAAGTTGTACAGGGAGCCTTTTGGAGACGATGAGAATATTCTAGATCTTGAATGGGATGGTGGTTCATTAAATGCATACACTTGTGAAAACTCATCAAACAATATGCTTCAAATGGATGCATTCTATTATATGTAAATTATGTCTCAATAAAGTTCTAACAAAAGACTTTAATCCATTGCCATTTCAAAATGATGAGATTTCACATTTTTTTAAAACGTGGATTTTCTTCATCCTTTGAAAAGTCAGAAAGATGTGACGGTTGTCCCCGCATGACCATGTTCTGCTAGATTTGACTAGCAGCTGCTCTCCTTGGATGGGTAGTGTGTTCCCAGCTCACCCCAATTCTTCCCATTCCATGCTGTCTTATACCCAGCCCTCTTTACTCATTTTCATTAGCTGCTCTGGCTCATGTGGACATCTGACTTTGTGACTCCTGTAAATTGCAGGTCAGATGCTTTCATTAAAATCCCCTGTACTTATTTTCGCAGCAAAACCTCAATTATCCAAGATTACTGGGGAATATGGTTTCTGGTAGCTGGATTTTTAAAGTTAATTGAAGGTTAACCTGAAAGTGGATTTGACTCTGGTTATTGAAAAATCTTGCATGTTTCTGCCTCTGCAAGGGCAACCAGAGGACATGACTGACTCTTTATTCTCAAGCACCTGGCCAGGTGTAACAGCCACAGCTGAGGTTTAGTGTCCAGGCCAGAAAAAGTGAAGAAGAGTTTTAGGGAAGCTGTCAGGATCTCTAGAGAAGCCAGGGCATACCTTGGACACAATTTCTATTTATAAATTCAAATATTATGTGCATTCCCAGCACCAAGATTTTGGTCTCTAAATACCATTTTTGACTAAAAGAACCAGGGCTTCTTAGAAAAATGGTTGCTACCAGCTTTGGTGCAGGAAATGTATTAAATGAGCCTTTCTTTTTTGTTGTTGTGGTTTTTTTGACACGGAGTCTCACTCTGTCATACAGGTTGAAGTGCAGTGGCACAATCTCAGCTCACTGCAGCCTCAACCTTCTGGACTCCAGCGATCCTCCCACCTCAGTGTCCTAAGTAGCTGGGACTACAGGTGCGTGCCACCCGGCTAATTTTTGTTATTATTATTTTTTTTTGGTAGAAATGGGGTTTTGCCATGTTGCCCAGCTGGTCTTGAACTCCTGGGTTCAAGTGATCCTCCTGCTTTGGCTTCCCAAAGTGCTGGGATTACAGGTATGAGCCACTGTGCCTGGCCTATATGTTTTAAATGTTTAAATATTAACCATCTGGTACTTTAAAGAAGTTTGCTGATCTCTGATTTACTATGTCATATATATTTGCACTAAATAAGAAGAAACCTGGGGCCAAGCACGGTGGCTCAAGCCTGTAATCACAGCACTTTGGGAGGCCGAGGTGAGTGGATCACCTGAGGTCAGGAATTCGAGACCAGCCTGGTCAACATGGTGAAACCCTGTCTCTACTAAAAATACAAAAATTAGCCGGGCATGGTGACAGGTGCCTATAATTCCAGCTACTTGGGAGGCTGAGGCAGGAGAATTGCTTGAACCTGGTAGGGAGGTGGAGGTTGCAGTGAGCCGAGATCATACCACTGCACTCCAGCCTGGACGACAAGAGTGAAACTCCATCTCAAAAAAAAAAAAAAAAGAAAGAAAGAGAAAGAAACCTGGCCACTCCTGGTAGCTCATGCCTGTAATCCCAGTGCTTTGGGAGACTGAAGCAGGAGGATCACTGGAGTCCAGGAGTTTGAAACCAGCCCAGGTAACATATTGAAAGCCTCACCTCTACAAAAAACTTACAAAATTAGCCAAATGTGGTGGCATGTGCCTGTGGTCTCAGCTACCGGGGAGGCTGAGGTGGGAGGATTGCTTGAGCCCAGGAGTTGGAGGTTGCAATTAGCTATGATTGTATCATTGCAAGCCTAGCCTGGGTGACACAGCAAGACACTGTCTAAAAAATTAATAAATAAATAGTAAAAAGAAATATTTCAAATGAGTATTTCATATAAATATTTATAAGCTTGATTTTGTTATTTCCCTCTAACTACCTGCTAATTCAATGCTTTCCTTAGCATTGATCATTTGTATACCACTTTTGCAATTTTTGCTAAATCTGTGTAGCACTTGTATCATTATTTACTTACTAGATAATGCCACATCATCTCATTTTTTTATTTTTGGCTAAAATAAACTCAACTTCCTCCTAGGCACTACTATGAATACAAAGCAATATTACACCTGTGAAATAACAGGTTTGATGTGCTGAGCCATTTTTTCCTAATACACATGAACATACTTTCTTAACTATTCAGAAAAAGGTTCCTCTGAGAATCATTGAAAAAAAAATCATCTTGGCCAGGCTTGGTGGCTCAAGTCTGTAATCCCAGCACTTTGGGAGGCCGAGGTGGGCAGATCATGAGGTCAAGAAATCGAGACCATCCTGGCCAACATGGTGAAACCCCGTCTCTACTAAAAATACACAAATTAGCTGGGCATGGTGGCACGCATCTGTGGTCTCAGCTACTCAGGAGGCTGAGGCAGGAGAATTGCTTGAACCCGGGAGGGGAAGGCTGCAGTGAGCCGAGATCGTGCCCCTGCACTCCAGCCTGGCGACAGAGCGAGACTCCGTCTCAAAAAAAAAAAAAAAAAAATCGTCTTGCTTACCACCCTTTGGGAAATGCCCTGTTAATTGTCTTTCACGGGCTGAAGCATGTACTGGTCCAAGGACATATGCTCTCTTCCAAGGCATTTCCTGGTGTGGCTTCATGCCGTCCTTTTAAGTATGTTGGGGTGGGCATAATTATGCCCATTACACAGCGAATTTAGAGCACAGAGGGACTCAGAGGGACTTACCCACAGTCATGGTGAGTCAAAGGGCAGGTCTGAAAATAGAAACCAGATTGCCTGGCTTCCGGCCACCTCTCACCTACTAGCTCAGACGGGGCACCTGACATCTTGCACCTGTTCTGGTGGGTGTTGGGGAAATCTGAAGTGGGGCCATGCAGCTGCCCGCATCCTCTGTGTGCACCTATGAACCTCTTTTGCCCAAGGCTGTGGTTCCCTGACATCTAGGGGTGCTCCCAGAAAGCCAAACACAGCATGACTAATGGAGACGATAGGGAAAGTGGCTTCCTCCACAGCCCTCTAAGATACAGGTCTTATTTGAGCTGATCAGAGACAGTGAATGTTGTCAATATATACAGTTAAGTGAGAGCAAAGAAAGGGTAGAACAGCATATGAAGCACACATGCATTTATGTTAAAAAAAAAAAATAGAGGCCGGGCACAGTGGCTCACACCTATAATCCCAGCACTTTGGGAGGCTGAGGCAGGTGGATTACCTGAGGTCAGGAGTTCAAGACTAGTCTGGCCAAAATGGCAAAACCCTGTCTCTACTAAAAATACAAATATTAGCTGGGCATGGTGGCACACACCTGTAATCCCAGCTATTGGGAGGCTGAGGCAGGAGAATCGCTTGAACCTGGGATGCGGAGGTTGCAGTGAGCCAAGCCTGCCCTCCGGCCTGGGCGACAGAGAGAAACTCCATCTAAAAAAAAAAAAAAAGAAAATACAGGCTGGCACGGTGGCTCACTCCTATAATCCCAGCACTTTGGGAGGCTGAGGCAGGAGGATCTTTGAGCCCACAAGTATGAGGCCAGCTTAGGCAACATAGAGGTATTTCCTTGTATCTGTGCAGTCCTTCTACCAGGTCACACAAGAAAGTGGTAATATGAGTTGCCCTCAAGAAAGGAACTGAGTGGCTGGGGGAACAGGCAGAAAAGGAGACATAAAAAAATTATTTACTCCTTTTGCACCTTTTGAATTTTGCAGCATATCAATGTTTAATCTATTCAGTCAGCAAATATTGATTAATCATCCATTGTGTACTCTGCACTGTTCTAGGTGCTGGACATTCATCAGTGAACAAAACAGTCAGGCAATGAATCTCTGCCTTCGTGTAGCTTACATGTCCACAGGAAAGAGAAAAAAAATATTGAAAAGAGCAATTAAAATTTAAAATGTGGACTGATTAGAGTTAGAGCCAAAAAATTT